>NC_000007.14:43573575-43876605 GCF_000001405.40 Homo sapiens
TATATTTACAAAGTATACTTTTATTATAATTGTATGTTTAAAAATATTGCCCAGTTGATTTTTTTTAGATTAAACTTCTGTCAGATTGACCTAAGAAAACTGATTTTCTACCCTAAAAATCTTTTTCAAAAGGTTGATATGTAAGTGCCAGGCACGGTGGCTCACGCCTGTAATCCCAGAACTTTGGGAGGCCAAGGAAGGCGGATCACCTGAGGTGGGGAGTTCGAGACCAGCCTGACCAACATGGGGAAGCCCCATCTCTACTAAAAATACAAAATTAGCTGGGCATGGTGGTGCATGCTTGTAATCCCAGCTACTTGGGAGGCTGAGGAAGGAGCATAGCTTGAACCCAGGAGGCGGAGGTTGCAGTGAGCTGAGATCACACTATTGCACTCCAGCCTGGGCAACAAAAGAGAAACTCCATCTCAAAAAAAAAAAAGTATTGCATAATAACCTATCAGGTAAATATATCAAAATTCATTTAACCATTATCTTACTCGGATAGTAAGAGCATTGCATACTCAATTCAACCACATCTATTCATCAATATTTACAAAGTGTCACTTATACACACTGAGGATATAGAATAAATGGTCCCTTCTGATCTAACTAGGAAGAAAGAAAGTATACACTTATAATGCAATTTGATAAAGATAAACTCAGGTTGATATTAAAACAGGTGGGCCAGGTAAGAATATCTGATAAAATCAGGTATAGCGCTCTATACAGAAAAACACAGATCAGAACAACACAAGGAAACAAAAAGCACTTGGGTTTTTATCTTTCCAGTCTTTCTCCCCATTATCACTAACAATGGGCATTGAATTACCCTAAAAATCTTTGCCAATTTTATTGGCAAAAATGAAACCCCATTTATATTTCTCCAGGAAATATAAATTAAATTTGAACATTTCACTATAAAAAAATCTTTTATTTTCTTTGACCTCTTTCTAATATAGTGTTGGCACACCTCTTATTATATGTTCTTCATTTAGGGTATGATTTTTATCTATAATGCTTTTTGCTAATGTATTTCCAGCTTGTTTGCCTTCTAACTTTGCATATAACATTTTTTGATATGCAATGATTTTTGAATTATTAGGTAGTCAAATATTTTTCTTGGAGTTTTTTTCCACTGCTTTATTTCTTAGAAGTTACTTTTTCTTTCAGAAATCAGCTAATTGTCAAGGCCAGGCAAAGTGACTAATGCCTGTAATTCCAGCACTTTGGGAGGCCAAGGAGGATGGATCATTTGAGGCCAGGAGTTCAAGACCAACCTAGCCAACATGGCAAAAACCTGTCTCTACTAAAAATACAAAAATTAGCCAAGCATGGTGGCACATGCCTGTAATCCCAGCTACTCGGGAGGCCGAGGCAAGAGAATCGCTTCAATCCAGGAGGCAGAGGTTGCAGTGAGCCGAGCTGGCACCACTCCACTCCAGTCTGGGCAACAGTGAGACCCCGTGTCAAAAAAACAACAAAAAAAGAAAAAGTCAGCTAATTGTTATGTGTCATTTCTTTCTAGATTTTGTAGTTTTTGTTTGTTTGTTTTACATTTAATGATTTAGAAGATTTGGGGCTTATTGTGGTTTCTTAAATATTATAACTCTATTTCAAAACTATTCTGCTATGTTGAGCTATCTTATTTCATACTGTATTTTAATATGTTAGGACAGTTCTCTCCTTACGACTTTCTTTTGCAAAAATTTTCTAGCTACACTCATTTGGATATTCTTCATGATGAACTCTGAGATAATTTTAACACATTCCAAAAGACATATTTTTGAGACTTATTAGAATTTTGTTAAAGATACTGATTTATTTCCAAAGAATTACAGAATCTAATCTTTTCATCTATGTATCTCTATTGAAGCATTTGTTTATGTCTCTTAGAATAGATACATTCTTTAAAATAAAATATAAGCTTTGTGCATTTTTGTGAGGGTCGTTTCTGCATGCTTTATTTTCATTTTATTCAAATGGAATAGTTCCCCATTAGCTTTCATATCTCATTGTTATTATGTAGGAATGCTATTGATTTATTTTTATTAAACCTAATTGTCTTTTAAAATATATTAATTTTAATATTTTTCAGTTGATTCTTTTTTATTACATTTTACTTATTTATTTATTTTCTTTTATTTTAAAATTTTCTTTTTTGAGATGGGGTCTCATGCTGTCACCCAGGCTGGAGTGCAGTGGCACTATCCTGGCTCACTGCAACCTACACCTCCCGGGTTTAAGCGATTCTTATGCCTCAGCCTCCCGAGTAGCTGGAATTACAGATGCCCGCCACCATGCCCGGCTAATTTTTGTATTTTTAGTAGAGACGGGGTTTCACCATGTTGATCAGGCTGGTCTTGAACTCCTGACCTCAAGCAATCCACCCACCTCGGCCTCCCTCCCAAAGTGGTGGGATTACAGGCATGAGCCATCACACCCAGCCCTTTTTTATTACATTTTAAAATAGCATTAATAGAAACAAGGTTTCACTATGTTGCCCAGGCTGGTTTCAAACTCCTAAGCTCAAGCGATCTTCCCACCTCGGTCTCCCAAAGTGTTAGGATTACAGGCATGAGCCCGGTCCAGTTTATTCTTTTGGATATTCTAGAAGTAGAATATAGAATTCTCTACATTTAACAATTGTGACTATTCCTTCATGACCATTTAAATTCTTCCTTTCCAATATTAATGCCAGAGTGTCTTACTGCACTATTTAGGTTCTCAACTGCAACACTGAATAAGAGTCGTGATAGCACGTAACTTTGCTGTGCCTCTGACTTCAACGATAATACTTCTGTAGGTTTTTTAGAGATGTATCTTCTTAAGTTTAGGAAATTCCCTTCTATTTTAATCAGTCATGAGTGGGTATTGAATATTATGCAATGTTTTTTCCCAGCATTTTCTGTCAACATAGATGAGAAGTAAATTGGCCAATTTCCACTTATTTGTGATTGTGGCTTTTGGTTGTGGTTGTTTTATATCAAAATAATAGATGACATTTGGTTTCTTCCTTAATTCCACTATGATGATAGGGCATACTCTATAGAATTTCAGTCCTTTAAAATTGTTGAAAAGTGCTTTACGACCCACTACATAATCAATAAATATTCTTTTTGCAGCAAAATAATATATATTCTGTAGTGTTGTATGTGTATCATGTCAATTTTGTTCATTGTGTTGTTCAATGCTTCTATGTCCTTTCTATTTTTTTCCCTGCTTGTTCTATCAGTTACAGAGAGGAATGTGTTAAAAATCTCAGGTTGTGATGGTAGATTTGTGTATTTCTCCTTTTAGTTCTGTCATTTTGCTTCGTATATTTCAATACTATCTTTTAAAGATAGCATTGAATTGATTCTTTTTTCACTAATGCATTTTATCTCTTATAATACTTCTTGCCTTAACATCTACTTTGTCTAATATTTTTATAGGTACAACCAATTTTCTATTAGGCACAATAGGCATACATAACCCAGAGATATTGCAGATTCAGTTCCAGACTACTGCAGTAATAATATCATAATAAAGCAAGTCACACAAATTTTTTGGTTTCCCAGTGCATATATAAGTTATGTCTACACTATTCTATGGTCTATTAAGTGAGCAATAGCATTATGTCTAGAAAAACAATGTACATACATTGTACATTTTAAATGAATGTATATGCGAAACAACATACATTAATTTTAAAATACTATATTGCTAAAAAGTGCTATTGATCATCTCAGCCTTCAGTAAGTTGTAATTTTTTTGCTGGTGAGGGGTCTTGCCTCCATGCTGATGGCAACTGACTGATCAAGGTGGTGGTAGCTGAAGGTTAGGGTGGCTGTAGCAATTTCTTAATATAAGACAAAGATGATGTTTGCCACATTGATTGACCCTTTCTTTCACAAAAGATTCCTCTGTAGCATGCAATGCTGTTTGATAGCATTTTACCCACACAGTAGTGATGCAGGATTTTTTTGCTCCTTATCTAGGCTCCTTAGCCAGGCTCCTCCCCTGCATAAGACACGAATTCCTGGTGGCTCCACCCCATTCCCCCAGTGCTTGTGGGCCTCCAGTTCACTGCGGGCATGCTCAGGCAAGTCCCCTGTGCAGGTTCCCTTATCTGCACAAAACATCTGATGTAAACACTTGTGGGGCGAGTTGGAGATTCTCCGGGGACCCTTCCCTATCTGCCTAGGCCTTTGTCTGCCTCTTGCCTCTATCAGTAGGACTTCCTTCAAAATTGGAATCAAAATTGCCACCATTTTATCAACTAAGTTTATGTAATATTCTAAATCGTTTGTTGTCATTTCAACAGTGTTTACGGCATCTTCAACAGGAGTAGATTCCATCTCAGGAAACCACTTTCTTTGCTCATCTATAACAAGCATCTTCCACTGATGTCTTGAGCCCCTCAAAGTCATCCATGAGGATTGGAATCAACTTCCTCAAATTCCTGTTAATGTTGATATTTTTAACTCCTCCCATGAACCATGAATTCTCTTAATGACATCTAAAATGGTCAGAAGATTTTCAATTGACTTTGCCCAGATCCATCAGAAGATTCACTATCTATGGCAGCTACAGCCTTACAAAATATATTTCTGAAGTAACAAGACTTGGAAGTCAAAATTACTCCTTGTTCCATGGACAGCAGAATGGATGTTGTGTTAGCAGGCATGAAAACAATATTCATCTCCTTGCACATTTCCATCAGAGCTCTTGGGTTGTTGGTACATTGTCAATGAGCAGTAATATTTTGAAAGGAATCTATTTTTTTTTTCTGAGCACTAGGTCTCCAGACTGGGCTTAAAATGTTCAGTAGACTATGTTGTAAATACATGTGCTGTCATCCAGCCTTTGTTTTTCGATTTCTAGAGCATAGGCAGAGTAGATTTGGCATAATTCTTAAAGGCCCTAGAATTTTTAGAGTGGTCAAAGAGCATCGGCTTCACCTTAGAGTCATGAGCTGCATTAGCCCCTAACAAGGGAGTCAGCCTGTCCTTTGAAGCTTTGAAGCCAAGCCTGGACTTTTACTCTCTAACTCTGAGTCTTAGATGACATCTTCTTCCAATAGAAAGTCATTTAATCTACACTGAAAACCTGTTGTTTCATATAGCTCTCTTCATCAATTACTTGAGCTAGATCTTCTAAATAAATTCCTGCAGCTTCTACATCAGCACTTACTACTTCACCTTGAACTTTTATGTTATGCAGATAGTCTCTTTCCTTAAATCTCATGAATCAACCTCTGCTAACTTCAAACTTTTCTTTGGCAGCTGCCTAACCTCTCTCAGCCTTCAGAGAATTGAAGAGAGGTAAAGCCTTGCTCTGGATTAGGCTTTGGCTTAAGGGAATCTTGTGGCTGGTTTGATCTTCTATCCAGACCACTCAAACTTTCTCCATATCAGCAAGAAGGCTGTTTCACTATTTTTATCATTCCTATGTTCACTGGGGTAGTATTTTTAATATGTTCACTGGGGTAGTATTTTTAATTCCCTTCCAGAACTTTTCCTTTGTATTCACAATTTGGCTAACTGGCTCAAGAGGCCTAGCTTTCAGCCCATCTTGGCTTTCTACATGCCTTCCTCACTAAGCTTAACCATTTTGAGCTTTTATTTCAAGTAAAAGACATGGGAATCTTCCTTTCACTTGAACACTTAGAGGCTGTTTTAGGGTTTTTAATTGGTCTATTTCAATATTGTTGTGTTTCAGAGAATAGGGAGGCCTGAGGAGAGGAAGAGAAATGGGGGGCTGATTGGTGGAGCAGTTAGATCACACACATTTATCAATTAACTTTGCATGAGTGCAATTCATGGTACCCAAAAGCAATTACAATAATAACATCAAAGATCAAAGATCACGGTCCACCATAACAGATATAATAGTAATAATAAAGTTTGAAACATAGTGAGAATTACCAAAATGTGACAGAAAGAAATGAAGACAGCACATACTGTTGGAAAAATGGCACTGGTAGACTTGCTTGATGCAAGGTTGCCACAAACCTTCAGTTCGTAAAAAATGTAATATCTGCAAAGTGCAATAAAGCAAATTGCAATAAAATGAGATATGCCTGTATTTACATGGCATAATTCTTTCCATCCTTTCAATCTTTCTGTAGCCTTTTATTTGAGGTGTCTCTTACAAGCAACATATAATTGATATTATTTTTAATTCTGTCCATAGCATTTGCCTTTTAACTGGAGTATAGATTCCATTTATATTTAATGTACTTGCCAAAAAACCCTCCTGTTTTAAAAAATTTACCTTTTTTTTTTTTTTTGAGACAGAGTTTCACTCTGCTGCCCAGGCTGGAGTGCAGTGGTACAATCTCGGCTCACTGCAGCCTCCGCCTCCTGGGTTCAAGTGATTCTCCTGCCTCAGCCTCCCGAGTAGCTGGGACTACAGGTGCCCACCACCACGCCTAGCTCGTTTTTTGTGTTTTATTTTAATAGAGATGGGGGTTTCACTATGTTGACCAGGCTGGTCTCGAACTCCTGACCTCAGGTGATCTACCCTCCTTGGCTTCCCAAAGTGATCATCTATTTGTTTCTACTTGTCTGTGTTCCTTTTTTCCCTTTCTTGCTTCTTTTATTTTTTATTTTTTCATTTCCCCTCTTTTTTACATGTTATTCATTCTTTTTCTATTACTTTTGCTGTTATTCTAGAGATTATAATATTCATTATTGATGTATTAAAGCCAAGTACTTTTATCAATTCCTATACAATCCTAGGACTTTAGAACACTTTACTTTCATTTACTCTATCTCACTTTTTGTGCTGCTATTGTGTATATTTTAATTCTACATATATTTAAACTTCACATGACGTTATTTTTATTGTTTTATATAAATTGTGTTTATTTATATCTATCCATATATATATATGTATTTATATCTATCCATATATAAAAGGATTGATTGCTCTTCATTCCTTTAGATGTCTCCATGATTTCATTTGGGATTATATTCCATCTGCCTGAAAAACTCCTTTTGGAATTTCCTTTAATGTAAATCAGCTGATGATCTTAGTGTTTCTTGGTTATAAAACTGGCTGTATTTTATTTTCAATTTTGAAGATCATTTTTACTGGGTATATAATATAGGTTGATAGGTAATTTCTCCTAGCGCTTTGAAAACATTTGAAGGTGTTTAGGCTTCCATTGGTTCTTTGAGAATAAGCTTTTAATTTTATTGTTGCTCATTTGCAGATTATATCTCTGTTTTCTTTGCTGATTTTAAACCTTTTCTTTTTGATTTTGTTTCTCAGTAGTTTACAATGTGCCTAGACATGGTTTTCTTTGCTTGAAATCCTGCTCTATGTTCATAATGTTTCTTGACTCTGAGAATTGTTGTTCATTAGTTTTAAAAAATTTCCAGCCGTTATCTTTTCAAATACTGCTTCTTTTCCTTTTTTCTCTCACCTCTCTTCCTGATATTCCAATTACGTGTGTGTTAGAATGTTTTACCACATATCACATGTGTCATAGTCTCCTTTCTGAGACCTTATCTCTTTTATAGAAAGTTCTTTCATATCTCTTGTATGTCATTTTTCATATTTTGTTTTGCTTATTAGCTTCACTAATTCTTGCTTAAGTTGTATCTCATCTGTTATTAAGCCCATAATTCTGTAGTAGTTTTAGTTAGTGTGTTTTTTTCTCCAATTCCAAAATTCCATTGTATTCTTCTTTGGAGTTTCCAGTTCTCTGCTGAAAACTCTTTATCTTGCAATTTAATTTCTTGAAGATATTTAACAGAATTATTTTAAAATCTGTCTTTAAACTTTAATATCTGGATCTTCTGTGTGTTTATTTCTGTTTTCTTTTTCCCTTAGTTTTTAAGACAATTCTGTGTCCTTTGTTTAAATTAAGTTTCAGACATGGTGTATAAAATATTATATGGGTAATGTGTTGCTCTGAATGATGCTTTTTTTCCCCAGAGAGAATATTTACTGTTGCCATTTGAAGCTGGTTTTCAGCCCTTGGGTCTATTTCCCGTTCATCCACACCCCTAGGGTATAGCTCTTCGGAGTCCCAGCTGAAAGCCTAGTTGCTTACCAGCCCCTCATCATAAATAGGTCCTAAACTCCAATTTTTTTTTTGTCTCCCCAACCCCATGAGATGACTGAAAGCTCTGCTTACTTTCTCACTCTTTCAGCCATGGCTTTAAAATCATCAAATACCTCATGGGAAAAGTGGTGGCTTTCTGAGCTGCCTATCTTTCCAGGATTTCAGTCATCCAAGTCCTTGCTGGGAGAGGAAATTTTTAACTTTTGTCAACTTTTCTATTTTTTCTTAGTGAGAATATTGAACACAAATAAACTAGTATATCAGTGCCAGAAGCAAAACTCCACTGAGACAGTCTGAGTAGAGCAGTGGTGTGATTTGGTTTCGATTTTTAAAAGATCACTCTCATTGCCTTGAAAATGAACTATGCGACATTAGGGAGAAAGAAGGATGGAAGCAGGTGGTCCAGTTAGTAAACTATCACAATAATCCAGGTAAGAGATAACGATGGCTCAGGCCATGGTGGTAAGGTGGAAATAGAGAGAAGTGATCAAACGCCGCATCTAGTTTGAAGGAAAAGACAAGAGGGTTTACTGACAAACTGGAGATGAGCATGAGAGAGGAATCAATGCTCATCCCAAGATTTTTGGCCTGAACAGCTAGAAGGAAGGAGATGAAGAAAACTGAGACGGGGAAAGCTGGGTAGGAGTGCATTCATGAAGACCAATCAGCAACTTACTTTTGTGTATGTTAAGTCTGAGATGCTAATTTGACATGTAAGTGGAGATGCCAAATGCATAGTCAAATACACCAGTCTGAAGTTCAGGGAATATTTGGAAGCTAGAGATACAAATTCTGTAGTCATGAGCATATAGATGGTAATTAAAGTCGTAAGACCGGATGAGAGGACCTCGAAAGTAAATATAGAGACGACTACAGACAATATAATAGTGTCTATTTCATAGGGCCGGTGTGCAGGGTTAATAATATTTATACAACTCTGCCTCCAGACCCCTCTCCCAGTGTACGGAGATCAGGATCTCATCACCCCTCCCCACCACGTGAAGTCCTGCTTACAGCTCAAATGCCTTTTATTAACCGAAGTGCCTCCAGACCCCTCCCCTCCTCACCACGTGAAGTCCCGCTTACAGCTCAAATGCCTTTTATTAACCGAAGGTCAGCTTTTGTGACTCTCAGACGCTCAACAGGTGCGCAACTCTGCTAACGCAGTAGGCTGTCCTGGCCAAAGGGTGGTGCTGTGAGTCGCCTCCAGCCTCCGGGCCGTCCCGAAAGCTGCACCTTCTCCCCCTGAGCTGCAGAGGGCGCGCGTGAGGCATCGGGCGCTCAGGACCCCGCGGGAGCTCAGCGAGGGGGCGGGCGGCCACGGAGTGAGGCCGGGGCGGGGTCGGGCGCGGGGCGGACGTGGGGAGGGGTTGGCCGGGGCCAGAAGCAGGGTGCAGGGCAGGCGCGGGGCGGTCACGGGGGCGGGGCCGGTCGCGGGGCGCGGGGCGGGCCCGAGCTACCGGTAGTCTGCCTGCCGCAGTCCGAGCGCCGCGCTGGGGAGAGCGGGTGTTTGAAGGCTCCGCGGACCGGCACTAGGAGCCGGGGGCGGGTCCGTGACCCTCCGGCTGCTCGGAGTGAACAGGCGGCCAGGAAAGAAGCGGGCCTGAACACCATGATCCCTTTGGAGAAGCCAGGCAGCGGCGGCTCCTCCCCAGGCGCCACCTCAGGCTCGGGCCGGGCAGGCCGGGGTCTGAGCGGGCCGTGCCGGCCGCCGCCGCCGCCCCAGGCCCGCGGGCTGCTGACAGAGATACGCGCCGTGGTGCGCACCGAGCCCTTCCAGGACGGCTACAGCCTGTGCCCGGGCCGGGAGCTGGGCAGGTGAGGACGGGCGGGGCCCGGCGCGGAACCTTCCCGGACGCGCGGGGCGGGACGTGGGCGCCGATAAGTGCCGGCGCCGCGGCGGCGAGGCTGAAGTGGCGTTGCTGCTGCCGATAACGCGCGTTGTGACTTGGCACAAACTTGGGTGCCGACGGCAAGTAGGGCAGCCGAGTCGCACCAGCGCCCCCTCCACGCGCCGCGCCCAGCAAGCGAGTGGTGGTAACTCGATGGCGGTCCCGGAGGCGCGGACACTTTCCTCAGCCCTTTCGTTCTCTGTGGCGTTTCGAATGGCTATTTAACGAGAGAAGGTGCGGGCCGCGCTCTGCCTTTCACCCCGAGCAGCGGGTCTGAAAACCAGAGGTCTGTGGAGCCGACTTTGCATTTTTCCTTCAACTCTTGCGACTTTCTTGGTCTGCCTGTGTGGTTTTAATAAAATACAGCATCCGTTGTGACCGCTTCCTTTGCACCGGCGCTCTGTTACCTTGTGTCGGTCTTCTGCTGAATTCATTTTCGTTTTCTTGGTTGGTTTTCTGCCGTTTTAGTTCTAAAGCATTTAGGTCCCTTTGCTTCGAGTTTAGATTGGTTTCTTTCGTGGGCGCTTGGCCCTTTTCTCGCTTTTTACTTTGCTGGGAACCGATTCTTGCCTTCTCCCCCCACCCCACGCTAGCCCACCCTTTTTTTGTGGGAGTAGAGAGAGCTTACAACTTGGTCTGTAAAGTTGCAGGTGCAGGCTGTTCGGATGCTTTACATTTTGTATGCTGAAGAGGGGTGATCGAGTGATTTTTGTGGGGTTTGGCGACTCTTCCTTGAGAACAGTTTGAAGAAGTTGTTAAATACTCTGGCTTTGGGGGCAGACCTGAGTTCATATTCGTGCCCTTCTTGCTGTGTTTGCCTTTGGAGGGGTTAGACTCTCCAGCCTCACTTTCCTCATCCGTAAAATCGTATAATGATGACAGTACCTACCTCAGAGGTGGCCTGAAGATGCCATGCTTGTCAAGCGCATACCACTGGGCTTGCCACATGGCGTTCAGTAAATGTTCGCATTATTGCCAGCATTTGTCATGGTTGCAAAATAGCACCATGTTGTAATGGGAAAGGGCCTGACAGTTGGAACAGCCTTCAGCTGGGGTCTTGGAAAGGCAAACAATGTAACATTGGTTATAATGTTAAAAACACACTGCCTTACACATATTAAGGTAACTTTTGGAAATAGTTTTTTTTGGGGGGTGGGGGTGTAGGGAGGGTGGAATCCTACCTTAACAAAGTCTTACTTATTCCTAAATGTTAACAAAAGGAAAAACACCTTTCAGGAACAAGATTTACTTCACTGCTAGGCCCTAGTTGACTGGATCTGTGCATACTTTGTGACAAAAGATGAAGGGAGCTGTGACTTAGCTGTGTATTCTAATTTGTCGACATTCCAAACATTCTGAAGTAACCCCTATTACCTGAAAAAAGGAAAACTGGCCGGGCGCAGTGGCTCACGCCCATAATCCCAGCCCTTTGGGAGGCTGAGGCGGGTGGATCACCTGAGGTCAGGAGTTCCAGACCAGCCTGGCCAACATGGTGAAACCCCGTCTGTACCAAAAATACAATAATTAGCTGGGCCTGGTGGTGGGCGCCTGTAATCCCAGCTACTCGTGAGGCTGAGGTAGGCGAATCACTTGAACCCGGGAGGCGGAGGTTGCAGTGAGCCAAGATCGCGCCGTTGCACTCCAGCTTGGGTGACAGAGTGAGACTCCATCTCCAAAAAAAAAAAGGAAAACTACGTTTTTCCATTATTTGGTTGTCTGGCTTCATTCCACAAGGAAAACCGGTGCAAATATTACAAAACGAATGTCTTCAGGTGGCAAGCACTGTCTTGGAGATGTTATAATCTGGAAACTGATTTGCACCCCACCAGGTGTTATGGTACCAATTCCTTCAGGAATGTTTCTTTCAACTTTTGTTTTAAACTCCATTATAAAATTAGCTTTCCGATCAGGTTTTTTTTTAAGATTGTGATATCTTCTACATATCTTTTCTTACATAAATTTCTTTACAAAAGGAGTAGATTGTAAAGCTGCATAACAATGCAGTTATTAGATAAATACTTGATATAAGAGCCTGGAACTGAAAAATAAAATTAAATCTATTCTTTCCCTTGTGGCACCCTTTTTTATCGCATAGGAGTTTAATGCAGTGCTTAAGAACATTGGCTTTGGAGTCAGACAGTGTGAGATTGAATCTTGGCTCTTACTAGTTATGTGGACTTGAGTGCATTACCTAACCGTTTATTGCCTCATAGGGTTGGTGAGAGAATTAAGTAAAACACATAGCCTTAAGGCTGTGCTTAGCTTAGGGGAAGCACTCAATAAATGTAATTCATGGTGTAATTCAATAAATGTTATTATTTTAAATGTAACCCAAAAAGAAAACCTGCACAATCTCAAAAAATGCCTCTATGTCTGGCAAAAGTAATGAAGTCACAGGAACTGTTCAGAAGTCTCAGGAAGGAAAAGTTCTGTTTGTGTATAAGCAGTCCTTGTTTAAGTTTTATAAACTTTGCCTGTATTTATGGTTTTAACATAGCTAAGTGTGTCTCTGCTTCATCTTTGATAAGATAGAAAACCTATTTTTCCAACAATTAACTCTGGTTGCATTTCTGATATAACTAATTAATCTCACGCTGATAAAGAACTTGGAGAATACCCGTGTTAATAGTTTAATGATGTGGGAAGAAAAACAGATTTTTTTTTTCATTTTATTCTATGGCCTTTCATTTAGTAAAATGCAGAAGGGGTGTGATGAGTTAACTGTTCAAACAAATCATTCTTTTTCAGGTGCTACTATGTTATCACAGATCTAAAACTTTCAATGAGATGACTGTTCAAAGAGAATTTTTTAAATGGTCAACATTGATTCCAGAGTAATGACAGGATGTGATGTTGATCATTTAAGAAATGTTGCATTCTTTCATGTCTCCAACAGAGTCCATAGCAGCGTAAATAAGGGTAAATATATGATGTAAAACATTCTTTTATTGCTTGAAGCTTGACTGGTTAAGGCTTGTTACCTTTCTTTGAGTCAGGATGTATGCCAATGTAAACCACATTAATGATTTCGTTACTGGGGCACACAAGAGAAATGACCTTGGGTTCTGATAATTTTTTCGTGTTGATTTCCCTTGAGTTTATTGATAATATAGAAACAGAAAGATGTTTCAAGGAACTTAAAGATAACACCAGTTTCATAGCAAATGATTTGCCTTACATTTGTTTTCATTATCTAGTCCTCAACTTTAATGTTTTTAATATACCGATAAATTTTTTCTTAAGAAAAAAATATTTTAAGCCAAAAGAACACTTTAAAAATATTAGTACATGCTAATAGTTGGATTTTCCTAAGGAAAAAAGTTACAAATACAAGTTCCCATCTGAAACAGGTACTTTATAATGTGCAGGCCTTACAGTTTTACAAGTGCTTTCACATGCATTATCTCATTGATTCTCACCACAAGCCTGTTTGGAAAGCCCCATTTTTCAGATGAGAAAACAAAGACAGATTTAAAAGTCTTGTGAGAGATAACAGAGCTGGGACTCCTGACTTTGAAATCATTCCCATTACACCACACATGTTTTTCAAAGAATAATTTGTAGTCTGTATCTTATGACTAAAGCAATTTCCTGTCATTTTAATGAAATGATATGTTTTTATTGTTTTTTGTTTTTTTTTTTTTTTTTTGAGATGGAGTCTCGCTCTGTCGCCCAGGCTAGAGTGCAGTGGCGCGATCTCAGCTCACCGCAAGACCCGCCTCCTGGGTTCACGCCATTCTCCTGCCTCAGCCTCCCGAGTAGCTGGGACTATAGGCGCCTGCCACCATGCCTGGCTAATTTTTTGTATTTTTAGTAGAGACAGGGGAAAGGATCTGTTAATGAGTTCTACATTGGAACAAACATGACCAAGCTTCAGTGTCATATAGTTAAGTTCCCACTGGGGCCTTAAAGTAAATTAGGGATGTCCTATCTCATTCTCCTCAGAGCAGTCAGGGGTAATAGGGACAAGAGAGGATTTTTATCAGAGAATAAGAGAATATTCAAACTGAAAGGGGACTCTGGGTGGGTATTTTGGGGACTGTGTGTCCTTACCTAGATTGATGGCTGTAGGTAATAGCTTCAGTTTTTGTATCTGACAAGAACTTAAGCGTGTGTCATAAGTTATCATTTTTTAACAAATAAAGACCTTTATTAAGTAATATCCATGCAGAAATTGCTTTGTTTTAACACAGATGTTATTTAAGATTTCTTGACAGCTAGTCATTAGTTTGAAGAATTTTATTTACAAACAGTTTTGGGTAATCTGATACTTTGGATAGATAAAAGAAAATTGGCCATATTTGTGGTTCAACAATAAAGTTACTTGGAAAGTATGGCTTCTGCTCTTAGGCAGGTACTTTAAGTCAGTCAGCTGTTTAATTTTGAAAAGTTCATGCTTCAAATGTTAAAATCTTAATTTAAAATACATGAATGTAAGAATTTGAATTTTAATCTTTTCATAAAACCATAGATGACACAATTTTATAAAATATGATTATTGAACCAAATGCATTAGAAAGCTAAGTAGCTATAGTCACCTCTTCAGGTAAGTAAGAAGTTAACTAGATTTCTTGAGAGAATTTACACATTATGTAGACTTAATAGCTCACCTCCAGAACTCCTGTTCTGATATTTTTTTTAAATTATTATCATTGGTTATATCATAGATCTGAAATTAATGCCAAAAACAATAAAAATAGCCACTGATTATTGATCATTTGCTGAATGCTACACACTTTAAAGATGTAATTTTGTATAGTCTTCACTGCCCTGTATGGTAAAGTGCCATTGATCTCATTTTACAGATGAGGAATCCCAGGTTCCAAAGGATTAATAAATTGCCCAGTATTACACACTTGTTAGCCAGAATTTAAAACCAAGTTTGACTTGTAAGGCCCTGCCTTTTCTTATCACGCATGCTAATGTCTTATTTGAATGGACTCACTGATTTTTACGCCTAGGGTCTTTTCCTTGGTCCTTTCAGCGATAAGGAAGACAAAATCCATTCTAGGTTTTTCCTGAATGGAACTTCTTTACGTTTAAGACATGGCTCACACCTGTAATCCCAGCACTTTAGGAGGCCAAGGTGGGCGGATCACTTGAGGTCAGAAGCTTGAGAGCAGCCTGGCCAACATGGTGAAACCTCATCTCTACTAAAATTACAAAATTAGCTGGGCACACACCTGTAGTCCCAGCTACTTGGGAGGCTGAGGCGGGAGAATTCCTTGAACTTGAGAGGTGGAGGTTGTGGTGAGCAGAGATAGTGCCACTGTACTCCAGCCTAGGTGACAGAGTGGGACTGTGTCTCAAAAAAAGAAAAAAGACATCACTCCAGTGTAATTAGGCAAATACTGTACTTATGTATCAAGTACATAAAAGCACTACCTTAGGCTCTGGAAGCTATTCCCAAATGTAACAGATCAATCACTGTCCCCTTTATAGGCAAGATGATATGCCACTGGAAGGTCTTATGGGGGAAATAACATTTCAGTTGGGCTGTAAAGAATGGATGGAATTTCAGTAGTAGTTGCCATTGTCAATAAAACAGCAAGTCAGAGCAGTAGAAAAATTCAGTGAAGAGAGAATGGCAAGTAGTCCAGTATATTAAATGTCATGAGGTTAAGTTGCCATAAAACTTTTATTTAACAAAATAATAAGCAGTATATATACTAGGTGTGCTGATTATATTTGCACACCTGCCATGTGCAGGGCACTATGGAGATAAAAAGATGAAGAATAAGTGAGGTCCCTGAAACTCACAGTCCAGCTGGGAGACATAGTACAACAAGTTGTAATATATAAGATTGACATAAATATAATAAAGGTATAAACAAAGCACTTTAACCTAGAATAAAACAGGACCTTGGACATTATTTTACTTCCCCTTTGTACTGCTCAAATTAGCATGTGCATTTTCTGATGTTTACCTGAATGTTATATATTCTATTATCTCTTCACCTTTGCTTATAATCCAACACTTGAATTTGTATTTGGAATCCCTTCAATAAATGGGATTCTCTTTACCAAAAAAGGCAGCTCAACCTTCTGTCCAACTATAACTCCTACCACATTACACAGTACTATAACTGGTACCACATTTACACAGTACCTATATTAAAAATCTAAAAGTCATCCATGACTTTCACCTTTCCTTTCTCCTCTCATCTCTGCGTACAACTCACACCTGCCAGGGAGTGCTAATAAATCTTGACTTTGAGTGTCTTTTAAACATATTCTCTCTTCCCAGTCCCTACGCTGGTACTTGAGTGCAGACCTACTGCTTTGAATTATTTTATTGGCCTCTCTGTTTCTAGTTATCACTGGCAATCCACTCTTCACAACACTATTAGAATTACCTGTTTTGTTTTATTTTATTTTATAATTTTATTTTAATTTTATTTAATTTTAATTTTAATTTTATTTTATTTTATTTTATTTTATTTTATTTGAGACAGGGTCTCATTCTGTTGCCCAGGCTAGAGTACAGTGGCATGATCTCGGCAGCCTAGATGTCCCAGGCTCAACTGATCCTCCCATCCCAGCATCTCAAGTGCCAGGACCACAGGTGCACACAACCACGCCTGTCTAATTTTTGTATTTTTTGTAGTGACAAGATTTCGCCACGTTGCCCAGGCTGGTCTCGAACTCCTGGGCTCAAGCAATCCGCCTACCTCAGCCTCCGAAAGTGCTGGTATTACAGGCATGAGCCACCGTGCCCAACCAGAATTATCTTTTCTAAACAATTATTTTCAGTATTCTAATAGGTTCCAGTTTTAAGCCTGATGAAGCCCAAACTCCTTAGCAAACATACCTACCTAAAGATACTCACCCTGTCTCCCTAAGCAGTGTTTTTAGGCACTGATAATGCAAAGGACTTAGGGAGCTCGGACTGGTGGGTCTCAATCAAATGTCACCTCCTCTTGTTATAATTGTTTATGTATCTTACCTTTCCCACCTCTCTGGAATATGTTTTCAGTGAGTAGTTCTGAAATGTATTCATTTCTGATATTCATCCCAAAATATTTAATGAAAACCTAAGTTCTCAGTTTTGTACCTATTAGCAAAATATAGATGTTTTTGAAATGAAAAAATATACCTGAAAATTATGGCAACTGTTTATTCCAGGAAGAAGTTTGGCTTTTGAGTCAACAAAAAAAGTAGATGTGCAACAAACATCTTATGCCCTTTGGACCTCATCAGCCCCAAGAGAGCTGTATATAACCATGGCCCATAATGTCAGGGAAACATCATTTTTAAAATGTTTTGTAGAGGACTCAATAACCTAAAGTTAAAGGTTGAGGTACAGTCACAATTTTTACCATAAAGTCATGGTAAAATATGCATGTTGGAGCCCTTTTGAGGTATGGAATTTAGGGAACTCTGTCAATGTAATTCTGAGCATATACACTGGGACTTTGCAGCTTGAATGCTGAATCTCCTGTTTTCTTTATACAATGTGGCTGTGTAGAACAGCTCCAAGAAATCCGTTATTATCTTCTCTGACTCCTCCTTGAGTGGTTTGAAGGGTCCCCCTCCCATTGCACCAGTCATTTAGAGATGAAGGCATGCATGCTTCCTCAAATCATTGCGACCTGCTGTCATAATGTCAGTTTCAGTGGTATGTGGTATTAGAATGATGGAAGAGTTTTATTCAGCATAGGATAGAGCAGGGGTCAGCAAACTACAGCCAGCCACCTATTTTTGAAAGCCTTGCAAGCTGTTTTTACATTTTTTATGTTTTACATTTTTTAATAGTTAAAAAAATTAGAATAAGAGTAATATTTAATAACATGAAAAGCTTATGAAATTAAATTTCAGTGTAAAAGGTTCATTGGAAGCCAAACATACCCATTCATTTACCTTTCTTGTATGGCTGCTTTTGTTCTGCAACAGTGGACTTGAGTCATTGCTGCAGAGACCCTCTGGTCCACAAAGCCAAAAATATTTACCATCTTGCTTGCCCTTCACAGAAAAACTTGCTGACCCTAGTATAGTACAGGATATGTTGGAAAGAAAAGAATAAATCTAGAACTGTGAGGAATGTTTCCAGAAAAACAAAGGTGGTGTCAGTGTAGTCATTGATATGAAAGGAGAGCCGTGGGAACTGCATTCTAGCACCTAAAGGAATGGGTGAGGAGCATGAGCAACAGATGAATAAGTATGGGGAAGAGGCCCCAGAATTTAGCAATGGCTGTTCTGTAACAGGGCTCCCACAGTTCACAGGTTAGCAATGTGTGTGAGTCCGTGTTTAATTTGCCCTGTTAAATTCTAACTTCTAGGTTTTGATCTTTCATTCTAGACTACTGACATAATTTTGAGTTCCAATTCTGTTTGCTGAATTAGCTGTCTTTCCATTTGGTCTTTAAAAATAGACTTTCAGGCTATGTAATAAGTAGTTTTTTACTTACTGCACAGTACTTTATTGCTTTGAATGTCAGGTGTGGCAACAGTAAACATTTGTGTGTGTGATATGTGTTTGAGGGCCGTTCTACTGAGTCATTTCTAATTTACCAGGAACATGTTTGCTGCCAATTATATGTTGAGACTTCATTTCAGACGAATTTTTTACAAATTAAACTTTCTCTTCTCTTGAAACTTCAGACATGTAGGTATGAAAATATCAAATTAATAACAATTGTTTTCTGTCTTAAAAGAATTCAGAGATCATTGGGAACCTTTTAAAACTTGATGGAGATGTTAGCCTAATGATTTTGTGGGATAAAATGAAAGGTATTAATTACTCTTTGAGGAATTCATTTATAGTTACTCTCTCCCATATCTGTAGAAGTCTTTCATATTTCTGTGAACAAAAGAACTTTTATCTGAATAAGGGTGCTGCTAGGTAGGTTGTTACCAAATTGAACAGCCATAGGGCTATGCTTAAGGATTTGTCATTCCACATTTATATTACTAATGATAAAAACATGGAGGACATGAAAATTATATTTGCAGTTAACAATAGCTGGGAAGGAAGAATTACTCAAAATTATGTCAGTAGTCTAGAATGCTAGATCAAAGCCTAGAAGTTAGAATTTAACAGGGCAGGCCAGGCATGGTGGCTCATGCCTACAATCCCAGCATTTTGGGAGGCCGAGGTGGGTGGATCACTTGAGGCCAGGAGTTCGAGACCAGCCTGGCAAACATGACGAAACCCCATCTGTACTAAAAAAAAAAAAAAAAAAAAATCAAAAAATTAGCTGGGCATGATGGTATGTGCTTGTAATTCCAGCTATTCAGGAGGCTGAGGCATGAGAATTGCTTGAACCCGAGAAGCGGAGGTTGCAGTGAGCCGAGATCGTGCCACTGCACTCCAGCCTGGGTGACAGAACGAGACTGTGTCTCAAAAACAACAACAAAAAAGAATTTAACAGGGCAATTAAAGCCTTGCACTTAATTTTTTAGAAAGCTTTTTAAAAAAATAGATTCAGGGGTACAAGTGCATTTGTGTCACATGGATATATTGGGTCATGGTGAAGTCTGGGCTTTTAGTGTGCTCATCACCTAAATAGCGTACATTGTACCCAATAGGTAGTATTTAATTCCTCACCCCCTTCCCACTCTCTTACTGTTTGGTCTGTTTTTCCACTCTATGCCTGTGTATCCATTTAGTTCCCACTTAAAAGTGAAAACAGGCAGTTTTTTACTTCCTGCTTGAGTCATCTCACTTAGGATAATGACATCCAGTTCCATCCATGTTACTGCACAAGACATCATTTTTATGGCTGTGTAGTAGTCCATGATACATATACACACCATATTTTTAGTCCAGTCATCCACTGATGGACACTTAGGTTGGTATCTTTGCTATTATGAATAGGGCTGTGATTAACATATGAGTGCAGGTGTCTTTTTCATACAATAATTTCTTTTCCTTTGGGCAGATACCCTGTAATGGGATAGCCAAGTCAAATGGTAGTTCTTTGAGAAATCTCTAAACTACTTTCCATAGTGGCTGAACTAATTTACATTTCCACCAGCAGTGTATAAGCGTTCCCTTTTCTTTGTATGTTCGCCAACATTTGTTGTTTTTTAACTTTTTACTAATAGCCATTCCAACTGCTGTAAAGCAGTACCTCATTGTGATTTTAATTTGCATTTCTCTGATGATTAGTGATGTTGAACATTTTTTAATGTGTTTGTTTGCTGCTCTTTTGAAAAAATGTCTGTTCATATAAAAAAAAAAAACAATGAGGTTGTTTTTTTTTCTCGTTTTTTGAGTTCCTTGTAGATTCTGGATATCATCCCTTTGTTGGAGGCATAGTTTGCAAATATTTTTTCCCATTCTGTAGGTTGTCTGTTTATGCTGTTGATTATTCCAAATTTTTTAGCAATCATTTTTAAAATATAGTATGAGGATACTGACTTGATAAAAATTCAAGGTGGAAAAAAATCTAGGTAGTTTATCAGCCCAATTTGAAATATGAAAACATGTCAAGTTTTTTAACAATCAATCTTAGGTTGTATTGTTCCAGGAGCAACAAAAATAATAATGATGTAATGCTTTGATCGATTATACCTGGATTAGTTGCTTCAGATTTGGTTGGCACATTTTCTGCTGAGCCATAATAGGGAGTCAACCTTATGGGGAGGTGGGCATGGTGGCATGTGCCTGTAATCCCAGCTATACAGGAGGCTGAGGTGGGAGGATCACTTGAGCCCGGAAGTCCAAGGCTGCATTGAGCTATGATGGTGCCACTGCACTCCAGCCTGGGCAACAGAGTGAGACCCTGTCTCTTAAAGGAAAAAAAAAAAACCCATGGGGATGGGGATTGATTGCAAATTGGGAAAGGGAAGAGGGAGTGGCAGCTAACAGATGGTGTTTGCTGTGTTCAGTATCTGATAGACTGCCATGTGGAAAAGAGAGTGAGGTCTGGTCTGTACTGCTCAGCAGAGGACCCTGACTGTAACCCTTCAACTGAAGTCAGGTTTAGGCTTGTAATGAAGACCTTATTAAGATAATATGTACCCAGTAGTGGAAAAGATTACCTCACAGTTTGAAATAAGACATTGGCATTTGGTGTTAGGTAAAATACTGTATGATTTCTAAGTTGTCTTTCAACCTAAGGATTCAGTGGATGTTTACGGGTGATGACTATCACAGCTTAATGATGTTTGTGTGATTAGTAATATTTATTGAGCACTTACTGTGTGGCAAGTACCATGCTAAGCAATTGAAATATATTATTCTTTAATTCTTAGAACCCTGTGAAGTAGATGCCATTTGTGTCCCTATTATACAGATTAGAAAAATGAGACTTAGGGCATGGAGGCTCATGCCTTTAATCCTAGCAGGATCACTTGAGGCCAGGAGTTCAATACTAGCCTGAGCAACATAGAGAGACCCAGTCTCTTAAAAAAAAAAAAAAAGAAAGAAAGAAAAGAAAAGAAAAATGAAACTAAAAGAGGTTAAATAAACCACCTAAGGTTACTGTCAAGTGCCACTTATAGGGTTCAAGCCCACATAGGTTTAATTCCAGAGCTCATACTTTTAATCAGTATGCTATACTGAGTCCCTGGTTTACCCACTTATTAGTGTAATGACAAATAGTAATGTATCAATATAACACTTTGTTGTATCTGTCTTTATGAGAAAATACATTTCTAGCTGACGCTCTAGTTAAAATGATAAATGAGTGAGATCCTTACCTTTAGAAAGTGATAGTGCTCTTTAGAGTCAATTAGTGCAGTGAAATTCATCATATTAGGGATTCTGGTGACCAATTTCTATTAAAAAATCAAATGGCTTTTTTTTTTTTTTTTTTTTCCCCCCTGGAGACAGAGTCTCACTCTGTCATCCAGTCTGGAGTGCAGTGGCATGATCTCAGCTCGCTGCAACCTCCACCTCCCAGGTTCAAGCGATTCCCATGCCTCAGCCTCCTGAGTAGCTGGGATTACAGGCATAGCACTACTACACCTGGCTAATTTTTGTATTTTTAGTAGAGACAGGGTTTCGCCATTTTGGCCAGGTTGGTCCAGAACTCCTGACCTCAAGTGAGCCACCTGCCTCAGCCTCCCAAAATGCTGAGATTACAAAGGTGCACCATGCCTGGCTTCAACTGGCTTTTTTAGAGACCTAAATCATTTTATGTATAAATGTGCAAAAAATTAAGTTATGTGTAACTCTGCAAAAAAATGGACTTTAATATTTGTTATTCTTTAGAAAATGAATTGTGCAGGTTTATACATTTTGTTTTATTTGATAAATCTATAAATCTATAGATGTAGCCTATATAAATTTCTAAGTGATGTTTCTACTTTTGTGATTGTATATAAGCTAAATTTGAATATCTACCAATGGGTATTTGGAAATTTCATTGAAATCTGCCATCTCTGGAAAGTTGTCAACTTTAACAGTGAATGTTTTTGTTTAATTCTAGGGGGAAATTTGCAGTGGTGAGAAAATGTATAAAGAAAGATTCTGGGAAAGAATTTGCTGCAAAGTTCATGAGAAAAAGAAGAAAAGGCCAAGATTGTCGGATGGAAATAATTCATGAGATTGCTGTACTTGAACTAGCACAAGACAATCCTTGGGTCATTAATTTACATGAAGTTTATGAGACTGCATCAGAAATGATCTTAGTTCTGGAATAGTAAGTATTGTCTTTCTTAGATTAAGTTTGTTTGGTAGTCTACACTTCCTTTACGGAATGCCACTCATCTGTGATAATGTTGCCAGGCCTGGTTCTCTGGAAATCTCAGAATTTTCTAGATCATCTTCAGGTGTTCCTCTTATTAATATAACATGTTCCAAATTTGCAAGGATGCATGTATATTAGCTTTTTTATTTTCATTCTTTAATGAAATTCTTGTCATAATTGGATAAAAGGTTATCTTACAATTTTATTAGAGGCATTCTTAACAAAGTAATACCAAACTAATATTAAAATAAAAGGCATTTTATAATCCTTACATGTTCTTATAGTCTGAGTTAATCTCCTTTCTTTTAGAAACAGTGGTCTTGATTCTTACTATGTTTTCAATTTAAGTAGGTAGATAACAGCACAGAAAACAGCTTTGAAAAATGAAGGACTGTTCTTTCTCCTTAAGAAATCCTGGTTTCATACCAGGCGTGGTGACTCATGCCTGTAATCCCGGCACTTTGAGAGGCCGAGGCAGGAGGATCACCTGAGGTCAAGAGTTCAAGACCAGTCTGGCCAACATGGTGAAACCCAGTCTCTACTACAAATACAAAAAATTAGCCTGGCGTGGTGGCATGTGCCTGTAATCCCAGCTACTCAGGAGCCTGAGGCAGGGGAATTGCTGGAACCAAGGAGGTGGAGGTTGCAGTGAGCTGAGATTGCGCCACTGCACTCTAACCTGGGCGACAAAGTGAGACTCCATCTCAAAAAAAAAAAAAAAAAAACCTTAATACTCATGCCTGTAATCCCAGCACTTTGGGAGGCCAAGGCAGGAAGGATTACTTGAGTCCAGGAGTTTGAGATCAGCCTAAGCAACATAACAAAGACCCTGTCTCTTTTAAAAAATAATTAATTTAAAAAAACAAAAAAGACTTAATACATCAATAAATCCAAACAAAATGAAAAGACAAACTCGGAAAAATACCTCTAATATTCATCTAGCCAAAGCGGTTAAAGTTGCTTGAATATATAACCAGATCTTGCAAATACACACAAACACATGAACCTCCCAGTTTACAAAGGGTTTGGACCGTAATCCCAAAAGATGCAATCTTAAATGTTGAAATTCCAAAAAATCAAAAACCCTAAGGTCTAAAATCTCAAAAATCACAATCCCAAAAGATCAAAATCTTGAAAATATAATTATGGAAAAAAAATCCTAAAAAATTCTGTAAAAGACATTTATTTGGTGCGGTGGCTCATGCCTGTAGTTCAGCACTTTGTTGTTATTATTTTTTTTTTTTGAGATGGATTTTCACTCTTGTTGCCCAGACTGGAGTGCATTGGCACAATCTCGGCTTACTGCAGCTCATGGGTTCAAGCGATTCTCCTGCCTCAGCCCCCCAAGTAGCTAGGATTACAGGCATCCGTCCACCTTTATGCCTGGCTAATTTTTTGTATTTTTTTTAGAGATGGGGTTTCACCGTGTTGGTGAGGCTGCTCAAACTCCTGACCTCAGGTGATCCATCCACCTCGGCCTCCCAAAGTGCTGGTTTACAGGCGTGAGCCCAGCCAAATCCCAGCACTTTGGGCAGCCAAAGTGGGAAGATTTCTTGAGCCCAGGAGTTGGAGACCACCCTGGGCAACATAGCGAAACCCTGTCTCTACAAAAAATACAAAAATTAGCTGGGAGTGGTGGTGCATGCCTGTAATCCCAGCTACTTGGGAGGCTGAAGTGGTAGGATCACCTGAGGTCAAGGCTACAGTGAGCCGAGATAGTGCCACTGCACTCCAGCCTGGGTGACAGAGTGAGACTCTGTCTCAAAAAACAAAAAAAATTTATTTACATTTTAAAAGGGGATTTATTTAGGAAACATAAAAATAACTATATACCATAAATTGTCCAATTATTATGTCAATTAAAAATAAAATTTTAATACATGACATTTCATAGGCCACTTTATTTACATGCTAAAACAGAGAGTAATAACATACATGTTTTTACAAACATAACACTCAGATATACCGACAGTCACACAAATGTAACGGTTATGAGCAGATAAACCATATTTATAAAAGAAATGGTCGGCCAGGCACGGTGGCTCACACCTGTAATCCCAGCACTATGGGAGGCCGAGGCAGGTGGATCACGAGGTCAGGAGATCGAGACTATCCTGGCTAATACAGTGAAACCTCGTCTCTACTAAATATACAAAAAATTAGCTGGACATGGTAGCAGGCGCCTATAGTCCCAGCTACTCAGGAGGCTGACGCAGGAGAATGGCGTGAACCTGGGAGGTGGAGCTTGCAGTGAGCACAGATCGTGCCACTGCACTCCAGCCTGGGTGACACAGCAAGACTCCGTCTCAAAAAAAAAAAAAAAAAAGGAAATAGGTCAAAAAGTGAAATATATAAATGTATATCCCCATAGTTGATAATTCTGTACACCTCCATTGATAACTGTGGTCCTCTGAAATACTACGACAAACAACCTAAGTCTTTTGACAAAATTGATCGAAAACCTCAGTGAGTCATCACCATATATGCAGTTGCCCAAAGAGCCAAGAGCTCAAGAAATTTTTTTTCACAAATGCAGATGTACAAAAAGGACATCTCTTCATTTATTAAGAAAGTTTAAATGTTTTTGTTGTTCTTTTTTGGTTTTTGGTTTTTTTTTTTTGAGACGGAGTCTTCCTCTGTGACCCAGGCTGGAGTGCAGTGGCATGATCTCGGCTCACCGCAACCTCTGCCTCCCAGTTCAAGCAATTCTCCTGTGTCAGCCTCCTCAGTAGCTGGGATTACAGGTGCACACCACCACGCCTGGCTAATTTTTTTGTAATTTTAGTAGAGACAGGGTGTCACCATGTTGGCCAGGCTGGTTTCGAACTCTTGACCTCAGGTGATCCACCTGCCTTGGCCTCCCAAAGTGCTGGGATTACAGGCATCAGCCACCAGGCCTGGCCTCAATGTTTTTACATACACAAAATCAACATTGTGATAATATATTTTGATGGAGTCAAATTTGCAAAATATTCATAAAATGAATTAGAACTCTCCTCAAATTTTCACCCAATTCATACTTCCAGTATTGAAAATAATGCGAAGATGAAATGCATAGCATAGTGAATTGGTGCAATATGTGAAGGGGCAGAAGTTGTACATGATTGAATAATTTGGCAGGAAAGAGTTCTTAGATTTTTCACCTGCATTTTCACTTCTATAACCTTTGAAACACCTGCTGCACTTGTATTTGGACAGTGGTTGTGATCTACAAATTTTGTAAGTATATGTTGTCCACCTGAAAGCCTGGTTATTGCTCAGCCATTGCAATTCAATTATTTTCTGCTTTCAAAGCACCAATAATAATTAGCTTTTAAACCATTAGGTAGCCTTGTATGCTTAACTTAATCACATCCTTTTTTGAAGGAACAATTTCATAGGTCTCTTCCATTGTATTGTAAGGAATACAGTGAGAAGGAATCATATTGGGCCTCCCCAGTACCAAATCTTTATTAGTCAGGCTTCTCCAGAGAGACAGAACCAATAGGATATGTGTATAAATATGAGAAAGGACTTATTAGGAAACTGGCTTATGTGCTTATGGTGACTGAGAAGTTCCACAATAGGCCTGCAAGCTGGACACCCTGGGATGCTGGTAACATGGCTCAGTCCAAGTGCAAAGGCCTCAGAACCAGGGAAACCAATCATTAACTTTAAATCCAGGCCAAAAGCCTCAGAACCCCAGGGAGTGGGAGTGTAGGGAGCAGGGGTGGTCAGGTGTAAGTCCTGGCATTTAAAGGCTGGAGTTCTGATGTCCACAGCAGCAAGAGAAAAATTGGTCCCAGCTCTGAGAGAGAGACCAGCTTGCCTTCTATATTTCTTCTCTCCAATTACATGGTGCCTGCCAACACTGAAGGCATCTCTTTCCTACCTAGTCCACTCGGACTCCCACACTAATCTCTGGAAACACCCTCACGGACACGCCCAAAATAATACTTTCCCAAATTTCTAGGTATTCTTTAATCCAGTCAAGCCAACAACTGAAATTAAGACCATAAATCCACCCCTTGTCAGTTTGGCACCCATAATGCATCTCCTTTAAACTGTACTTAATTTCCAAATAAAGACAGTAACAGATGCACCTACCATGATGCACCTAGCCTGCATACAACTGAAAACACAGTGGAAATCCCCTCCCTAGAATTCAGTTTTCAGGATTTCAACAGTCGAGATTTTAATTGTTCAAGATTGTGATTTGGGGATTTTAGACTTTAAGGATTTTTTATCTTTTGGGATTTTGATCTTTTGGGATTTTTACATTCTGGATCATGGCATCTGTGATTGTGTCTTTCAGTATTATGATCAGCTCTGGTTTAAAAAAAATGAACAAGTGATATGAAGAGAAATTTTCACAGACATACATGAATGTAAATTGCCTATATACAGATGAAAATATTTTTATTTTTATAATGTAAATTTTAAAATAAGTTGTGAATTTCCACCTATCAAACTGGCAGTGATTATAAACAAAAGCGATATTCATTGATTGAGCCATTTTAGTATAACTTTTCTGGAGGACAGTCTGAAGTATGTATCAAAAGCCTTAAAAAAATACATTTTAACCCAGCACTTTTACTTTTAGAAAAAATTTTTTGATGGTACATAATGGGGTCTCACTATGTTGACCAGGCTTGTCTCAAACTCCTGGCCTCAAGCAATCCTCCTGCCTCAGCCTCCCAAAATGCTGGGCTTATAAGCATGAGCCACCATGCATGGCCTAATTTTACTTTTATTAATTTTTTTCACAAGGAAATATTAGGCAGTTTTGCAAAGATATGTTACCAAAATGTTCCTTATGGCATTCTCCATGTAGCAAAAAGGTAGAAATAATCTAAATGTTTGTTAGAAAAAAGGTTGGTTAAATAAGTGATGTCACAAAGTGGATTACTGGGCAGTCATTAAAAAGCTAAGGTAACTATAAATATATTGTCAAAGATTTAAAATATTAAGTTTAAAAAAGCATGTTACAAAATAATGTGTATGGCATTATGTTGTTTTTATTTAAAAGTTTATAGCGGGTGAAGTCTGGATGGCTAAAATATTAAGCATGTTACTCTTGAGAATGTAATTCAAAAACATGGTGTTCTTATATTTTAATTCAATAATTTCACTTGTAGGAATCCCTTCTAAAGAAATAATACGAACATGAGAAGCACAAAAGTATTTGTCACAGTGCATTTCTAATTTATGATAGTAGGAATATCCAAAAATGGCAGAACGGTTAAAAGTTTTTTTAAAAAATAAGTTTAGGAATCTCATATGGGAGCCCGCTGCTTACCAAGGATTTGTTTTTTTCTGTTTATTACAGATAGGATTAAGGTAGAATTGGAAATTGATCCAGAAAAGACCACCTGAAATTTCTGTCTCCAAAATCTCCTCATTCTTGCAAAACCTGCTCTTCAGCCTTTCATCCTGGGACCCATTTCAGTTCTTCCAGTCTTCACCCGGCTTCTGACTTTTTTCTTCCCTTTTCTTTCCTTCTCCTCTTTAGTAGTTAATTCAATTCCTCTCTTACCAGCACCTCACATTATTTCCCTCTTCCTCTTGGTCATCCTCTGCAACTCATTTGCCCATTTGAAACCCAGAATGCATGCTGTGTGTCCCTCCTCCTGTGCTGCCACACATTCTTGGAAGGACTTGGATCGTTTTTCATCTACTTAGTACAAGTGTAAGAGTTCCATCTTCAGCTAGGCTCATGGTATAGCTTGGCAAGTCTGTACCTAATCTCTTATGTCCTTTTAACACCCCCACCCCCTGAGCTAATCAATATCTTTACTGTGTCACCTACTTCCTACCATTCATGAGATACCTAGCCTTTTCTCCCCCATATGGAGAAATCAAGGCCATCAGACACACACTCCCCAAGCATCCCTCCTCTCTTCCTCTAATATCTGTCTTTGTTGCTCTCATGCCCTTCCCTGCTGTTCAATGGAAGAGATTCAGCTAATTATTTCCAAGACTGAAACCCTTATTTAAGTTCTTTAATTCTCATCCTTTCTTTTCTAGGACCTGTGTTTTGTTTTTTCCTAAGTTATGTAACCTCTTCTAGAGTTTCAGTCCCTCCTCCCGTGGTGGTTCTTTTCCCTTTGTTTTCTAATATTTCAGTCTCTTCTATGCTAAAATTCCTTCCTCAGCTTTGACTCTTATGTCTTGCCTTTCTCTTTTCCTTACTGCTATACTTGTTAAAAGAATAGTCTGGATTTATAGCATTCCTCACCTTCCAGTTTTGTTCTACTTCATTGATTCACTCATCTGTTCATGGGCCAATACCCCATTCACTTTTTAATCTAATGCCATCTGCTCTTCTAATACTTTGATGAGGTCACCAGTCCTGTGTGCCAAAATTAGTCTCCTCATTTTAGTATTCATGCCAGTTCTTGCTCTCTTTGAACACTTGATATTATCCCTTCTTTCTTGAAATCATGTTCTTCCTTGGCTTTCACAGCCCTATTTTTTTAAAATCTCCTCCTCCTCTCAGAGCCGTTTATCCTTTTCTACTATATAAATGTAAGTGTTCCCCCCAGTTCCATCAGCGTTACTTATGTCATACATTTATGTTTTATACATTTACCCTGGATAACAATCTATTTTTGTGGCTTCAGCTATCATTTACATGCAGATTATTTCCAAATTTTTGTTTCCAACCTCTGCCCCTTTCTTAAGCTCCAGCTGCCTGTTGCGTATTCCTGTGTCCAACTGCAGATCATTATTGGTCAATATATCAGTATCAGTGCAGTCAATAGCAGTCAATATCAGTACTCCTGCATTGCCCTATTAAGGCCTGTTTTTCTTTTGTTTAGTATCCCCATCTGTTTCATTGCTCAAGCTAGAAACCTCGAAGTTATCCTTAATTCCTTTTTCCTCTTTAACACTCCTATACAGTATAATGAATTACCAAGTCTTCCGCTTAAACCTCTCCAGTAGCTTCTCAGCTGGTCACCCTGGTTTCAATCCTGGGAAATCCCTCCTGCTACTGTTAGATAAATAATAAAAATACAGATTTGGTGATATTATTCTCTTGCTTAGAAACGTTTGGTGGCTTCTGTTTCTTTGATGATCAGGTTTTTTTTAGACCAAAATCAGTATGAATTGGCCAAAAATTTTTATGTTCTACTTTTAGTTTGAAGAGGAAGTCTTAGAGATATACTCTGGATACTGAGATACCAAAATTCTCAGCCGCATCAATAGATTGTTGTTATGGAAACAGGCAAGTTATGATCACTGCATCAATTAATCATTCCTGAAGCACCTGCTATGTGCACTAGATACTAATAGGTACTGATCATATAAAAAGTGAAAAAACATAGCCCCTTATCTCCAGGTGCTAAAAGTCTAGCAAAGGAAATAGATATGGAGGTTGAACATTCTTAACCTGGAAATGAAATGTCCCAAAGTTTGAAACTTTGAGCGCTAACCTGATGCCACAGTAGAAAATTCCACATCTGACCTTATATATTATCCCAGAAAGATGCTGACCACAGCTGATAAGATCACCTTTATAGGAATTAAGGATGCTAAGGATAGAATAACTATGCTGGGGGCTGTGCTAATGCAGCAGGTATGTGTAAGTGTAAACTTGCTGTGATTCCACGTGGTGGCGGAGAGTGACACCTTCACTTTCTGATGGTTCAGTGTACACAAACTTTGTTTCATGCACAAAATTATTTAAAACATTGTATAAAATTATCTTCAGGCTATGTATGTAAGTTGCATATGAAATATAAATGTATTTTGTGTTTAGATTTGGGTCCCCTCCCCCAATATAGCTCATTATGTATATGCTAATATTTCAAAATATGAAATCCCAAATGCTTCTGGTCCCAAACATTTAAGAGAAGGGATATTTGGCCTATAAATGATTGCAGCAATGTTGATGATTTACTAGGAGTTCTTACTAGTTGTTGTGTGAACTAGAGTATAATAGTCAAAATGTATTAAGCATTCACTATGTGCCAGGCACTATGCTAAGTCTTCCAGCTTTATATATATTACTTATATGCTTTATTTACACTGTTTATAAATTTTAGAACACAATTTTATATATAAGAAAAAAAAATCAACCTTAGGTTGTGCTGTATTACAAATAGCAGAGCCAGAATTTAGTCCAGGAGTGTGAGATTCCAAAGCTTCTGCTTTTATCCATATACTGTGCTCCTTTACTCTGCCTGGGAGGTTAGGGAGTGCTTCCTGGAGGAGGAGGCATTTCACAGTATATATTAGCCCATCATTGCCTTACTCTGAATTTTTTGAGTTGTTTTCCCCTCATCCTGTGCTCTTCTCCCTGACTTCTATTCTACCTCATCTCCTTCTAGTCCTTTTCTACCTCACCCTACATTCTTGGCACACTGCTTTTTTTGTCATTCCATTGTCATCTTCCCTGCATTATTTACGACAAGAAGTCTGTGATCATTCTTACCTTGGTTCACCTATAAATGTGCCTTTTTAAAGATTTTCCTCTTTCTCACTGGTTTTTAGCAATTTGAGTATAGTGCCTTGGTTTTATTTGTATTTATCTGGCTTGGAGTTCATTGAGCTACTTAAATTTTTTTGTTTATAGTTTTTATCAGATTTGGAAATTTTTCAGCCATGGGTATGTTTTCTAATATTTTCCTACCCCTACCTCTCTTCTCTTATTCCTTGAATTACAGTGTATTAAATGGCTTGATGCTGTCCCATAGATCCCTGGGGTCCTGTTTGTTTTGTTCAGTCTTTTTTCCCTCCCTCTCTCTCTCTGTGCTTCCATTGACAGCTTATTTTGCTGCATCTTAAAATTCACTGATTCTTCTGCAGTGTCTGATCTGCTATAAAGACTATCCAATGGGTTTTTCATTTGAGATACTGTATTTTTCACCTATGAAAGTTCCTTTTGGTTCTTTTTGTAACCTCCATCTCTTACATGATTATGTTCATATTTTACTTTAAATCTTTGAGCATCTTTATAATGCCTGTTTTAAGGTCCTTATCTGCCAATTCCATCATCTCTGTCATTTCTGGGTCTGCTTTTATTATTTTTCCTATTGGTTGTGAATTGTAATTTGTGGCATTTTCAGATATCTAGAAATTTTTGGTAAAATGACATACATTTGGAATGTTGCAGGGTTGAGTAGATTTTATCCCATTAAAGAATGGTGAAGTATGTTTTGGCAGTCATTTAAATTACTTGTAGATCAGTTTGGTTAGGACAGACCTAGAACTAGGTTAGCCTTGATATAAAGGATGGCCCTCCCAAAGAAGTCTGTTCGTTGCCCCAGTGTTTAGAGTGGCTTTTCTACTCTAGCTTGACAAAATTTAAATGTCTTACCCTTGTTCTTTGTGAACACTGGGAATTTCTCAGCCTTATAATTTTCCAGAGTTATTTTGTCTAAGACTTCAAAGTACTATTGAGCAGATCTCTTTGTGCAGCTCCCTCCTCTCTGGTACTCACCTGCCAATTCCAGCTGTCTTAGCCTTGCCAAACTCCCAGTCTGTCTTCTCAGCTTAGCATGGCTGCTGCATTCCACTTCTGCTTGGGTTCCTCCCCTACCCTATACCCCTGTCCATAAATTGTTACCAAGTAGGAAGATTGGAGAGCTTACCTTTTCTCACAGCTCATGGTCCTATACCTGTTGTTCTAATGCCTGAAATAGTTGGTTCATATGCTTTAATTTTCTAGTTGTTTATAGCCAGAGGGCAAGTGCCATACCATTTGGTTGGATGGGGAAGTAGAAACTTGCCCTTTAATGAGTGTACCATGTATTTTTTACACAATGTGCCCTCACACATGTGCTCCCTCTATCTAGGATGTGCTGTTACCATTTCATCTAGTGGACTTCTAAGTAATCCTTCAAGGCTCAGAATAAATGTCATCTTTCCAAGATTTTTTTTTTCTACTTCCTTTCCAATTAATTGCTCAATTGCTAAGTTATCAAGTCATTTAATATATAATTTCACATATATATTAATGCATATGTATTTGTTATTTAAATATCTTTCATTTTTCTCTTCCCCACTAGAGCTTGAAGGACCAGACATACTTATTTGTAATTATCTTTCTATCTCTAGGATGGAGCATAGGGCCTAACATATTTGATGGTTTGTTGAATTTGAATAATGAGAAAGTAAAGATCCAAACTGGGCCTCAGAGCAGGACAGAAATGGAAATGCTACTTTAGATAGAAAAAACAGTGTTTGGTTTGAGGCGGGAAGCTATGATACAGCCAAGGTGCAGGCAGCTAGGGAAACTCAGTTACTCTTAGCTTCTAAACATCAGTTATATGGCTCTGAATAATGTTGGTCAAAAGATAATCATCTCACAACTTTCCAATGACCACTAGAAAGTTGAAATTTTAAAGTTCTAAATGTTTTCTGTAAAAGTAGTTTTTGTACAAAACTTTTTTTGTTAACAGTTTTTTAATTAATTTCCCAGTAAAATTTTTTGGTTAAAAAGTAGTGTTGCTGTAGTTAAAGATAGAAAAAGCAAAGCTATTATAGGGCTTCTCTAGCTTCCATGTGAAGGAAAGTACTTTGTGTAAATTAGTTAATATTATATTTTCTGTTACTATACTTGAGAGATGCTTTTAACATCTCAGATTGTTCTTTAGTGAGATCACATTTAGTGATATTAGTTAATATGGCATTTAGTTTAGTTAATGAGTAAAATCCACAGTTAAACAGGGTTATATGATTATATGTTGTACCGAGAGAAATATAGTCTCTTTTTTTTTGAGAGGAATGAATGTCATCTTAATGGTCACTCAATCTAGCTTTTCGATTTTCTTTTTTTTTTTTTTTTTTTTTTTTGAGATGGAGTTTTGTTCTTGTTGCCCAGGCTGGAGTGCAATGGTGTGATCTCGGTTCATCCCAACTTCTGCCTCCCAGGTTCAAGTGATTCTCCTGCCTCAGCCTCCTGAGTAGCTGGGATTACAGGCATGCGCTACCATGCCTGGCTAATTTTGTATTTTTAGTAGAGACAGGGCTTCTCCATGTTGGTCACGCTGGTCTGGAATTCCTGATCTCAGGTGATCTGCCTGCCTCAGCCTCCCAAGGTGCTGGGATTACAGGTGTGAGCCACTGTGCCCAGCCTCAATTTTATTATAATAGTCTATATTTGAAATACATACTTGAAAATTTTCACAAAACTGTAGTTAGCAGTATATTTTGTGCTTATGTAAACTACTTAAATTGTTGAAAACACCAAGAAGAAACCATTTGTTAAAGCAAGAATGGGGCCGGGCATGGTGGCTCACGCCTGTAATCCCAGCACTTTGAGAGCCCAGGGTGGGTGGCTCACGAGGTCAAGGAGATCGAGATCATCCTGGCCAACCTGGTGAAACCCCGTCTCTACTAAAATACAAAAAAATTAGCCGGGCGTGGTGGCCCACGCCTGTAGTCCCAGCTACTCGGGAGGCTGAGGCAGGAGAATCGATTGAACCCAGGAGGCGGAGGTTGCAGTGAGCTGAGATCACGCCACTGCACTCCGGCCTGGTGACAGAGCAAGACTCCGTCTCAAAAAAAAAAAAAAAAAAAAAAGCAAGAATGGGTAACTTTATAGTGTAAAGAGACTAATTGCTCTTAAAATTTAGGTAAAGAAATCCTTGTGTTTATGTAAATTGATAGTAATGGGCTGAGGAACTCAGATGACAATAAACTGTGATTAAGAAACTGTTTCAGCCAAAATGCAGTTCTTTATTTCAATTGAGGAACACAGTTCTGTTACCAGCAAATTGTGGCCTGTATGTGCAGAGGGCTTAGTAAACTGTACATTACATCGTGGTGCATCTTGAGCTACTTGGAACTGAGTTGGCTCAGCCTATACCGTGTTTTGATTCAGGTTGTTAAATCCATACTAACAGTTATACAGGCTGGGTACAAAGGCTTATACGTGTAATCCCAACACCTTTGGAGGCCAAGGTGGGAGGATCACTTGAGCACAGGAGTTTGAGACCAGCCTGGGCAACATAGTGAGGTCCCATCTCTATTTTTCAAAATAAAAATACATTTTTTAAAAAAGGTATACAGTTACTGCCAGACTGTAATTAATTTACTCTGTAGTTTTGGTGTAAGTGTTCGCCATTTCTTATGAGTTATATATTACTTTAATTTTGCCCTTCTCTAGTGCTGCTGGGGGTGAAATCTTTGACCAGTGTGTTGCAGACAGAGAAGAAGCCTTTAAAGAAAAAGATGTTCAAAGACTTATGCGACAGATTTTAGAAGGTGTTCACTTTTTACACACTCGTGATGTAGTTCATCTTGATTTGAAGGTAAGATTCAAATTACAATTTTGAGATTGCTAAAGAATGACATTCAAGACATAAAATATTTAACAGTGATTTATTCAAACATGTTTCACGTTTGTGTATTATTAGGTAACAAGGATATTAGAATTGAGTCTTTACTCCTATCCTCTAGCCAGTTAGTTTTATCAGGGAGATAATGCACACATGTGTACATGGAAAGATACAAAATAATACAATGCCAAAGAAAGGAACTCAAAATATGATAAGACAGAACTTGAGCTAGATCTTTTGAAAAGTTAGGATTTAGATAAGTTGAGAAGAATGAGAGAAAATTGCTCACAAGAGTTAGGAATATTTGTGATGTGTTTGGGAAAAAAATAAATGGAATCATTTCACTGGAATTGAGAAATCAATTAGGAGATATTAAAAGCTGGGGAAAGGCTGGATTCTAGGGGTTTCATATGTCATGAAGACATAGATGATTTTTGAGCCAGGAATATTCGAGAAGCAGTGTTTTGGAAAATAGGCAGCAGTAAATAAATGAGAAAATTAAAGAGATTAGAGGCAGGTAGATTTCTAATTTAAAATCATCAAAGGCGGAGAAGAGGAAGGAAAGAAAAACAAAGGACAGTATATCAGTTATGTTCCTTTCAAGTGATCAGGGTGCCAGCTGAAACCAGGGTAAGCAAAACAAGGAAATTTTAGTGGCAAACAAGTCCAGGGATAATTCTAGCTTCAGTTATGACAGTATTCAGGGTTCAAAAACTGTTGCTAGTACTCAGTTTTTCTCCAGCATTCAGCTCTGCCTTCTTTGAATGACAGTAAGATGGTAATAAAGTAGGTGCTGCTGTTCAGCCTTGCAGCTACCTGGAGACAGCAGGAAAGTCAGTCTCTGCTCACAGCTCTGTCCAAAGTTCTGAGATTCACTCTGATTACACCAGCGTAGATCAATTTGGAACCAGTAAGTGTGCTGGTTGGTGTAGGGCTTTGGCTTTCCATGCCAGTGTCATCAGTGTCATAGGCTCCAACTCTGGAGGAAGAGGTATAACACTTTCTACCATCCTAACCTTTACGTGGACTGAGTGAAGAAGGGATGGATTCTCAAAACCAGTTGTGTTTCTGAAAGAACAAAGAATGGGTGCTCAGGAGACAATAAAGGTCCACTATGATGATTCTTAGTATATTCCTGCAGGTGTCTGTGGTAGGCAAGTTTAAGATCTCTGTTGATTTTCTGATGGTTACTTTCATATCAAGTCCAGGTGCAACTGTGGGGAAATGAAACATTCCTCAAACACAGAACATGCCACAGCAACCCTAGTTCCTAGTGTTTATTTCATTTACAAAGATGGCCTTACTGGCCAGAGGAAATAGGGTTAGGAAGGATGGTAACCTGAGAAGGCCGAAGCCTCTGGACCACCCCCAAAAAACTTTCCCATCCTGAATTGCAGCATCATCTCACACCACGATCATCTACTGATCTACCTTGACCTCTGCTGTAGTATCCCCTCTAGCAGAAAGTAGATGCTTAATGGCAGTGTTCTCTGACCCAGACATGAATCAGAATCACCTGGAAGGGCTTGTTAATACAAATTGCTAGGCCACAACCCTAAAGTTTCTGATTCAGGGTAGGGCAAGGCGAGGCTTAAACTTCAGGCCAGGGGCCACTTTAAGAATTGCTATATGGCCAGGGCCGGGCGCGGTGGCTCACGCCTGTAATCCCAGCACTTTGGGAGGCCGAGGTGGGCGGATCACAAGGTCAGGAGATCGAGACCATCCTGGCTAACACGGTGAAACCCTGTCTGTAGTAAAAATACAAAAAAATTAGCCAGGCATGGTGGTGGGTGCCTGTAGTCCCAGCTACTTGGGAGGCTGAGGCAGGAGAATGGTGTGAACCCAGGAGGTGGAGCTTGCAGTGAGCCGAGATCGTGCCACTGCACTCCAGCCTGGGCAACAGAGCGAGACTCCGTCTCAAAAAAAAAAAAAAAAAAAAAAAAAGACTTGCTATATGGCCAGGTGTGGTGGCTCATGCCTGTAATCCCAGCACTTTGGGAGGCCGAGCCAGGCAGATCACTTGAGGTCAGGAGTTCAAGACCAGCCTGGCCAACATGGTGAAATCCCATGTCTACTAAAAATACAAAAAATTAGCCAAGTGTGGTGGCGCACGCCTATAGTCCCAGCTACTCCAGAGGCTGAGGGGGGAGAATCGCTTGAATCCGGGAGGTGGAGGTTGCAGTGAGCTGAGATCACGCCATTGCACTCTAGCCTAGGCAACAGAGCGAGACTTCGTCTCAAAAAAAGAACTGCTATATGGCACATTCCGTAATACCTTTGTTTATTTATATAGATAGATAGAGTCATACTATATAAATATAAATTCATATATGTATATATTTAATACTATATAAATAACTGCTTAATTTTTATTGCATGAAGGCGCACTCTCAAGAAGGAGTGTACAGGCTGGGCGCAGTGGCTCATGCCTGTAATCCCAGCACTTTGGGAGGTCAAGGAGGGCAGATCGCTTGAGGTCAGGAGTTTGAGACCAGCCTAGCCAACATGGTGAAACCCTATCTCTACGAAAAATACAAAAATTAGCTGGGTGTGGTGGCAGGCACCTGTAATCCCAGCTACTTGGGAGGCTGAGGCAGGAGAATCGCTTGAACCTGGGAGGTGACGGTTGCAGTGAGCCGAGATTGCGCCACTGCACTCCAGCCTGGCTGACAGAATGAGACTCCGTCTCAAAACAAAAAAAAGAGGATACAGTGTGTATAATCTGGAGGTTGACTTCTACAGCAAACTTGATAATGTCCCATTTGAATTTAGGTGGAAAGGTAGTTTCTTTTTAAATACTAGTTTCCTACAGAAAAATTTACTCGTTTCCTACAGAAAAATACAGGGAAAAGAAAACAATGTGGAAGTTTTCTTGTTCTCTTTTGAAAGATGCCAATGTAAATTCATTTTATACACATTTATCTTTTCTCAAAGATATTAATTTTTTAATACCATGGCTAAAATGGACACTCAGGACCCAGTAGCCACATGGTACACAGTGGCGTTTTTTGAAAGCAAGTATGGACATGTGCACACCCACACGCTGAGGTGGCCTGATGTTAATGCTGAAGGTTACCTAGTTAAAACCTTTCATAGCTTGGGTGGGGGCATTGCTTTTCCCCTTCAGTGTGTCATATGCATAAGAAGTTCAAAGATCCTTGCTGCAAGAAATTTCCACCTTGCTTCCCTCGGGAACATTTACAAGGAAGATATGGCCTCCGCAGTACGGACTTTCACTGGGCTAATACTTTAAGTATTAGCCATGCAGAGGAATTCCCAAAATAAATGTTTATGCTGTAGCTTCTTTCATGTTTGGTTTTACACTCTTAACTTTGCAAAATCGTGTATCTGTTTTATTTTTTAATGATGTTTTACTAGTCTTATGATGGACTTCCAGGAAGAGAACCCCAATTTAAATAGCATTGCACCTATAGGAAATGAGCTTTCAGCTTATGACAGTTGAACCTGTGACTATTCAAGAACTAATTAAGTAGCAAGTCAAACAGGTTGTCAGCACCATGTGTCATGGATCTTTGATGTTACTTGAGAGCATCAAAGGTGAATATTAAGTTCTTGAATACCAACTTTAAGTGTGTATTTACACAAGGAAATTATATCCCTTTCTCCTCAGTATATTCAGTATCAATCATATTCCTTTCTCTCTAATACACTTGGTTTAGAATTCTTTCCAGATTCAGTAGAGGCCTTGATGACGATGACAGGCCTTTGATGTTGGAAACTGGACTCTCCATGTTTCCTCGACCCAGAGGAACTAGAAGACAAAGTGGTCCAAAGGGTTCTCAGCCTTCCTTCTGCCTTCATGCCCCTCCATGTGCAGTCAGACATGTCTCTGAGTCAACTACTGGAGGGAGAGGATAGAGATGGGGTTGGTATGGCAACCATGCATGCGGGAGTGATTTCTACTAAAAGGTCATTTCCAATTGGCCTCTGTGAGTCTGGATGAAGTGAGTCTGCTGTCCTCTGTCTTCGACAGTGTGTGCTCATAATGTTGACTCTTGGTCTCTAGAAGCGTTTGAAAGACTAGGCTATTTTTTAAGAAATTATTTTCCCACATTGCCTCAAAGCTAAATATATTATGTTTTCATTCTCTAAAAACTGATAATCCCAATATGTATGGTAATTTTGAATTATTAGGCTATTTAGTCTCCATGCTGGTTAAAATGGGAAACTCCTGTCCCTGTGACAGAAGTTAGTTGGAAGTTAAAACAACTGTTATAGTTGCTTCTATTAAGGATATAATTGACGCTATGGGAAATACACTGCTTAGCTTTGGTGCAGAGCCTGAATGATCAATTTGCCAAAAGACTGATTCACTGAAGACTGTCAGCCAAATATCTTAAATAGAGCTGGGAAAGTTCTTGGGGTGGGGGAGGGAGTAGCAGATGCAGATTTAGGAGTCTGTAAAAGTATGAGTCCATACAGCCACAAAAATAGAAAAGACAAGCCATGATTAAGAGAAAACCCATTCGTTTAATATATAAAATGTTGCAGAAATTGCAAATCTGAGAAACAACAACCCTGGCAAAGTCAGAACAAAACCAACTAAAAGTACCCAAACAGTCTCAATAATTTGGTGAATTAGTCATTCAGTACAGCGGCCTGGTTTTAGTCCTGTCAGAGGGAGGGAGGACTGACTAAAAATAGCACAAAGAAATCTGGTCTTAAAATCTATTGCTCTTTTTTCTTCAAATGGTGTTGTACTGGTTCAGTCTTTCAGCAGTGTTAGTACAGTCAGCCCTCTGCATCCATGGATTCAACCAACCACAGGTTGAAAATATTCAGGGTGCAAAAATTCCACAAAGTTCCAAAAAGCTAAACTTGAATTGGCCCCCCACCAAGTATTTCATTGAATCCACACAAATGAGGTGATGTGTGGTATTATAATAGCTATTCTGAGTAACCTAGAGATGATTTAAAGTTTACAGGAGGATGTGCTTAGGTTATATGCAAATACTGTACCATTTCCTATCAGGAACTTGAGCATCACAGATTTTGGTATCTGCAAGGAGTCCCTGAACCAATCCCCACTGATACCATGGGACAACTATACTAGGATTCTATCACTAACTTTTCCACCCAGTTATGCTCATGGTTAAAAGTAGACTAGAAGAAGGCCAGGTGTGGTGGCTCACACCTGTAATCCCAGCACTTTGGGAGGCTGAGGTAGAAGGACCACATGAGCCCAGGAGTTTGAGACCAGCCCAGGCAACATAGTGAGACCTCATCTCCACAAAAAATTAAAAAAATCAGCCAGCCATGGTGGCACGCGCCTTTAGTCCCAGCTACAGAGGAAGCTGAGGTGGGAGGATTGCCTGAGCTCAGGAGTTCGAGGCTGCAGTGGGCTATGATTGCACCCTGCATTCCAGCCTGGGGAACAGAGTGAGATCCTGTCTCAAAAACTTTTTTATTAAAACATTAATTTCTAAAAATTAATTTCAAAAAAAGTAGCCAGAAGCTGGGACTTTCCATATGAGATTTAAATTTGAGCATCAGTATATTACTTGAAAGCAGGGGTAATAAAAACATTCCTAAACAGTCCCCCAAATTAATTTAGATGGGATTATTAACCTATTTCTCTACTCTAACCTGGGTTTTAATAGTTAATATACTAGAACTTTAATTGTCTGATAAAATGTTCCTTAAAACCCTGCCCATGACACCCTAAGCCTTATTGAGCAGGTTAACCTCAACTTTACAATGATCTTAGCCGCCAAATCTTCTCCAGTGGTGATTGTTCAGTAAACGTTAAATGGATTATGTACAAAGATGAAGATACCGAGATAAATAAAAGACTTCCCTACAGCCACCATCTATTTACGGACCGTCTGCAGGTTTTCTGCCTATTCCACTGTTATCACCTCTCTATTGATTGACCTTGCTTCTTTCTCTCCCTTACTACCTGGGATTCATATATTTTAAATAGAACTAGATTTTGTGTGCCACAACTTCTTTATAATGAACTGGATTCCCTAGAAAGGAAGTTTAACTAAATTGTAAATGCTGAGGTACTTAGCTTTGTTTTCAGGACATGTATTTCGGCTTATTGGAAGTAGATATATTTCACCATCGAAGAACTAACAGAGCTTATAGTCCTGTAATTGTATATATATTTTATTTAGAGAAGCAAAGTCTATTTTTAAAAATAGCCCTGTGGTCAAAATTGGGCACAGTTAGTTGGTAAAGGCCACATAATAAATATTAACTGAAATCCCATGAAATAGCTCTGATTTTATGAGAAATGTGTTTATTCTAGCAACCTCTCTCTCAGTTGTTTAACTTCATTTTTAGAAAGTCTCTCACATTGGTGTATCATAGATGCATGTAACAGGGCCTAGACTTCTCATACAATAAGATTTTAATAATTTGATCACACTGATTTAGGATTTACAACATTACCACCAAACCAATTAGTTTTTGCATAGTAACTAAAGAAAGCATTTCTCAGGGAATATAAAGTGTAAATACATAAAAGGGAAAAACATTTAAACTATTTTAAGGGAACAAATGGTATTTAAGAACATTCATAGAATGTACATGTTTACTAATCACAAGAAAATCTCAAGATTTGGTGAAGATTTTCCCTAGCAGTATTTCACCTGGCATTTTGCGTGTACTCAAAAGGGCAAAACATTCAATTATGAATATGTATCACTGAACCAAAGCCCTCCTATCAAATTTGCCTGAATAATAAGACATTTTGTGGTTACTATAGTTTTTGTTTTGTTTTTTGTTTGTTTGTTTGTTTTTGATAGGGTCGTATTCTGTTACCCAGATTGGAGTGCAGTGGCACTATCTCGGCTCACTGCAACCTCTGCCTCCCAGGCTCAAGTGATCCTCCCACCTCGGCCTCCCAAGTAGCTGGGACTACAGGTGTACACCACCATGCCTGGCTAATTTTTTGTATTTTTGGTGGAGACAGGTTTTCATCATGTTGCCCAGGCTGGTCTCGAACTCCTAAGCTCAAACAATCCACTCACCTCGGCCTCCCAAATTGCTGGAATTACAGATGTGAGCCACTGCGCCCAGCCCTTTTGTTGTACTATAGTATTTTATTAACATACGAAAACTAAAATTGCCTTGAAAAGTCTGAGGACTCATAGTCATGATGGTACATAGGTGTTTTTTTCGTGAAGAATTAGCTAGAAGCTAATTAACAAAGAAAACGTGGCCTGCCTTCTGCCATTTACTCCAGAATAGCCTACAAAGCCCTGTGATCTCCTAGCCATTTCCTTTCCAACCTCATGCCTCCCACCACTCGTACCCCTTTTGCCTTGTGCTGTCGTCCAGCCACACAGGATTTCCTGCAGATGCTCCACAGCAGTACGGCCTCTATACTTCTCTTCCCTCTGCCTGGAATGCTTCCTGCTTACTCCAACCCCTCCAGGACACTGAGCTGTGACTGGCTCTTTTTTAACATTGTCCTCTCCTCCCTCAGGTTGCCTTCTTAGAGAGGCCTTCTCTGACTCCCCTAAAGATAACATGCCCATGCACACACCCCAAGCAACCACTCTCGCCCATCACCCTGCTTTGAGTTCCCCATAGTGCTTAAAGCGACCTGAGGTGTACTTATTTGTCTTAAGATGCAGGGCTCCAAAAGAGAGGACTGGTGTCTTGTTTTCTGTTATTTCCCCAGGGCCTAGCTCATTAGGCAATCAATAAATATTTGTTGAAAAAATGAGGAAATCTTTTTACCCTTCAGGGTCTGCTCACATATCTCCTCTGTAATTTTCCAGGGCAGAATTAATCACTCTGATATATTTATCGCCTGAGCACTTTGTATATATTGCTTTCATGGTGCAATTCACAGAAGAGTGACTTGAGCCTGGCAGGTTCATCTATTTTCTCTTGATTATAAACTCTGACAGTAGGGCGTTCTTATTGCTAATATTTATACTACCACTAGTCCTAACACAAAATAGACACCCTGTTAATTTTTTTATAGTTATGTTTCTTCCATTCATTCACCCAACAAATATAAATGTGTGGTAGGCACTGATCACAGTGACAAAAGAGTAATCAGTACTGTGGCTTCTGTCCTCATGAAGCTGTAGATTCTTCCCGTTCTCTGAATTCAGACTGATAAACCTACGGGCATTTTCATAATAGAAAAGGGTAGGAAGGATGGTTGGATAGAAGGTAAGACCCTTTTTAAAAAGAGGGACCGTCTGGCCGGGCGCGGTGGCTCACGCCTGTAATCCCAGCACTTTGGGAGGCTGAGACGGGCGGATCACGAGGTCAGGAGATCGAGACCATCCTGGCTAACACGGTGAAACCCCGTCTCTACTAAAAATACAAAAAATTAGCCGGGCGTGGTGGCGGGCTCCTGTAGTCCCAGCTACTCGGGAGGCTGAGGCAGGAGAATGGCCTGAACCTGGGAGGTGGAGCTTGCAGTAAGCCGAGATCGCGCCACTGCACTCCAGCCTGGGCAAAAGAGTGAGACTCCGTCTCAAAAAAGGAGGGACCATCTATGCCTCAATTTCGTTTTTCATATTGTAGCCCCTCTCATCTATGGAAATTGTTGTAATCTGCTTCACTACCATCTTAGGCCTTCTCACCAAGTTGAGACTAGGCAAAGAAGAACAGAAAAAAGCGTTCTAGACTGAGGGAATACCATATACAAATTCACTCTTGTGAGAGGGAGCATGGCAAGTATGAGACTGGAAAGTGTCCCGTGGGACCCAGCTTCATGGAGCCGGGGGATCATGGCATATGATGAGTCTGGAGAGCTAGTTAGGCAGAAGCTGGACCTCAGGACATGCACACCATGCGAAGGAGTTTGGAGGTTACCTAAGAGCAATGGGAGGCTGTGGAAGGGTTTAGGAAAGGGGACAACAGATCCAATTTATATAATACAAAAGAACCTTCTGGCTTCAATGTGGGCAAAACAGATCCTAGCAAACCTTTGAAGAGGCCATTGCAATAGAGCAAGAAAGGTAGCTTTAATTTTCCGTAGATGGAGAGAAATAGGCAAAGTCTAGAAATGCTTGGAATTTAGTATTTAAAATCAACTATGGTGACATGTTAGCTAAATGGAAGAGCGGGGAGGAAAGGAATGGCCAAGATGATTGTTAGTGTTCTCTCCTATTCTGAGGGATGATCATAGCATTCACTGAGACGCCTGTCATTGGCATAGGGAGAATATGATTTAGGAAGGAAAATAGGAGTCTGTTTTTGGTCATGTTGAATTTGAGGTACCTTTGAGACATCAAAGGGGAGATAATAGGTAAGCAGCTGGTTGAAGAGGTCTGAAAGAGAGAAAAACATTGTGAGTCTTAAGGTGTAGGTGATATTTAAGCCTTGGGTGCAGATCATGCAAGCTGAGAGTTTGGAGTAAAAAGAGGAAAGGCCTCAAGATCAAGCCTTGAGAAACCCAGCATCCAGTGGACCAGGTAAAAGAAGGTGGCCCATCAGAGGAGATGGAAGACACAGCCAGAGATAGGAAGAAAGCCAGGACAGTGTTTTGTCATGGGAGCCAAGAGAAAGATAACATATAAACAAGGAAGGAGTGGTTAACTTTGTCAAACACTGCTAAGGGAGGGGTCCAGAAAAAAGCATTGAAGAATATCACTGGATTTTGTGATTTGTAGTGGAATGAGAGGACAGAAGTCAGATGGAGGGGCAGAATATGAATGGAAGGAAAGGAAATGTGAACATTCATTCTATACATCTAGAGGACCAATGTGATGGAGACAGAAACAAACAGCTAACAGAACAATAGAGTAAGCATGCTGTGTACACCATGCTGTGGAGCAGGGACGGGGCAGCCATTAAGCCCTCCCTGGAAGGAGCAGGGGAGGCCAGGGCAGGCTTTACAGAGGAATTGGTTCTTTATTGAGACCCATCATGCATGGAATGAGGGATGAGAATAAATCTGTCAGGCAGAAAAGGGGAGAGGGCGTCCTGAACAAAGGCAGTACGTGTGTAAAGGCATGAGATGTGGGAGTAGCTGTGTTATTTAGGGATTACAGACTGTTTGATTTGGAGCACAGATTGCCTTTGGAGCCGTGACAGATTAATCTTGAAAAGGAAGCAGGGGCCCAATCTTAAAACACTGGGTGTTAGAGTGAAGTATTTGTAATTTACCAGTGTTTCTCAGCTTACCTTTGGAAATATTCTTAATGGCAGAAAACATTAAGTGAGGACCCTTTATAATGCAAGCACAAACTTTCCTTTCAAATTTCGTGTTTTAAAAATTTAATGAATTTTACATTCTAGTCCATAATATATTTGCTTGTCTTTTTATGTGAAAGTATCTTAGGTTATTTTCCACTGGGTAAAAATGACTCCATGGATATGAACCTCACTGATTCTGTGGCTCTGGGGAGCTCTTTCCCATTACTGTACATGTCCTCACCCCACATATCCCCACTCACAAGTCCAGAGAGAACTTAGGGTAGAAGTCATCAGTATGTAAGTGGCAGCTGAAGCTTTGGAAGTAGATGAAATCGCTCCAAAATAGAATGCAGAGTGGTGGGAGAAGAGGGCCATGCAGCGAGAGATCCTGAACAACACAAATATTTAAAAGGAGGACAGAAGGAAAACATTGAGAAAATTGTGAGGGATCTGTAGAAGAAGGAAGAGACCCAAGGTGGAGAAAATGGGGAGGAATTTCAACAATACAAGGATGCTTGACAGTGCCCAGTGCTACAGAAATCATTGCATGCAAAATAGTCCCTGAAAGACACAGACGGGATTTGGTGGGTCTTTGATTATTGAAGTTATTGTGACCTTAATGAAGGCAGATTCAGTCAAGGGGTCAGAAGAGATTTAGTTGCACTGAGAAAACAATACCAATTGTGCTTGACCATGCTTTCAAGAAGCTGAGCTTTGAGGGAATAGTAGGAGCAAGCGTGCTGCATGCAAGGAGATTCAGGATCATGGGGAATGGTTTCCATAAGGTAGGGATAGAAACATATTTATATGCTGAGGAAGAGCCAGAGTAGGGGAAGAGATTGAAAATACAAGAGAGTACAGGCCTGCTGCCTTATACATAGGCAATAAATTGTAAAAATATTTCTTTAACAAATGACTGTTTACTGTTAAATTCCTCAGTCTCAGTTTCATAGGTGAAATATGTTTTATGGGCTGCATGTTTTGTGTACTTAATCATAGTTATATTGATTTTTGCGGGGGTGTATTTTCTTTTAGCCTCAGAATATTCTGTTGACAAGTGAATCTCCATTGGGTGACATTAAGATTGTTGATTTTGGCCTTTCAAGAATATTGAAGAACAGTGAAGAGCTCCGAGAAATTATGGGTACCCCTGAATATGTGGGTAAGTATTCATAAAAGTAGTTTTGTTCTGGGGTCAGGCATCACCTTCATTAGGGGACTTGTCCATGTGGCATGACTCATAGTGGAGCCAGCTATCTACTATGTTGAAATTCTACCATCAGAGATCTATTCCTTTGGATTACATTTTACAATGGAAAACGTTCAAGAGTAAGATACCAAATTGGTGATCTCTTCACTATCTCTTCACTACAGAGCTAAGAGAATTTGAAGGGATTACTTCTAAAAGGAATAGGAGAGGATTTTCTTAACAAAGTAGGATATTAGCTTATCTGAGGGTGGGAGGATATTTAACAAGTAAGGACCTTTAAGGATGTTCTGGTTGATAACAAACATTGACAAAGGAATTGCCAAGTCTGAGGCTCCATAGAAGTGTGGAGCAGAGAGGGCATTTGGTTGGATCCATGGTTGAGTGCTTCTGGCAGAAAGAAAAAGGAGCTTAAACATTGAAGGTAGCAGCAAGAAAGCAGCTGAATGATGATACTCCATGGGTGTAGGCGTATCATCAAAGAAGTCAACTATTACTTTCTTTGATAGACTGAGGAAAATTGGAGTTTGAAAGATTAATAGTTTGATGGTCTTTTTAAGGTATCTGTAGAATAAGGCTGTGAAACTGAGAGGTTGTGACCAGAGATTAGATTATTAATATTTAGGCCAAGTGCAGTGGCTCACGCCTGTAATCCCAGCACTTTGGGAGGCCAAGGTGGGCAGATCACTTGAGGCCAGGAATCTGAGACCAGCCTGGCCAACATGGCAAAACCCGTCTCTACTAAAAATACAAAAATTAGCCAGGCGTGATGGTGTGCACTTGTAGTCCCAGCTACTCGGGAGGCTGAGGCAGGAGAATGGCGTGAACCTGGGAGGCGGAGCTTGCAGTGAGCCAAGATCGTGCCACTGCACTCCAGCCTGGGCGACAGAGTGAGACTCCGTCTCAAAAAAAAAAAAAAGAATATTAATATTTAAAATTTCAGTGGTGAAATAGCTCTTTGTAATTATGAGGCCTTGGATATAAGGCTGGAAAGGCAGTTTTTTAGACCAGGAAATCAAGAAGCTGTGAAGGTAGGCTGTCTGGGTCATGGACATCAGTGTGGAAGTCACCTAGGCTGCCAGCAGACCTGGGAGAAGAGGAGGGCGGCCGTGGCAGGAATGGAGAAGGCTGTGGCCTGGGCCTGAGGGAAGACTCTGTGCCTGAGGGTAGAAGTGTGAAGTGAGCAAATACAGGCTAGAAGAGGGGGAATGAAGAGAGCAGGGTCTCCTTTCAGAGAAGAGGGTAAAAGGAGTGTGTAGTTCTTGAAGGACTGAGGATGTTACAAGAAAAGAGCTATCCGGAGCACAGAAAGACTCAGGAGGGCCGATAGGGTTGAAGAAAACAAACCTGTATGGCAATGATAGTTCAAAAAATAATTCAGAGATTTTTTAAAAGATCCTTAGTTAATTAGATAATAAAAGATGCCACAGGCACAGAAACAACCTTTAAAATTTTTTATATATTTTAATGGGCCAGAATACTTAATTTTCAGTACACTGACTAATATGCGTCATGACCACTAAGTTAGTTTTGGGGATGTGACTTAATAGTGTTTCTTTAGGGAAAACAGCAACCCAAGTGTTTTAGCCAAATTTAATGGGTACCATTGTAAGCTCAAATACACAAGACTGCAGAATGTAGGTCTGTGAGCTGAAAAATCAAAATAGTAATTATTGCCCTGAATGAGGTGGGTTTTTGTTTTGTTTTAATGCTTTCTTTGTTGTTGTTTGAGAGAGTCTCACTCTGCCACCCAGGCTGGAATGCAGTGGCACCATCATAGCTTCCTGCAGCTCCCAACTTGAGCTCCTCCTGCCTCAGCCTCCCGAGTAGCTGGGACCACAGGCACGTGCCAGCACAGCGGGCCAGTTTTTTGTTTGTTTTTTTGGTAAAGATGGGTCTCACTGTGTTGCCCAGGCTAGTGATTTGTTTTAGAGCTTTCTGTTCCTTAGTAAATTTTAAATTTTCTATCAAGAGCCTTTCCCCATCTCAAAACATTATAATGGAAGTACAAGCTCAATCCAAAAAGAAAAAAACTAAAAATGATTCAAAAGTACATAATACAGAAAAACAAAGGGACTCTCCTCTTTTTCCTTCCGTGACTCACCTTTTAAAAGGTGAGTTTATGCCTCCCACAGTCATTTTACATACACACAGAAACTGGTGTGAGTTCTGGCCCTGTACTTGCCATCTATGTGACCTTGGCCCTTAAATCTCTTTATACCTCAGATTCCTCTGTCCATAAAAAGGGGCTAGTAATAGTACCGACCTCATAGGGAATTTGTAAGGATTTCATTGGATTTGCTGTACAAAGCCCTTAAACCAGTATTCAGCACATAATAAGCACTCAAAAAAGTAAGCTATTGGTATTTCCTGTACCCTTCCTCCCACAGTCTTGCTATGTGGTCTGTTTTACTGTTTCTTCCCCGGTAATTTGGATGCTATGCATTTCATTTTTAATTTCCTAGTCACTTCTTTTGAAACTTTAACATTCACAACCTCTGTTTCTCACTCAACCATTTCAGAAATCAAAATTTAGGAGATTAGCATACCTCGCATTTCCTTTCCAACCTCTTCCTCCCACTCATTTATTCTATGGGGGTTTGTCACAAATGAGTAGTAGATACATGACCTTGAGTATTTCGTTTTTTCATAGAAATAGAACATTTTCATTCCTTTTTTTAATTGTAATTACCACAGTTTTTAGTCTTTGGTCTGTTTTTCTGTGGATTCAGTACTTATTGACTGCATTTTAATAGTTTAGCCTCCTTATTTGTATAGTTTTGAAAAAAAAAATCTTTAGTTAAGTGGATTGTGAGTAGATTTTTTTAAGGAGCATTTTTATAATATTTTTCCTGAATCCTTGCATATTTGACAGTGTCTTTCTATTGTGTTTATGTGTGGCAGCAATTTACTTTATATCAAAGTTTTTTGTTTTTGTTTTTTTTTTTGTGAGACACAGTCTCACCCTATCACCCAGGCTGGAGTGCACTGGCACTATCTCGGCTTACTGCAGCCTTGACCTCCCAGACTCAAGTGATCCTCCCACCTCAGCCTCCCCAATAGCTGGGTCTACAGGCATGCACCATGACACTCGGCTAGCTTTTGTTTATTTTTTGTAGAGACAGAGTCTCATTATGTTGCCCAGGCTGGTCTTGAACTCCTGGTTCAAGCGATCCTCCTGCCTTGGCCTTGCAAAGTGCTGGGTACCCAGCCTCAAAGCATATTATTTTTCTCAATTCTATAGATGCAACTTAGTTGCCTTTGTCCCATGCCTGTAGTGTCAGAATGCCCAATTTTTTTTTTTAACCTTGTTGACTTTTTGTTAATGGGTAGATGTTTTAAAAAGCTCACTCTGACTGCAACAGAAAAATAGATCAGAGGGGTGGGACAAGTAGTTGAAAAGGCCCAGGTGAGAGGAGAAAGTGCCACGGGTGAGGGTGGGGCAATGGAGAAGCAGAAATATCAGTGGTAGTGAGAAAGTTTTAAAAGCCATGATCTGATAGAGACAATGCTTAATAACACAGAGATTGTCAGTTTATGTTTGGTGTTTTTAAAATATTTAAATATTTTGTAAAATACTAGGGACTCAACAATGGTGGGTAGAAGTGTGAAAAGTAAACAAGTTAATTACAAACATCTAGTTAGGCTTTATATTAATTCATATTAATTTATGGTAACCTTTCATTTTAGCCCAAACGTTGGATAGTGCCTTATAGTTTCTAATGCTTAGTTTTTTATCTCTTAGAGCAAATTAGGAATTTTTTTCCACAAAACTAAATGTTTTCTTCTCTTTCTGATACTAGCTCCTGAAATTCTTAGTTATGATCCTATAAGCATGGCAACAGATATGTGGTAAGAGTTATTAATGAAAAATTGATCAAATTAGTTTCAAGAAATGAGTATGGTACTAAATTTTTCTTGCATTTTCTTTCTAATTTAGGAGCATTGGAGTGTTAACATATGTCATGCTTACAGGAATATCACCTTTCTTAGGCAATGATAAACAAGAAACATTCTTAAACATCTCACAGATGAATTTAAGTTATTCTGAGGAAGAATTTGATGTTTTGTCTGAGTCGGCTGTTGATTTCATCAGGACACTTTTAGTTAAGAAACCTGAGTAAGTATTATTTTTATTAGTTTAATATTGAACTAATTCAATATTAAAAAATTCAGTATTAAAAAACTGACAGTTTTTTCTTGAATCTCCTCCAACCAAAAATAGTTCAACTTCTAAAACACCATAATGGAAACACAAAAATGTTGACATAAATCTAGGTGAAACCCTTGGCTTAATATAACTTGAAAGAAAAGGGGGCAAAAATGAAAATATTTTGAGAAAATGTGAACCATACCTCAGTATAACAGGATTTAAATATTAATTAGCAAAACTGTATTATTGCAAATGTGTCATGGCAGTAAATAGCACTCATAATTCATGGTTAGTAGAAATTGACAGTGAAATGACAGCTAATCTCTAGCAGATACTTCCCATCTGTTCTTGGTGTCTCTCAAGAGAGCGTTTCAGACATAACTTACTTAAAATATTTCAACATTTTCACAAAATTTTCAGCATTGTGGGAAATTGCACCCAAATTCCAAGACTAATAGTTTTATTCAGGAATCACAGTAAGATTTTTGCCAACTTGTCAGACTTCCCAAAATATAATGCAATAAATACAGTACCTTATGCTCTAATTTTAATTGAAGTTCTAACATGTCTTAACTGTAAAACATGTATCTTTACAGAGATCGAGCCACTGCTGAAGAATGTCTAAAGCACCCCTGGTTGACACAGAGCAGTATTCAAGAGCCTTCTTTCAGGATGGAAAAGGCACTAGAAGAAGCAAATGCCCTCCAAGAAGGTCATTCTGTGCCTGAAATTAATTCGGATACCGACAAATCAGAAACCAAGGAATCCATTGTAACCGAAGAGTTAATTGTAGTTACTTCATATACTCTAGGACAATGCAGACAGTCTGAAAAAGAGAAAATGGAGCAAAAGGCCATTTCCAAACGATTTAAATTTGAGGAACCTTTGCTACAAGAAATTCCAGGAGAATTTATCTACTGAGCAATATTTCCCTTTAGAACTTCAAGATTTCTACATTGAAAATGTTAATATTATTTATGGACCTCTGGCCAAATGGTACATGTACTGGAAGTGGATAACCAGTATCACTTACACAAACAAAAATAACTTTGTCAAATTTGTGGAGTTAGGTGGAAGCCAGATTTTAAAAGTTGCCAACCAGGAGATTTAACAGGTACAGTTACCCGTTTCAATGTTATTTTTAAGAAGGGAGATGTTGGCACCTTTGAATTCTACATCCTGTTTCTCCAGAATGAGAATTTGTGTACAAAGATATTTGTATTCACTTTCTTTAAAAAATCCAAGTAAAAGTGCCAAAACTACACTTCTGTAAATCTCTTGCATTATTCATATGTGTATCTATATCTGCATAATGTTTGTTAATGTCTACTAAAATTGCTACTTTTTCACTTTGGATTTGTTTTTGGCAAAATTTTAGTCTAAACAGACATCTAAATTTTCGAGACTTAGAATAACATTCACTAAAGTTTGATAATGTCTTTTTTAAATATTTTCTTACTGCTTTATAGTGACTTGATTTGGTTTCTGTTGTGTTTTTGCCTAAATACTAGTAACATATCAGTGAAAAACCCTAATTTTTTTTCTCTTCAATGTCACTAGTAAGAGAGGTGGTAATTTTTCACCTCTGAAATTATTCTGGGTTTAGGTGTCAGCTCTTGAGCTGCTTCCCTCATCACACCACACTCACATGCATCTGTTCTCTCTCACACTCTATACCCCTGCCACTTCCTGGCACCTCCCCCCATGCTTGTCATTTAATTTTGGCCACTTGTAGGTATCAGTGTGATCTGATCAACACTCTGGTTACCTTGGTCAGTGAAAAGATGCTACTATATTGCTTTTGTCCCAAAGTGAGTAAAATCCCCTAGAGCAGAGAGAGAGAGAGAGAGAGAGAGTGTCTTCATGCCAACCACAGCCTGTTTCTGCTGAGTTTCTTATCAGCCCTCAAGCTATGCTAGGAAAAGTTATAAAATGCCAAAATATTTATAAACATTTACTTTGTCCATAAAAAATTTACATTGGATACTCTGTAAGTAGGAGGTACTTTGTCCCAAAAAGATGTATAAGAATGTACTAATAGTTTTATTTGATTAGGATTGAACAGTTCAGTTGTATCTATGCCCCACAGTGACCAGTAAAGTCCAATTAAAATATGGAAATGTAAAAGTGTATGCCGAATACCTTAAAGTAACTAATTATCCTTACACACAAAAGGCTCAGTGCATTAAATATTTGCCTATCACCTGTGTGCTGTGTACCGTGGCCATGCCTCGCTCTGCACTATGAACAACTCAGACCTGTCCCTTCACGGTCTGATTAGGGTGTCACACAAAGCTCTCTCCCTAACATGGTTTCTCAACTGTCAAAATCATGAAAATGACAGCACCTAACCACTATTTTAAAGTATGTACAGTAAATACCCAAATGTGTGTAAATGTCATAGACATATACAAAGTCAGTAATCTCACCCAGTCCTGCTGTGTGAACCTGTCAAAGCACCTGGGAGTGCCCTTTACACCATTAGGTGAAATTCATCAGGCACTTCAGACAACCAGGTTGCACTGTTTTCTCACTAAATTGGCTTTATTTATACAGTTTCCTGGAACCTAGCATTCCTAAACAAGCTCCAAAATGCAGAAGAAGAAATTGTGCCACAGTGATAGAGTTTTTAATGAATATCCATGGCCACAGTTTTGAGTCTCAGGTAAGTCTTGGAAGAAGTTAAACACAGTATTAGGCAAATATTTATCTCTCTGAAAAAATAGGGAGGAGGTGACCAGGAAAAAATAACCACTATTGAATGACACGTTTGTACTTGATGGATCTGTCATCAAGTTTTAAAATCAGAATCATTTGGGCTTTTTAAAAACCATTTTATACTCGTAATAAATATATTTAATATAATTGCTGTATTTGTGAGAAAGATCTGTTTTCTTTTAGCTGGCCACTTCAGTTTGCTGCGTATCTTTAGCTGCTGTTGTGCTTAAATACTGAGTCATAGGGTGCTTTTTTAAGAGGCCCTTCAGAATATACTTGTAAAGGTGTATTGGCATTTTTTGGTTTATAAGATAAAAACAGGGCATGAAGAGCCTTCATAGTATTAGGCCAAATAAAATCTATTAATAACTGCCAGCTAGCTCTACACTTATCTAAAGCTGTTAATGTTCCTTTTTTTCTATCACCAAATTTATAAAGGACTAAACAGTACTATTGAGTTTACTCGGTTTATAAATCCAGTTTTAACTATAATTCAACAATATTTTGGTGTGGTGAAACGTTGTTTATGAAATGTATAAAATGTATAAGTTTTAATCAACTGGGAAATGATATTTGATTGATCTTGTGTTTTGTTGTTTTCAAATGAAAACTAGGAGGTAATTAATACCTTTCTCTAGTAGTGGTATAGAGGAAGGACAGATGCTCATTGTTGAATCTCTTAAATTTTTCCAGCTAACCTCAGTTTGGAAGAAAAATGTATTAAAGGGTTATAAAGATCACTTAGAGAATGTGAGACAGAACATGAATTATAGTCCTCAGTAATGTAATGGGGGTGGTGCGTGACTCAGTCCATAGAGGCCTATACCTGTTTAGAAAAAATAAATACCAATCCATGGACACCAACATACATGAATATAGATAGGAGAAAGATGACTAGCATCAGCAGACTAATCCTAAATACATTTTAAACTCACACCTCAATTTGAATTAGACTGATAAAAATGAAAAATAGCCATGTACTATATTTATTGTCCAAGATTGGCCACCTCATCCATTCTATCTGTTGCGGAATTTAAAAAGCTAGATTGAACACCTTGATCTTAACCTCGAGAGCCTTAATCACTATTGTTTTGGAGAGAAGGGGATATAATTTACATATCATGAAATGTACAGATCTAAATCCATACAGTCTCATCAGGCTTGACAAATGTACTCACTCCTTTAACCACACTCCTGTTCTGTTGCACTGGTTTTCCTTATCCTCAAACTCATGTAGTTGGAATCATACAGCATGCACCATTTGGCTTCTGTAACTCAGCATGATGTCTTTGAGATTCATCTATGTCGATGCTTATATCAGCAGTTTGTTGCTTTTTCTTGTTTTGTTTTGTGTTGTGTTGTTGAGACTGGAGTTTTGCTCTTGTTGCCCAGGCTGGAGTGCAATGGTGGGATCTTGGCTCACTGCAACCTCCACCTCCCAGGTTCAAGGGATTCTCCTGCCTCAGCTCCCCAAGTAGCTGGGATTACAGGCATGCGCCACCACACCCGGCTAATTTTTGTATTTTTTTTTTAGTAGACATGGGGTTGCACCATGTTGGTCAAGCTGGTCTCGAACTCCTGACCTCAAGTGATCCACCCACCTCAGCCTCCCAAAGTGTTGGGATTACAGGCGTGAGCCACCATGCCCAGCCTGGTTTGTTCCTTTTTATTGTTGTGTCGTGCTATTTGAATGCATGACAGTTTATGTAGCTATCCTTCTGTTCATGGACCCCTGAGCTGTTTCTGTGGGGCTATTATAAATGTGCTATAAATATTCTTGTACAGGGATTTTTGTGGACATGTTTTCATTTCTCTTGGATTAAAAAGCTAGGAGTAGAATTGCTAGGTCTTATGGTAGCTGTATATTTAACTTTTTAAGAAACTGCCCAACAGTTTTCTAAAACCATTGTGCTGTTTTGTGTTCCTGCCAGCACATTGTACTCTGGTTGTTTTTTACATCCTTGCCGACAATTGGTATTGTCCACCTGTTGCATTTTAGCCATGCTTCTGGATATGTGGCGGTATCTCATGGTGGTTTAGTTTGCATTTCCCTGATGACTAATGGACAGTACTTTTCATGTCCTTTTTTCCTTTTAATTGGATAGGACTCCTTTGTGCATTCTGGACATAAAGGATTGTCAGATTTATGTGTCACATATCTTTTCCCACTCTATAGCTTGCCTGTTCTCAGTAGTATCTGTTGATGAGAAGAAGGGTTTAGTTTTGGTGAAATCCAATTTATGAATTTTTGTTTTATAGTTAATGCTTTCTTTGTGCTCTTTAAGAAGTCTTTGCCTACCCAAGCTCATGAAGATACTCTTATTTTTCTTAGGAGTATGATAGTTGTAGCGAATATTCAGGTCTGTGATTCACCTTGAATTAGTATTTTTATATGCCATAAAGTAGGTAGGCATCAAATACCTTTGAACATTCTACTGAACGTTCAGTGGTTCCAGCACCACTTGTCAAAGAGTCTCCTTTCACTGTTAAACTGTTTTGGTGCCCGGTCTAAAATCATTTGACCATATATCTGTGGCTCTAGTTTTGTTCCATTCTGTTTATCTTTTTGTCAAAACTTGGTAAGTCTTGATCTCAGGTAAAACAGACGTTCTAATTTCTTCTTCTGCAAACTGCTTTGTTTATTCTAGGTCCTTTGCATTTCCAAATAAATTTTGTCAATTTCCACCAAACTACTCCCAGAAGAAGCCTTGTGGATTTTTATTAGGATTCACTGAATCTATAAGTCAAGTAGTCATCCAATCCATAAACATGTTTTTCCATTTACTTCATTTTTTCTCAGCAGTGTTTTACATTTTTCAGTGCAGAGATCCTATATATCCTTTAACTGTATCCCTGTGTATTTCATGGTTTTTGATGCTGTTGTTTTTTGGATAGTCTTCATATTTCAGCTTTTTTTGTTTGCTTTTAATACCCCAACTCTCATTTTTAGCTCATCATGCCTAACCAGAACTATGTTATAAATTATTTAAATGAGTCTTTTGAAACTTTTGTTGGTAACAGTGGGAGTAAGTTTGCTTGAACTGAAATTTATAGTAACAAAATTGGATGGAATCCCTCCTCTACTTTTTCAGATTAGAGATGCAATAATGGAATCGCAGAGGGAATATGTGATTTGCCCAAGAGCTCACAGCTGGTTATGGGCAGAACAAAGGACAGAATCATTCAGATTTCCTGACTGCTCGTCAAGAACTTTTACCTCCGTGGATTCTACCTTTGGCCCCATTTTAACGTCCAAAGTAGTTTTTAAAAATTACTTTTGTGTAACTTAATTTTGGGTTTCTTTTTTAATAACTAGAGGACAGTTAACCTGAGATGAGGCTAGTGCAGAGGTCAGCATACTGTGGCCTGTGCTGCCTGTTTGGTGAGGTTTTATTAGAACAGCCACACCTGTGTGTTTACATTTTGTATGTGGATGCCTTCACACTACACCGCGCGGGTGAACAGTTGTGACAGAGATCTGAAGGCCCGTACAGCCTAAGGTATTTAGTATCTGGCCCTTTACAGAAAAAGTTTGCCAACCCCCAGGCAATTATAATCTAAATATATTTAAAATAGATATTTTCTATTTAAAACCAATCTTGACACAGTCCTTTGGGGAGCAGCTTATTTTACATGGCAGGATAATCTTATGACATTTTCTCCTTGCCATTTTTATTGAAATAAGTGGAGATTTTATTTACTAAAAATAAAACTATTTTTCCTAAATATGTTAGCAGCAGAAAAGTATCTCAGTTTCAATACATTGTGATGGGTTTGCATGAAAATTAGTATCTCTTTAGTTATCTCAAGTAACCAGCTTTCTAATAAATTGTAAGAGAAGTATACCTAGAAGATAAAGTATTTGGGAAGAGATATGTTTAATCCTCAGCTGCAATTATTCAGGTGAGGAGGACTGTCACCTCATCCCTGCCCCCGCTTTTTTTCTCTAAGCCAATAAAACTGTACCCTGTCCCTTTTAAAGCAGCATATTCAATACTTTCATCCTATACTTTTTAAAGCTTTTGATTTCGCAATAGTTACAGACTTACAGGGAGTTGAAAAGACAGTACAGATACATCTTTACGTAACTACAGGAAATTGATATTTGCACAATGTATATCATTTTATGCCATTTTATCTTCCTACCAACACATTTGAGATATGGAACTGCTTCACTGCTATATAAAGATCTGTTGATATCTACATTTTACCAGTTAGAGTGAAATGTAGAAAACTCTCTTGCCCGTCCCCTCCCCACCCCATTTATAATTGTCTTAAACATAACCTGCTACGTACATTGAGATCTATGTCAGACAATTTTGCTTCCACTACCAATTTAGAAAACTCAAGGAGGAAAGTCTATTGTATTTACCCATATTTTTGCTGTTTCCATCGTTATTCCTGACATCCCAAAACTTTTTTTTTTTAAATGTTTCCTTTCTGGTTCAAGAACTTCCTTTAGGGTTGGTCTTTTCAAGGTCTATAGGGTAGACTCATTCAACAAATTCTTTTAGTTTTCTATCAACCGAGAATGTTTTTATTACCCCATCAATCCTGAAGGATCATTTCACCAAATAGGAATTTGGAGTTGACAGAGTTTTGTTTTGAGGCAGTCTTGCTCTGTTGCCCAGGCTGGAGTGCAGTGGCAGGATCTTGGCTCACTGCAACCTCCACCTCCCGGGTTCAAGTAATTCTCGTGCCTCAGCCTCCCAAGTAGCTGAGATTACAGGCATGTGCCACCATGCCTGGCTAATTTTTGTATTTTTAGTAGAGACAGGGTTTTGCCATGTTGGCCAGGCTGGTCTCAAACTCCTGACTTCAAGTGATCTGCCCACCTTGGTCTCCCAAAGTGCTGGGATTACAGGTGTGAGCCACCGTGCCCAGCCACAAGTTGATAGTTCTTCTGGCACTAAAAGAACTTGTCTCACTTCCTTCTGGCCTCCATGGTTTCCAGAGAGAAATCCACTGTCATCTGAGTTACTTTTCCCTCTAGCTAAGATTTCACTTCTTTCTTGATGCTTTCAAGCTTTTTTCTGTCTTTAGTTTTCAGAAGTCTGTCCTATCATGGACTTCTTTGGGTTTCACTCAGCTTCTTAAATACAGGCATAACTCAGAAATACGCATCACTTTCAGTTCCAGACCACTGCAATAAACCAAATACAAGCAAGTAAGTCACATGAATTTTTTGCCTTTCCACTGCATATAACATGGTTCATACTGTAGTTTTTTTAAATGAGCAGCAGTGTTATGCCTAAAAATAATGTACATACATTAATTTAAAAGTACTTTTAAATGCGAGAGGAGGGTAGGAAAAGATAAGTTGCTGAAGCCTGCAGTGACTGTGGCAGTTTCTTAAAGTAAGACAACAGTGAAGTTTGCTGCATTTATTAACTCTTTCATGAGAGATTCCTCTGTGGCATGCAATGCTGTTTGACAGCATTTACCCACAGTAGAACTTCAAAATTAGGAGTCAATCCTCTCAAACCCTGGCCACAGCTAAGTTTATGGAATATTCTAAATCTTTTGTCATTTCAACAATGTTCATAGCATCTTCACCAGGAGTAGATTCCATTTCAAGAAATCACCTTCTTTGCTCGTCCATGAGAAGGAACTTCTCATCCATACAAGTTTGATCCTGAGGTTACAGCAATTCGGTCACATCTCTAGGCCCCTCCACTTCTAGTTCTCTTGCTATTTTCAGCCCATCTACAGTTCCTTCCTCCTCTGAAGTCTTGAAACCCTCCAAGTCCTCCATGAGGATTGGAATCTATTTCTTCCAAATTCCAATTAATGTTGATATTTTGACCTCCTCCCGTGAATTGAATGCTCTTGATGGCATCTAGAATGGTGAATCCTTTCCAGAAGGTTTTGAACTGACTGCCCAGAACCATCAGAGAAACCACAAAATGTATTTCTTAAATAACAAGTTTTGAAAGTCAAAAGTACTTCTTGATCTATCAGCAGCAGAATGGATACTGTGTTAGCAGGCATGAAAACAGTATTCATCTCCTTGTACATCTCCATCAGAGCTCTTGGGTAACCAGGTGCATTGTTAATGAGTAGCAATATTTTGGTTTTTTGGATTTGTTTTTTGAGACAGGGTTTCACCATGTTGCCCAGGCTGGTCTTGAACTCCTGGCATCAAGCAATCCACCCGCCCCAGCCTCCCAAAGTGCTGGGATTACCGGTGTGAGCCACTGCACCCAGCCATATTTTGAAAGAAATCTATTTTTTCTGAGCACTAGGTCTCAACAGTGGGCTTACTCAGTAGACCAGGCTGTAAACAGACCCAACGTCATCCAGGCTTTGTTGTTGCGTTTATACAGCATATCTTAAGGGCCCTGGGATTTTCAGAATAGTCAATGAGCATTGGCTTTAACTGAAAGTCACAGCTGCACTAGCCCCTGACAAGAGTCAGCTTGTCCTTTGAAGCCAGGCATTGAGTTTTTCTAACTATGAAAGTCCTAGATGGCATCTTTTTCCAATAAAATGCTGTTTTATCTACATTTAAAATCTGTTGTTTAGTGTAGCCACTTTCATCGATGGTCCAAGCTAGATCTTCTGTGTAACTTCTACAGCTTCTCCATCAGCACTTGCTGCGTCACGTTGTACTTTTATGGAGATGGCTTCTTTACTTACATCTCATGAACACTGCTAGCTTCAAATTTTCTCCTGCAGCTTCCTCACCTCTCACATTTAGTGAGAGGCCACTGTGGGGTTATTAATTGGCCCAATTTCAATACTGTTGTGTCTCAGGGAATAGGGAGGCCTGAAAAGTGGGAGAAAGACGAGGGAATGGCCAATTAGTGGAGCAGTCAGAACACACACATTTATCAATTAAGTTCACCATCTTATGTGGGTGAGGTTCATCGTGCCCAAAACAATTACAATAGTAACATCAAAGATCACTGATCACAGCTCTCCATAATAGAGTAATTTAAAAGTCTGAAGTATTGTGAGAATTACCAAATGTGACACAGACACAAAGTGAGCACAAGCTGTTGAAAAAGTGGCACCAAAAGACTTGCTCGACAGTCGCCACAAACCCACAATTTGTAAAAAACACAGCATCTGCAAAGTGTAATAAAGTAAAACACAATGAAACTAGGTATATACGCCTATAAAAGGTTCATTTGTTTTTGACAAATTTGTAAACTCTCAGCCATTTTTTTTTTCAAATACTTTTTCAGCCCCACCCTCCCTCTCCTCTTTCTTAGAGCCATGATTCAAATGTTAGGTCTTTAGCTAGAGGCCCACAGGTACCAATTGCAGTCTGTTTTCTCCGCTCAGATTTTTATTTCATCTTTAAATTCAGTGATTGTTTTCTCGTTACTCCTCATTCTGCTGTTTAACCCATCCAGTGAGATTTTTGTTTCATTTACTCTTCTCAATTCTAAAATTTCCATTTGATTCTGCCATCTTCTAAGACTTCCTATTTTTTTCATTTATTCCAAGCATGTTCATGATTGCTCACTGAATCTTTTTTTTAAATGATGGCTGCTTCAAAATCCTTGTCAGATAATTCTAAAATCTGTGTTATCTTGGTGTTGGTGTCTGTTAACTCTCTGTTCTCATTCAGGTTGACATTTGCCTGGTTCTTGGCATAAGAGCATGGCTTTCTGTTCTATTCTGCCCATTTGGGTTTGAGACGCTGGACCTTGTTTGAATCATGTTTTCGTAGGTCTACTCTGACACCACCCAAGTGGGTGACGGGGGCATGTGGTGGGGTTGATGGTTCAGGCTCACTACTGAGCCCCTTTGAATACAGGCAGGGGGAGGGGTGGCTAAGTGCAGCTTCCCGCTAGAACACGTGGGTCCCACTGATACCATGGGAGTGGGGGCAGTTGTTCCTCCTGGGTCAGGGTAAAAGTCTAAGCTCCCAACATGGCCTCCACTGACACTATGGGGGTGGGCCTCATTACCATCCTGCAGGGATAGATGTCCCAAGCTCTCTGCTGGGCTAGCTCTGACACTGCTCCAGCAGGGGATGGGGAGGCCTCATTACAACAGGCAAAGAAGGTCTAGGCTCCCCACTTGGCTTTTGCTGATGAGGCTGTGGGATTGGGGCCATGGGTTTTTCCATGGTGTTTGCATAGAGTAGGGCAGTTACTTCTTAGAGTTCTCCATCTTTCTAAGTTGCCCTGTCCTGATCCTTTGGCTAGAGACACCAGGCTTTGCTTAGCCGTTGGCTCCTATTGGTGTTTCTGGGGTACTGGTTTCTCCAGTGCCTCATATTTGCCCAATATTAGGCAAAAGAAAACCCAGGGAAATCGATGCTGTGTTATTCCTTGGGTACTGAAGTTCCTAGCCATTTGGTCTTCTCATCTTTCACAGTAGTCTGATGTTTGTTTTATGGAAGTCCAGGCTGCACTTAGTGGAGGAATAGCGAGAAGTGTGTCTACTCTTTCTTGTTTCTTCTACTTTGTTTTGAATAGTGAATTTTCTAACAATGTGGTCCTAGAAAGTAGCTTAATTTATAAAATATATGCTTATAAATATAACTTTTATATAATTTTATAAATATTGACTCAGTCAAACCACCAAGGACATGTTCTGCAATCAATGGTTTGTGTGTCTCTCCAATTGAATATTAAGTCCTAGATCTAAGCCATGTCTTAGGTTAAAATAATTCCAGGATTTCCCGATATTGAACCACCTTTGCATTCCTGGAATAAACCTCTATTAGTCACTGTTAACAGCAGGGTGCACTAGGTTAAGCTGGGGTAACAAATAGCCCCCCATCTTAGGGGCTTGTAAGGGTTTATGTCTCCCTTATGCTCCGTGTCCCACTGTGGGTCAGCTGTCCGAGCCCCCAAGCCCTTGAAGTAGCCACCATCTGGAACATTACCAATCTTAGGGACGAAGGCAAAGTGGACAGCATGAACCAAGGGCTGGCACTTAAAACTTTTACTCAGAAGTCCTGCATGCCACTTCCACTCACAAGCCACACAGTCACACCTAAGTTCAACGAGGCAGGGATGTATAATCCTCCCACAGGAAAGAGCACTGAGAGGGAGAAGCACCAACCTATTTCGTGAAAAATAATACAATATACCACTACATATCACTGGACTCAGTTCACTAATATTTTATTTTGAATATTTGCATCAACCTTCATAAGGGAGACAGGTCTATAGTTTCTCGTTTCATAAAAATAATTTGGAAGTGAAAAATTACTTTGTCATTAAGACTGCAAGGTGACTGATGTGGTAGCTCAAGTTAAAAGATAAGTGTTAAAAGATAAGTGTTACATGTTTTAGGTGTATAGTAGGGGGTCTAATTTCTGCCTTGGCGGCTTATTATTTAATAATAAAAGGTTTTTAACATACCTCATGTGATCTGATAAGTCAATTAAAAAGTTTCCTTAAAAAAATTCCTTTTGGAAATTTCCTCTAAGGGAAAAAAAACTTGCAAGATAATTTAGGAATGAAAAGTACTCTCTCCTGCAAAGTCAGATTTCACTTCGGCACCCAACCCGTGTCTTAGAGGCATGTTTTTAGTATTTTCATTTCCTACTTTTCTGCCCTGGATTATAACATGGGCGCAGTTTTTCTGTACACATTCCTGACAGTGCTTTCAACTCAGGAACTCTGCCAAAAAACATGCCTGAACCAGGAGCGCATTACTAAGGAGGTGAGAATCTTCTAGTGGGTGGAGACTGGAGGTTTTCCTATCAATCACCCTCCCACCTCTTTCTGGACCGCCCCCATCATTGAGCCTCCTGTGTAAAACAGCATCTTTTGCCCAAGCATCCCAATGAGCAGTATAAACATTGTCTCACCTGTAAGGCAAGTGATTGGTAAATATTTATTCATATTTTTCAGATGGACAAACTGAAAACGCCAGAGAGTCAAGTGGCCTAAAGCCACTTCCAAAGCTGCTTGCTTTGGGAAAACCCTTCAGAACTGCCGCTTCTTGAGCATTTCCCTGGCCTTGCTGGTGGCCAGAGGACAGAAGGAACTATTGTTAAGTTCTGGCTGTTTTGTGTATATGTAATTTTAGTGTCACTGTTCCTGTATACAAATTTTACCAAAACTCAGCAATAAAACCTTATCAGGTATTATCATGTCCTTGGGTTGGTGAATAGGGAATGTTTGCAGGCAAGTGGAGGCTAATTCTAGGAAAATTGAACAAAGACAGTAAAATCTGTGACTTACTTGAAAGTCATACAGGTCTTGTCAGTACACATTCAGCACAATCTCTGAAACCTTCATTAACAGTAGAATCATGTGCTTACCCCCAAATCTTTGATGGCCACAAATTGTATGCAAAATGTCAACAGTGGCATTCACACACTGTGGCCAACCTACCTTTCCAGGCCTCTCTTTTACTTTACCTGCGCTCATCTACACGCTGTCCAAACTGGGCTTCTGATTTCTGGAGCACAGCTCCCATCTGCCCGCTCTGGGGCCTTTCTTCATGTTGTGCTTTCCACTTGCATGTTGTGCTCTCCATCATGTCTGCTTATCAAAATCTTGGACTTCAAGGCCCACAGGGACACTACTGCCTCTGGACAGCCTCTTAGATTCCCCCTAACTGATATCTCTCTTTTCTACATCATTTTTAGCACCACAGCTTGAAATTCTTTTGGCACAGTATTATAATACTCTCTACAACCCCTGCCCATCCACCCAGCACACTAGCTGGTAAGGAACTTGTGGGTGGAGGCCCTGCAGCCTCTTCTATAGTAAAGCACATAGGAGTCACGCTACCATTTGCTGGCTGTGATCCCTCTCCTGCAGTCTTTACAAGTCTACAGTTTGTATAATTCTAGGAAACCCCTTTCTCTGGTCTCTGGGCTATCCTGTCTCTTTATGGGATGTACTGGGGGCCCTTCCTCAAAAAGTCACCTTTTCCTCTGATGCATTATCCAAGACATCATTAAGGTAGTTAGTGGAGTCGATGGCTGAGTCACAGTGATGAATGGATATACAGGAAACAGTGGACTGCAAGTGTACATCACTGCTATCCTCAAAGAACAGGAAAGACAGTGTCTACTGCAGTGATCAAGTTCCAGCCTGTTCAGAATCACCCATAAAGGCATTAAGTGCACAGGAAGTAAATGTGAACAGAAAAAATACCCGAGATAGCGGCTTTCAAATAGAAATCAAGGAGCACTTCACTACATAATACTATTTCCTATCAGGTAGATTAGAAAAGCCTCTCCATTAATTCAAACTCTACACTTACTTTTACTTCAGAACAGATGGCCAACCTAAGCCCTGGTTTTCTATAATTTGGCCATAGCAAAGAAACAAAATTCAAACACTAAGATAAAGTAAAAGTTGTCAGAGAACAGACAGATAGGAAGCACCACATAAATTCACAACATATAGACAATAGGACAGTGTGTAACTTAAAGAGCAAAAGCACAAAACTGTACAGTGCTCTGCCATTTATTTTAAAAGACTGTAGAGATTGGAATATTTATCTGAACACACTGACAAAAGTGCTCTCAGGGAGACACTTTTCACTGTATAATCTACTCAAAGAACACATAAATATGTTTTTAAAGAAACAACTCCAGAATAGAGATAACTTGTAACAACTGAAGACCTCATACTCTACTAGCATGTTTAAGCTCATTTTTTTTTTTTTTTTCCTGAGAGGCTTCTCTTCAATGAATATTAAGAATGTAGGAAGAGAGCTCATGGCTGTCCTTCATTGTAGACAACCACAATGGCATTAAGCCTGCTAATGCTAAGAGGGTTAAACTGACCTTTTCAAAGCAGATACCAGATTTCTGTTTTTGTAGGCTCTGGTGCCCAGAAGGAAGTTCTTTTGCTTTATAATATGTTTCCTTATAAGACTAATAAAACCTAAGGATACAATTATCTAACATGCGGTTAAGTTGTTTGGAAAGCAGATGGATAAGAACCTATTAGCTTTCTTTTTCCTTTCCTTCCCTTTCCCTTCTTTTTCTTTCCTTTTTTTTTTTTTTTTTTTTTTTTCTGAGACAGAGTTTTGCTCTTGTTGCCCAGGCTGGAGTGCAGTGATGAAATCTTGGCTCACTGCAGCCTCTGCCTCCTGGATTCAAGCAATTCTCCCACCTCAGCCTCCCAGGTAGCTGGGATTACAGGCGCCCGCCACCACGCCTGGCTAATTTTTTGTATTTTCAGTAGAGACGAGGTTTCACCATGTTGGCCAGGCTGGTCTCAAACTCCTGACCTCAGGTGATCCGCCTGCCTTGGCCTCCCAAATTGCTGGGATTACAGGCATGGGCCACCACACCCAGCCAGATGCTGTTAGCTTCAAACTAACTTTCCTAAGTTAACTTTATATGTATATGTACACATATAAATTTTCTAAGCTTTCAAAATGTTTGGAATAAAAACAATTATTTTGCAAATCTTCAACTGGGCAGATGGTTGGTGTCTGAAATAGAAATAAATAAAAGCAAAGCAAACAAAATATTCCAAAGTGATAGAGAATGTCCACAAGCTACTTAACAACATGAATTCAAGGTAGAGTGAAAAACCAGTGGTCTTCCTCATCATTCTCAGGTCAATAATTTAGAAAAAATCCCTTCAGTGCTACTAAGCTTCAGGCTTTGTAATGAGGACTGAAAATTCCAGGGGAAAGGAAGAGGAAGAGAAAGGAAAGAAATGAGAACTAGCAAAGATCAACAAACATTTTATTAATTCTGATTCCTTTTATCATGTGCTTTTTTATACAAAGCACTTTCAAATACATTACATTATCTTAAATTTATAATAGGAGTTTCTTTCGGATTCAGTTTAAAAATGACAAATAGCATTTGTTGTGCCCAAGTTAGAATTACACCAAAATTACCATGTGCTGGCACATACCATCATCCCACTGGTGGCTGGAAAACTGGGTTGCAGGAGTGTCTGTCACTGAGATGGGCCACCACCCCAGTGGCCATATGGTAGAGATGAGGGAAGGATGGACTAGAAGCAAGCTGGGTCTTCTGGGTCGTCTCTACTCCTTTTTCACTTCATCACCGTTTTCCCCACTGAGCTTGAACACAGGAATCTGCTGACCATCCTTGAGCTCTAAAAAGACCTCGTCAAGGTGCCACCTGAGAGAAACCAAAAGTATAGTATCTCTAATCTATGAAGGCTGAGGCAACAGCCGTAGTCAAAAAAAGGGGCGCGGAAAGCAGTTGTTTTGAATAATGCCTTAAATTTTTTTAAACATTATTTTGTGCGAGTGCTGTGTCAACACAATTTTTAACATTCTACCATGGGCTCTCATTATTTAACCAGCTTCGACTTCAAGGCAGGCTTAACAATGACTGACAGGCGAATGGAAGGGACATCAGGAAGAAGGAGCAGTTTATTTCTCATTTCCTAATTCACAGTGACCTTCAGTTCCTGGCATGGAATCCAGCCAGCTTGTACACTAATCCCAGGCTCAGAGGTCAGTGAGCCCAGGGTGAGCTAGGTGGGGCCTCCTGCTCCTTTTGTCCTTGGGAATTAAAATACAGCCTGGCTAAACAGCAAACATCTATGAGAGAGGCTTCCCGTGGGGGAAGTGAGTGGATGTAGCTATTGGCAACCAGACAAGCAAAGCCAATTAAGGGGTGGAGAGCTTATGCAAAGAATGTGATGAATAAATTCTGGAACAAGAGTCCATGCCCTTTATTCATTTATAACAATTGAGGCAGTCAAGTGAGAAGCTGTAACATAGCATCAAATTATGATAGACCCAGATCACTATAACTGGAAAGTTTTACAAATTCAACGGCATAAGGAGAGGGCAATTCAGTAGACTGTATGGATAAACTGGACTCAGCTAAGAGCCGCAGTACTGGCTTGCTGCCCAGGCCACGAAGCTTTCAGCTTCAAGCTTGAAAAATAATTCTTCCTATGCCCACAGTAATTTAACAACAAATGAAAACGGAGTTGGGGTTGCTTTCATCAGGAAGTCTTCCTCCCGCTCCCCCACTGCCGTCACCTTCCCAGGATACCTCTGAAAGGGGCCACCTCTGGATGAGTGGACGTAGAGAAGGCCCTCTGATTTGGATCCAGAGACAGGAATCTTCAACTGTGGGTGTAAAATGACAGAAAGGAGAGATGTAATTGGATAATTATTGTCATTTCAGAAGATGACAAAATGATGCTTTCTAGAGCTAAGCCTATAAAATCCAGTGATTCTCCACAGAAGTGAGTTCTTTTCTAACAGCCCAGCTGGAGAATCCACTTGATTTTCCAAATGTCCTGCCCCTCTTTGGTTGGCTGGTAAGGTCAATGGCAGTCTTTCCATTTGGCAAGGAGGACTCCTATGTCAATGCTCTGGGTACTTCCAATGATCGCTCAAAAGTCCACTGTTAAAAAGGAGCAAACTCCTGATACACGGAGCAACATCGATGAATATCAAAAACACACCAAGCCAAAGGGCTTTACACAGGAGGAGTATACAAGTATTTATGTTAAATTCTAGAACAGGCTAAACTGTCCTGGAAACCTGTTGTTATTTTGATGGATTACAAAGTAATTTTCAAACATCATTTTAAAAAAAAGAAAAGTGACTGCCTCTGGTGGAGCTGGAAGATGTGAGAAGGGACCCATTGGGTAGGGCACGAGGGAATTCAGGTGCTGGGAACAATCTACATCTAGATAACGGCTTGAGTGACACAACTGGGTGTATTTGTTAAAACTCATCAGATAGGACGCTTGGATTTGTGCCTTTCACAGAATGTAAATTTTACCTCAAAAAAAAAAAAAAAAACCAGGAACCATAACAAATATTAAACTCTACTTAATGATATATGTGCTTATGTGTATGATGTTTGAAAATTACTTTGTAATCCAACAAAATAACAATACAGATTCATGGAAACAGAGCAAAATCCAATTGTAGAATCCAGGTACCAGCTATAGGTGCTCACAGTATAAATTCTTTTGTCTTTTTTGTACGTTTGAAATTTTTCACAATAAAATACCAAAAAAAATTCACTGTTTTAAAGAGGGACCTATTGCCAGGAAATTGGTACATATTTTGACCTGGACCCTAAAGAACAGGCTTTAAAGAAAATACAATACATGAAGGCTTGTCTGAGAAAGACAACACAGAGTTCTCAGTTTCTCCTTCATCCCCAGCACCACAGGCTGGGCTCGTACCACAGGGATGCTGCCAGGTGCTGCCATGCCCATGCTCAGGGAGTCAGCCTGAGAGCCCGTAAGCAGTTGATCACACTCCGATTGAGAAAAAAAACAGTGAATGCAATATTTTTGGTTTCTCATGAAAACCAAAGAAGGTATGAGCCTCGCGAAGGAGACACAGGCACAGTTAATAAGGAAGCCCATCATGAGACAGGCATCTCCCAGAGTGCCTTCCTGTGTCCTCGGTGATGGCCAAAGATACCTCCCGGGGCAGGGGCAGGGGAGGGAATTGGGGCGGGGAGTATCCCACCCATTCCAAGTTGCCACCAAGAGAAGAAACTACTGAGGTACACATTTGTGCTTTCCAAACACACCTGAAGGAAGGCACAAGATTTGGAACATGGCTCCATAACTCAGGTGAATAGGCAGTCACCTAGTCACACTTCAAGAACAAATCTTTGGCCGGGTATGGTGGCTTCCGCCTGTAATCCCAGCACTTTGGGAGGCTGAGGCAGGTGGATCACTTGAGGCCAGGAGTTCGAGATCAGCTGGGCAATATGGCAAAACCCCATCTCTACTAGAAATACAAACACTTAGCCGGGCATGGTGGCGCACACCTATAGTCCCAGCTACTCAGGAGAGTGAGGCAGGAGAATCGCTTGAACCTGGGAGGTGGAGGCTGCAGTGTGCCAAGATCACACCACTGTACTCCAGCCTGGGTAACAGAGCAAGGTTCCATCTCAAGAAAAAATTTTAAAAAAGAACAAATTTTCAGGGTCCCACTGTTTGAGTCAAGCTACAGCTTTTCTCTGGAAATTATAGAATTAAGCAACAGAGTATACACTGAGCATCTCTGGATGCTTTAAAAAAAAATTTAAAAAGGAAGGAGAAAGAAATGGGCAGAAGCAAGAAGGATTCTGAAGAAGAGCAAACTCTGAGGGGCCAATGTCTGAACTGTGGGCAGCTGTGCTTCCATGGGTAGATGTGACACTTTACAGGTTGGTTCCTTCACCAGCCAGACCTTGCCAAAGATTAAAGCAGGAGTTCTGGTAAAGCAAAGTGTTGGTCACTGGTGACTATCTCACACACATACTTGGGAAAAAATCCCAATGTATGACAATTACTTCATGAACAACTGAAACATCTCACCTCTGGAAAAACTGTAAAAATTGCAAATAAAGGAATTTGGGATAAGAGGGCATATGCTGTATACAGGCATCCTCACAAACCGCTGATTATAAAGAAAGGACCCTGACAGAATGTCAAAAATAGTCCACAAATTGGAAGGCGTGCACTGAGGCTCCAGGTGGCCATGATGCAGCAGACTCTGAACTCCTGTCACTGCAGAGTCACAGCATTTGGCCGCAGTAGAAGCCAGAACCTAGCACCACAACCAACATAGTCACAGCATGGCCAAGGCCCCAGGGATGTGGGGAAGCCCAGGAAGGCGCCCTCTCAGCACCACTGGGGCCAAAGTGAAAGCTGGACAGGACAAAGCTCCCACCAAAACCACCATGGCCTTACCCTACTCTCACTGGGGTTCCTGGAGCACCAGATCATGGATGCTGCATCAACCAGCCCCAGCAAAGGCGCCTTTGGCACACAATTCCTCAGTGCTACAGCTGGGCTCTGTGCTGAGAGAAACGCAACAGCCAGACCTACCCAGTGGCTTTTCCAAGTTCTCAGGATTGCTGGGGTCTAGCCAAGTGACCAAAGGCAAGGAAGCAACAGACAGGCTCCGCCACACCATGGGAGCAATCCGGTGGCCTGGCACAGAGTGAGCACTCCACACATGCCCAGCCCTTCCCTGTGCTCCTCCTCCAGGATGTCCTCTCTCACGCAGTGTCGCTGCCGTCCTTCCACTCACGTCCATGCTGGACACTGGACCATCACCTCTGACCCACCCGCTCCTGATACATGACTGTTACCAAGTTCTGTCACTTGGATGCCACGATGGCTTCACATCCGTCTTTTGCTTCTCCAGGCCACACCTCTGGTTCATGCTCTCACCACTGCACACCAGTGTGGCCACATCTCTCTCCTAAAGATGGCTCCCCGTAGCCAGTCCCTGGGCATTACCAATCTACACAAATCCACCTTCTTTTAAAACCGAATATTTTAATCAGAATACCAGAGCATGAATTGCTTTTGTAGTTAGAAAAAAGTCTCATTAGAGCTGGGTCCATTAAGAACATACTAAAAATAACAAAAAATAATGTAGGTCGGATCACCTCACTCATCCTCCAAATACTTTACGGGCTTCTGCTGCCAGAGTCAAGCACACACCTTCCAAGATGACACTGTGGCCCCTGGTGGCCGCAGCCCCTCCTACCTGCCCACACCCACCTCGCCCACCTGTGCCTCCACTGCCGTATCACACTGACAGGCGACACAGTGATGAACTTTCCCAGGCATGCTGCTCCTCAGCCGGGTGTTCCTCTCCACCTTTCAAAGTCCTCACAGCCATCTCCCAGGCCTCGAGCCACTTCCCCTAGGCCTGCACAATAGTGACAGGGTTTCCCTCACCCTGTCTTACTCAGGAATTTTCAACTGTAAACCCCCAAAAGCCTTCTGCACCTCTATTCCCCACATAGCTTAGAATCATTTCTCAAACCAGAGCATATACTCAAAATATGTTTGTTAAACAGAACAAATGTGTTTTACATGCAAGTGAGTGTGATCAAGTACAAAAAGATAAGTTATAGCTAAAAAAATGGGTTGGTATTCTGTGGAAGCAATGTAAATAAATACACTTTAAAAATCAAAGTTTAAAGAGTTGGGTACATTTGAATGAGCACTGACTGGATATAGATGCATTTCTCTTTTTTTTTTAATTTTACAGACAATTTCACTCTGTCACCCAGGATGGAGTGCAGTGACATGATCATAACTCATTGCAGCCTCCAACTCCTGGGTTCAAGCGATCCTCCTGCTTCAGCCTCCTGGGTAGCTGGGATTATAGGTGTGCACTATCACGCCTGGCTAAATTATAGATAGATAGATTAGATAGATAGATAGATAGATAGATAGATAGATAGATAGATAGATAGATAGGCAGGCAGGCAGGCAGGCAGGCAGGCAGGCAGAGAGACAGAGAGAGAGAGAGAGAGAGAGAGAGAGAGAGAGACAGGGTCTTGCTGTGTTGCCCAGGCTGGTTTCAAACCCCAGGGCTCAAGCAATCCTCTTACCTCAGCCTCCCAAAGTGCTGAGAGCTATCAAAGCCAACATGGTAGCAAACCACCACTGGTCATTTCTCTACTACCTTCAATTCAAGATGGCGACATCAGCATACCCACTGCATTCCCTGCCACATCAATTCCCCAGAATGGAAGAAAAGTATACAGAAATATCTATAATATAAAATATATTTTATATAAACATTAAAATCCATAATAGAAAAACTTTTTTTAAAGGTGCCAAACCTAGCTTTACTTAGTGGATTTTCCCATCCCAAATCCTTAACTCCAGGACTTTCCAGGAGACAGTAGACTCTCCTCTCCTTCAGCAGGCACCAGCCTGCGGTTCGCAGGGAAAGCACATTACCTTGGCATCAACAATGTCCACGAAGTTTTCCCTGTCGATGAGCTTGAGATAATGGATGTTGAGAGGAGGGCCCAGAGCTTCCTGTGCCTCGGGATGGCTCTGCAGCTGCTCCACTGCCAACTTGTAATATAAAGCCCTGGAATGAAACTCTAAGGACGAAAGACACACTTATTTTCTTTATTGAACTTGGTCAGGTAGAATCTACTACACAGAAAATTAAATAATCCAACTGACGTACAGGGTAGAAACAGAAACGTGAAATCTGTGGATGGACGAATAATTAAGGCCATCTACTCTAAATTGTCCATTTTACAGACTCAAAAACCAAAGCACAGGCAGGCAGTGTTTTGCAGGGATGTGCAGATGACCTTGGGCCTTGACCTCATGCAGACCCTTTCTGCTTCACCTCATTTCTACCCTCACTCATTGCCTTATTTTGACACCTAAGAGGTTTGGTCAGCTCTTCTCTAAGTTTCCTCTCAAGTCTCTAAGTTTGCTCTAAAGTCCTACTATGATTCCATGACTTGTTCAAAGTGACACAGCTGGTCCATGGCAAAGCCGAGGCCAGAATCCATGATACCTGACTTCTCAACACTGCCTGTTCCACTAAGTTGAGACATAAAATAGAAAGACCACAACATTAACAACAAAACCCTCAGGCCTAGAAACAGGATATGAAAATGTTCATTCATCAAGATTTAAGCCAACATTTCAACTCAAACTGCTCTCAGTCTCAGGAATCCTTCTGAGCCCACAGGCTACCTGGGAACTCCGGGAAGCACCTCCCTGAAGCTGTAAGTTCTAATAATCAGCTGCCCAAAGGAGGGAGCAGAGGCAGGCTTCCCAAGCAGGGTGTTCAGTTTGGCCGCAGAAAGTGCTTCTCTTCTGAAGGTCCCATCACACTAATGAAGGGAAAGGTGACCTGACCCTGGAGAGGCCAAGGGAATCCCCCTCCTGGGCTGCTTCCCAGGAATAGGGATACAGGGAATACCACAGGCATGAACACGGTGCCAGCTATGATAGGAAAAGAAGGGACAGAAGCAGGGTCCAGACAGCTAATCTTTATTGAGTGATTTCTATGGCTAGGCACTGTTCTCAATATTCCACACATCTCACAATGTTCAACAGCTCTTGTGTTGTGAGATTCAATTCTCACCTCATACACAAGCACTAACATTACCACACATCACACCAATAAGGTAACTAATGCCCAGAAAGGTGACGGACTCCCCCATAAGGCCACATAGCTGGTCAAGAGCTGGAGCCGAGATTCAACCATTCAACCCAGGCAGTCGGCTGCAGTGCCCAGGTCTCACCGACTTAGCAGCCTCCTAAGGGAGAAAGGCTGTCACACCAGAAAGCTGAACCCTGACCCAAAAGTGCACCCATCCCTCTCATGTCCTGCCCCTGTCCCTTTGGCAGAGGGAAGAGGAGGCCAAATTATTCAGTCTGAATCATTCCTGGGAACGCTCATCTCAGGCCCCCTCCAGACTCTGCAACTCCACCAACTCTGCAGGATGGTGCAGAAAGGCTGGAGAGGACACTGGAGCCTGTCTGCTTGTCTGCTGGTGACACTCACATCCTGGGAAGAAGTGAAAATGTTGCAGAGTGGATGACGAGCCAAGCTGGGTGGGGATAAAGGAGCCTAAAAAAAGCCAGTCTAGAAAAAACTGCTGCCGCTTTGCCACCAGTAGCATTAAAATGACCTTAAATGTCCTGGCTGCTGACAGTAATTGTGGCCTGTCTTTACAAATTCAAATTTGAGTGCAGTGGGGCTGGAAGCGGCATCTGTCGGGATTTTGCCATCGTGGTCTCTGCTTTTATTTTCTGCCCCTGCCAGAGTTCCTTGCTCATGGTCCCTCCTCCATTAAATCAACAGCAGAGAATGAAAGTGCAAAAAAAGTCTGACAATGCTGGACGCACAGCCACAGCTTTCCCCACCTGTGAACCATCTGGTATTCCCCTTCCCTCTGTCCCTTCTTTATATAATCTCAGAATCTTGATGGAGCCCCTGTGTGTGCACTGGACTGAAAGCCCATCGTGCTTTGCTGGGCTTCTTATGCATATTAGTCCTGGTCCTTTTATTTGTACTCGTTGCTCCTGGAAAAACTGAGATTACAGGATACAGAGGAAGCTATAGCCAACGAAATGGTGGACTAGCCTTTAAAATCACCCTCTCCTCCTTTCTCTAATCTAAACAAAGCATCTCAAGTATTTCCTCTGATGGAGGAGCAGGAGCAGGCTAGGAGGAGGTCAGGCCGCAGGCGGCTAGCAGGATACTTACTTTGAATGAGGTAATACACAATGGCAAAGCCCCCGGCATAGAACACACCGTGGAAAAGGATCCTTGCTCCCAGAGGCATTGACCGCCTGCTTCCTGCATACTTAAAAACAAAAGATACAAATTTATTGTAGGATTCCCAGTTTTGTGCCAAGGGGATTTGCCCGGCTTGGACCCCTAAAGGAAAGAAGCATTAAGGAAGCCAGAAAGGAGGCCAGACCGCCCTCCCTCATTTGCTTCCTTTCCAAATGCCAGGGTTGGTTCTGAAGCCAAACTGAGTGCCCTCCTGAGGGTGCCCTCTCGAGAGTGGCCCATGTCCAGGACCCATGCTGTGGGGGCCCTGCCACCCCCAGCCAGCCCAGCACAGAGCGAGCATTCAGCCCACCATCCTGACAGACACAGCCCAGACTGTGTGCCAAGCCCCGCATGGCCAGGAAGCACAACCACTTTGTCTCAGGCCAACTGGTAAACAGGAAGCTTATCCTTTGTGGCAATGGCTGGTCCTGTAAGCCTGCGAATGGGCTGGAGCTGTCACTGGCTCCTTTCATATTTTGAAAAATGCACCACCCTTGGGATGAGGAAACTCTGGTTATGACTCAGGCTGAATGAACAGATGGAGGGATGCCAGCTCGGTAAATACAGCATACCATCCATCCACTCTTATAATATGTAAGAGTATCAAAATGAGTGTAAAGTTAATTACAGTAATGTGATCTGGGAAAAGTCATTTAGTTCTCATAATGAAAACGGTCAGAGCATCTCTGAAGAATGTATTAGTCAGATCTTGCTTAATTTGAAGAGAGCTCAACAGGGTGAGGCAGCCAGACTGGGTTATGGAGAGGTTCCCAGAGTGTTACAGCTTCCAACGCCAGCATGAGACACGAGAGAAAGACAGAGTGGGAAACAATGCAGAAAATGCCCATCCCTCCTGTGAAGTTAAAGCACAAGTGAACCCTAAAGACCAGGAGAAGCCCATAACTATTCAGGGAGTGACTTTCTTCTATTGTCTAACTCGAGAATACCCTGGCAGGTTCTAGTGGGGAACTTGGCCCTGGAACATTCCATTACCTTTTGCCACATCATAGCACAACTCTCTTGAAAATCATCAAAGGCAAGTTGTCCTGCAATTAGAAAAGATTTTACATTAAAATCATATTTTTAAAGCCCAGTTCTCTCTAGTCTCATACAGCCAAGATTTATTACCAACCCAAGCTTTAGAACACGAACAAGAAGTTAAAATTAAACTCTAAAACAAGCCTTGTCTGTGAAAGGCCCTGGTTTTTCCCCCTTCTGCTGCCAAATTAGGAAGAAAAAACAAAGCCTGCGGGTTTCCTGTCTGTGTCCTATGTAGTTTTTGTTACAGCAACCAAAGAACCGGTGTGCACAAGGGAGAACCGCAGACAGCAAGTGCTTTGACCACAGCACAAACACAGGGCCAATCAACAGGAGGCTGGACCTGCAGAAGCAAGATGCTAGCAATAAAAGCTGTACGTGACAGAGTGAAAACAGCACTTCAGAGTTAAAAAGAAACAATAGTACAGTAAACTTATACATGGACTTTAACAATATTGATAATACCTAATACTTCTGTCTCTGACTATTATGTGTCTTGTACTATTCTAAGCACTTTATATAATTCATTTAATTCTCACAACCCTTTGAAGTAGGAACTATTATCATCACGCTCATTTTGCAGATGAGTAAACTGAGGCACAGAAAGGTTAAGTAACATGCCCAAAGGTGCACTAATAAGTGAATAAGTGGTAGAACTGGGATTCAAATTCATGCAGTCTGGCTCCAGCATCTGCTCTTTCAACCACTGTGGTACACGAGCTTTAAGATATCTAATTAAAGCAATATTGAAATGTGAAAACAAACAGTGTCTCTGAGCTAAAATATATTCTTACTGTTCAGTGTAAAAGTCCTTGGCAGGCATGCCTTTCCTGCTATTTTTCCAGACAAGGTGGATACATATTTGTACCTTCATTCCTTCTTTTGTTTAGCAAACGGTTACTGAGGGTCTGATCTGGTCAGACAGTAAGAATATAAAAACAGTATCAAGATATAAGGAATTTTCCTTGGTCCTGAGGGGAATACAGACAATTAAACAAATAATTATAACATAGATCTATCACATGCAACTGCACGGCTATGCACTGCACAACCCTTGTAGGGCACCATGCACATTAGAGAAATCAAAGATTTGTATCTTTATTAAGACAGTTTGCCAACAGTTGGAAGTACTATAAAGTATCTTGAAGAAGGGATGGGGATGGTTGTCTTTTTCTAATTTGCACAAAGGTGCCTTTGGGCTAGCAGCAGCCTGGTTAGTGCAACCAGACATATGCACCAAGAGAGGAAGTAACACTCAGGAAGTGGTCAACCTTGCTGCAGGGCATCAGCGGAGGTTTCACAGAGGAAGTTTACCTTGAGAAGAGAAAGGTGAAAAGAGCAGAACAGCTTCAAATCCAGGAAATGACAAACAAAGGCAGAGTGAGCAGAAACAAGAACTGCTGAAGTGTAAAGCGCAGGAGAGAAGCCACAGGAAGCATGTCCAGAAATGGAGGGGTGAGAGCATAGTGGGTGATTACTGCTAAGAAAGACCCTCGACCCTGAGCTGTCGGACTCTGCAGATGAGGGGCTACAGAAAAATCTCTCTGGGACAGGGGTGGGCAGATGGGGGAGAGAAGGCAATGCAGCAGGACTGCCAGAGGACACCAAAGCCCAGAGCTAAGACCAAGGTAGCAAGTGTGCCGCAAAAGGGTGGTTTCTTAAAATACTTAGGATGGGTCTTATTTATTTACTTATTTTTATACTTGCTCATTCCAAAAAGGATGATGGAGCTAACAAAGATACATACTTTAGAAGAAAAGAAAATAGGTAAGGAAATGAAGATAAATGAAAAATAATATTCAGAAAAGAAATAAGGCTGAAATAAAGTTAGAGCACAATAGGACATACTGTCATTCACTAGGCATTTCCTCAAGGTGCCACATATTTGACACGGCTTCCTATCTGCTCAATAGACAGGGAAGCTTGAGGAGCTACAAGGTCCAGAGTGTCCGTGGGGAAAGGCAAACCTGCCGCTGAGTTGGAAGACAACAGCTGCTAACACACGAAGCCTCAGAAAGCCCTCGCCAGGACTCAGAGATTCTCTCGAGTGACTCGTGTGGCAAACATCCTGTATTAAAAACAAGATAACAAAAATAAAAAGTTCCCAACTTCCAAATGACTATGTTTTATAACATCCAACTCTGAAAGCCACATTCATACTCCCCCACCACCAAAAAAAAAAAAAAACAGAAGAATTATTTTACAAGCAGCCGAAAGAGTGAGGACTCAAGAGTGCTCAGGCAGTGAGGATCAACCAAGTCTCCCCAGAGCCCTTCCACGTCAAAGCAGGGGTTGGGGTGTGAGTGGTGGGCAGGAAATGGGTTCAGGGGTCAGTGGGGGGCAGCAGGGGCTCCTTTTCAACTAGCTTCAGTTTACCTGCCCCTTCAGCTGCCTTTCAAAGAGTGTTAGGTAGCCCCCGACCTCACAAAAAAACAAATATTCAAAAAGGCACTGTAGAGGAATAGATGGAGTTTAGGCTAACTGCACGAATATTACCTCTTAGAACTAGTCTTCTAGTAAGAAGTGAAAATTTAAAAATGTGATGTGCCATTCTCTGCAATAAACTCAAGTTCAATCAGTCTACTACATTGCCAAATAAGGGCAGATTTACTTGCTTAACTGTTCGCCAAAAGGCAAGGGTTGCATCTGTATTGAAAATCAAGGAACTTGTTAGCCACAGGAAGGTGGCACAAAGCACTGGCCAAGGTCTCTGAGGAAAGCAGTCTTAACTCTGCTCTGATACACAAAGGGGTGACTTTGGCCTCCAAAGGCAAATAGTTTATAAACCTTTTCCAAAGTACTAAACCCTTTCTAGAGTCAAAGCACAGTCTGCTAAACGGATGCAGCAGCTGCTCAAGCTGGCACAGGCTGGAGGATCCTCCTGTCAGCCTCCCCTCAGCCAGGACCAGAGGAAGCATCACCAGGCGGATCAACAGAACAGCCAGGGAGTTCAAGCCATAGACAGGATCCCACAAGGCAAGGGTGGAAGCAGGAAGGTGGTGCAACTTCAACCTGGGAAGCACATCAGAATCACAGGAAGAGCTTAAAAAAAAAAAAAAAAAAAAAAACAGGCCAGGTGCGGTGGCTCACGCCTGTAATCCCCACCTTTCAGGAGGCCAAGACAGGAAGATCACTTAAGCCCAGGAGTTCAAGACCAGCCTGGGCAACTTGGTGGAACCGAAACTCTACAAAAAATACAAAAATCAGTCAGATGTAGTTGCATGCACCTGTGGTCCCAGCTACTCAGGAGGCTGAGGCAGGAGGATGGCTTGAGCCCAGGAGGTGGAGGTTGCCATGAGCCGAGACCATGCCCCTGCACTCCAGCCTGGGCAACAGAGCGAGGCCCTGTTTCAAAACAAACAAACAAGACAGATGTCCAGGCCACACCCAGACCAATTAAAATAGAATTGACAGCGGAAAGACCCAGGCAATGGTGGGTTTTAACCTTCTCAAGTAGTCGCAATCTGCAGCCGGGCTTGGGAACCAGTGGTATACTGGGAACAAAGCACATAAAGCAGCATTACAGGTACCTGAAGCAGGAGCAGGGCCAAAAGCCTGGCTATGAACACAGGCCATGTGACATTCCCAGCAGACCTATTAACACCCAGAGTCCTCTAAATCAGCGCTTTGCCAAGCATAACCTATTCACTTCACCTCTGTTCCTCTGGGTAACATGGCTGGCCTGGCTTGTCCTACATCTGGGTAACTACTACGGACCAGGCACCATGCAAGATGTTTGATATGCACTACTCCTGGTTCTTAAAACAATCATGAAAGGTAGATATTATTTTTGCCTTTCTGAACTAGAAAAAAAGCCTTAAGAAAGAAAGGTTCTGAAACTTGCTTATGGTCATGCAGCTATTCCCTATCAGAACTATTACATGCATCTGTCTGACTCCAGAGGGCATGGTCTCTCCACTGAGCCAAGACCATGGATTTCAGAAGAATCAGCTTCTCACACAGGTAGGATGTGCTGTCCAAAAGCCATTTCCATCTGCCAGAAGCAAATCACTGCTACTCTGGGAAATAGTTTTAATCAATATATCCCCAAGTTATAATTTAAGGGAACAAGGTAAAAAAAGGAGATACAAAATCACTTAGAGACTACTGGGAGGAAATGGAGAGATGGTTCTTCCCTATTGTTGAATGGGCATGGCCCACTGCTACTATCACTCTGGGGATTACATATCATCCAGCCTTTAAAAATCGAACCGTTGTCAAGGGTCAGGGTGGGAGGGGGTGGGGGGACAGTGGAAAGATAGTACAGAGAATTATGCTTAAGACAATAGAGATGAAAAAAGTAAGGCAATATAAATTAAAATGAAAAAGAATAAGAAACAAAATCCAAAAGGCCAAAAATAAAGATTAAAACTTTGGCATTTAAGAAAAAGAAGTATGTGGCTCACACCTGTAATCCCAGCACTTTGGGAGGCCGAGGCGGGTGGATCACGAGGTCAGGAGATCGAGACCATCCTGGCTAACGTGGTGAAACCCCGTCTCTACTAAAAATACAAAAAATTAGCCAGGCATAGTGGCGGGCACCCGTAGTCCCAGCTACTCGGGAGGCTGAGGCAGGAGAATGGCGTGAACCCGGGAGGTGGAGCTTGCGGTGAGCCGAGATTGCGCCACTGCACTCCAGCCTGGGCGACAAAGCGACACTCCGTCTCAAACAAACAAAAAAAAAGTATGAACGGCAAAAACAAAACAAAAGAAGGCTAAACTTTTTTGAAGAATGAAATGTCTCAAATTTAAGGTAAGGGAGACAAAAGGATAGTACTAAAAAGCAAAATGATAAAAGCATGTGAGTAAACATGATAAAAGTTTTTTTAAGTAAAAGACTATGAAATTAAGCATTTTAAAAATTAAGTATACAAATGTTAGCGCTGACTTTTTAACCACATTTTGGCTCTGAAATCATGGAATAACTTGAATGCTTGTAGAGGAAAGGCTTACCGTAACCCTTTATTCTTAATCACGAGGCAAGCTCCCTTTGTTAAGCTGAGTTAAGAATGTTAATAAAAGGCTGTCCAACACCCTTTCTACAGGTTGGCACAAAAGTAATTGTGGTTTTCACCACTGAAAGTAATGGCGAAAACCACAATTACTTTTGCACCAACCTAATATCAGAGATGTCTGCTACTCATCCCATGAAGACCAAGACTGCCTGGAGAGAGGGTCCCTGTGCCAATGGGAAGGATTAATGATTTTTTTTAAAGATTAATAAACTGTAAAATGACGGAAGATGCCATTTAGTTTAAGAGGGTATCAAGCTACCACTTCCTGATATGACTTCAGAAATTCCATTTAAAATACCTATAAAGATACACACAAGAAAAGACAGAAAGTAGGGCCTGCTTGGAACCATAACAAGTTGCAAAAGTCTGAGGAAATTTCCACTAACCACAATGTAAGTGAAGAGAGAAAGAGAAACATGTCCATGGACAAATGAACCCTGGCAGAGATGGCCAGAAAGCCTGTGGAGAAAGGGTTCGGCCCTTCACCTCTCTCCACACCCAGCTCAAAGTTTCTGGGTTTGTAGCAATCAGGAAACAGGCTGGCCAGCCCCAAACTGGGTATGAGTCCAGCTTCCAGAGACAGCCATTGTCATTTCCCCACCCCACTCTGTTTCTATATCCATTCAGAGACTACAATCCTAAGTAAACCCAGCAGTAAGGAGAGGCAGGATTGGCAGCGGTGCAATAACAAACTCACTCTAAGAAATAAAAGAATATGGAGAAAAATATCACTTTGGGTACTTAATTGGTTGTAGAAAGACTGCCTGTTAAGAACCACACGTGATGGGAACAAAGGACACTACACGCTAAAGAAGGAAAGGGAAGAAACTCAAATAAGGAGTGATGTCAAGGAAACTCACAAACTAGAATTAACATAGCAGAAAGCCAAATTCATAATGAAGTCATATTCAGGAAGTTATTGAAAAAAAAATCCAAATGCATAATGAAAGAACAAGAATATAAAAATGAAGAGCAAGAAAATGGCAAGTGGAGATTTAGAAACTAAGATCTGTTCAACAGATCATTGCTTCTGATGTTAAATAACTAGAGTAAATGGAAGATGAGATAAAACAAAAATGATACTAAAAGAAAACTTGAAAAAAGACAAAAATGTAGAACATGTTCCAGTTCCGTTCACCAACACCTCCTGGTAAAATTTTACATACCATTTTCCCAAAAGGTATACCAACAAAGGATGACATATTGGAGTAGCCTTAGGCTTCTTCTCTGTAACTACAAATTCCTGAGAATAAAGGCCCAACCAAACTGTGTGAAGAGGAAGACATTATAAATTTGGAACAAACTCAAGATATTCTATAATCTACATAGACATCCTGAAAACATTATTTGAAAACATATTGCAACTTATTGAAAAAAAATCCAAATTCCTTAAAAATAATGGCATATTAGGACCAGCAGCATGCACTGAGACCAATTAATCCAAATAATTGTTTACTTATAAAATGAACAGAAACATCTAGTGTTTTGTTATTTTACTTTTTATTATTTTAATTATTTTTAGTATTTTAGATGGAATCTCACTATGGTGCCCAGGCTGGTCTTCAATTCCTAGCCTCCAGTAATCCTCCTGCCAAGTACTAGTACCCCATCTCTACTAAAAATACAAAATATTAGCCGGGCATAGTGGCATAGTTTTTAAAAAGACATACAATATTTAAATTTACAATACAGCCTAAAATTCCAGATATTGCCGGGCATGTTGGCTCACGCCTGCAATCCCAGCACTTTGGGAGGCCGAGGCAGGCAGATCACTTAAGGTCAGGAGTTCGAGACCAGCCTGGCCAACATGGTGAAACCCCCATCTCTACTAAAAATATAACATCAACCGGGCATGGTGGTGTAATCCCTGTAATCACCTGTAATCCCAGCTACTCAGGAGGCTGAGGCGGAAGAATCGTTTGAATCCTGGAGTCAGAGTTTGCAGTGAGCTGAGATTGCGCCACTGCACTCCAGCCTTTGAGACATTTTCCATCTCAAAAAAAATTAAAAACTCCAGTATTAACATATAAAATGTAGGTAAAGACAGCCCCAGTGAACCACACCACCTGATAGTTGTATCTTCCCCCAATTAATCCAACTGGCTGTATGACTCGCTTCAACCAACAGGAGGAGGCAGAATTGATGTTGGAACTGTTCCATGCCTCCACTTTAAGGAGGCTTGGCAGTTTGCACTCTGGCACTCTTGGGAAGCCTAAGCCACTATATAAGAATTATGGTTATCCTGCTAGTGGGGTTCTTGCTACATAAAAAGACCACGTAAGAAGCCACTTTGTGAGGAAGAGGCCTAAGATGGGTGGGAGGGAGAAGATGCCCCACTGTTCCAATATTCCAGTTGAACCCAGTCATCCCTACCAAGGCACTAGCCATGTGAATGAGCTGTCATGGACATTCTAGTTTAAGTGGGCTACCAGATGACTGCAGTACCAGCAGAACATCCATGGGACAAAAGAACCATCAGCTGATCCAAGTCAACCTACGGAATCATGAAAGATAATAAAATTATTTTAGTTGTAAGCTACTAAATTTTGACAAGGTTTGTTATGCAGCCATTGAAAATGGAAATACCTTTTACAATATCTTCTAAAAGGATTTTTAAAAACCTCTTTCAGATATGTTACTTTTAAGAGCAGCAATTTAAAAAGCAAAGAAAGACTTAAAAATAGAAGACTTGGAACATTCAAACAAACACAAGGAGGGCAGAAATATTCAAAGAGTTGAATTTAAGACAAAACATAGGCCAGGCATGGTGGCTCATGCCTGTAATCCCAGCATTTTGGGAGGCCAAGGCAGGCGGATCACGAGGTCAAGAGATCGAGACCATCCTGGCCAACATGGTGAAACCCTGTCTCTACTAAAAATATAAAAATTGGCTGGGCATGGTGGCGCAGCCCTAATCCCAGCTACTCGGGAGGCTGAGGCAGGAGAAATCACTTGAACCCAAGAGGCAGAGGTTTGCAGTGAGCCAAAATCGTGCTGCTGCACTCCAGCATGGCTACAGAGCGAGATTCCATCTCAAAAAACAAAAAAACAAAAAGTATTTGAGACAAAGATAAACAATAATACAGTAGTTATTAACATAACATAGCAAATATCATTATACCAAAATAAAGCCAAAAACTACCACCTACCGCAAATATTAAAAAAGAAAAGAAAAGAAAAGAAAAGAACTAGAGAGGGAGACCACAGATCGCTTTCCAGTTTTAGCAAATCCAGCTAACAAAAGAGCAGTCAAGGCCGGTTGCGGTGGCTCACGCCTGTAATCCCAGCACTTTGGGAGTCCAAGGCAGGAGGACTGTTTGAGTCCAGGAGTTCAAGACCAGCCTGGGCAACACAGTGAGACCCTATCTCAAAAAGAAATAAAATAAAATATAAAATAAAAATTAAAAAAAACAGTCAAGAACAGAGAATTTGAGTAATATAGTTTTTACCTTGCAAAGTACAACATGTGTGTATGTGTTATCTGTGGCGATATATGTGTAAACACTAGCAGGTAGCACCCATCCCATAAAGCTTTGTGGGACTGACATAAACCAACCTGTTTTCACTGCCCAGTCCTGTGACTACTCCGGGAAAGTAAATCTGAACCACTCTGGAGAGGGCAAAGCAAGTGTATAGATTAGCAATTACATATCTTAAATCAACTTCATCTGAACCATAGTGGAACTATCTTCTCATACTACTGCAAGTGGCTAACCATTATCCCTAATTTTGAAAATTATGGTAAAAATCTGAAATTTAAGTTTTAAATTAGAAGATGGAAGAACTCAAATCAGTTTGATGCCATTTTCAATGAGAATAAAACAAACTGAAAATGTTAACAGTTGTTACCCATTCATTCAATCAACAAATATTTGCCAACTGCATCCAAAACCAGGCGCCGTGCTAGGCACTAGAAACAAAAAAGAGAACAAAACAGACAGGTCATTTATGGACCTTACCCTGTGCTGTAGTGTGAGGAGACAAACAGTAAACAAATAAGATCACTTCAGTTAGTAATAAGTACTTTAAAAAAAAAATAGGGTGTTAAGAAAATAAGAAGAAAAGCCACAGACTGGGAGAAAATATTTACTAAAGACATCTGATAAAAGAATTGTTACCCAAAATATGCAAAGAACTTGTAAAATTCAACAATAAGAAAATGAACAACTTAATTTGAAAATGGGCAAAAATGCTGAACAAACATCTCACCAAAGATACAGAGAAGGCAAATAAGCATATGAAAGGTGCTCAACATTATATGTTTATTAGGAAATTGCAAATTAAAACAACGAGAGGCGGAGGTTGCAGTGAGCCAAGATCCTGCCACTGTACTTCAGCCTGAGAGACAGAGTATGACTCTGTGTCAAAAAATAAAAATTAAAATAAAAAAATTAAGTCTATTTTATTTATTTTTTTTAAAAAAGTTACTGCTGAAGGCCCGGCGCTGTGGCTCACGCTTGTAATCCCAGCACTTTGGGAGGCCGAGGCGGGTGGATCACGGGGTCAGGAGATCGAGACCATCCTGGCTAACACAGTGAAACCTCGTCTCTACTAAAAATACAAAAAATTAGCCCAGCATGGTGGCGGGCACCGGGAGGCGGAGGCAGGAGAATGGCGTGAACTTGAGAGGCAGAGCCTGCAGTGAGCCGAGATTGCGCCACTGCACTCCAGCCTGGGCGACACAGCGAGACTGTCTCAAAAAAAAAAAATTTACCACTGAAAAGAAATTAGCTCAAAGATGTGATAAAATGTCATCTGAGAACAAATCAAACCTCTCGAAACTAAGATATAACATAAACACCTGATAAAACATATGCTAATATTCATAATGAATTATAAAACCCAAATAATGAATGAAATCGAATTGTTTTCTAAACTGTACTTTCTTAAGACCAAATAACATAGTAAGGGTTGTTCTCCCTCTAAAATCTACTCTAATTTCACTCCTACCTCTCGCCAGTGTTCACTATCAAAACCTTGAAATATTCAAGTGGGAAATGCCATGTGAAGACTCTCTCAAAAATAAGCAAACAAATAAATATCATGACATACTAGAATATGAAAGGGGGAAGCGCAATTTTAATGTGGCAGTGAAGAACGGCACCTCTGCCAAGGTGACATGTGAGACTGGAGGGATCATTTGAAAACCAGGGGAAGGGCACGCCAAACACGCCAAGGCCCTGAGGCAGCCACAGGCTCGGTATCTTCAAGAAGCAGAAGGCAGGCTCGTGAATGAGGTGTGGAAGAGGAGGCCAGGCAAGAGGGCAGGGTCTTCATCATGCAGGTTTTGTAGGTATGGTAGGGAGTCTGGATTTTACTCAAAGTGTAAGAGAAGATGCTGAAGGTTTCAATCAGGAAATGACACAGTATGACTTGCTTTTTGTTAAAGATTTCTCTAGAAAGGACAAGAATGGAAGCAGGGAGTCCAATTAAAAGGCTCCATGGCAGAGCTGGTGGTGGCTTGGACTAGCTGGTAGCAGCAGACCTGCAAAGAAGTAAATCCACTTGAGATATGAAGCAGAATTAACAGGACTTGTTGACAAATTATTAACAGAAATTGGGGAAAGGGTGAAGGACAAGGCGCATAGCAGAGTGATTTCTGAATTTATCAATATTATCCTTAAACCTCCTTACAAAAAACTTGAGCATTGAAAACTACCATGCAGTTGGAACTTAGTAATGATAAAGAGTCTTGATGGAAAGTTTTAAATAGAAAACCATGATTTCTAAATCATTAGTCATGACATCTGCTTGAACAAATACATTTCAAGGCCATTCTCTTGTAGATTTTAAACCACAGCAAGAAGGTATTCAGTACTTTCTGGCATAAAAACTTCATGGAATGGACTCTGATTCATAACCATTTTGCAAATGAATATGAGTAGGGCAAACCCTATTAAACATTTACTTCAGCATTCCTATTAAGAGCCTCCATTTTAGAAAAAAACATTTATAAAAATAAAACAATTTGGTATCAGTGACTACAAAAGGAATCTGGGAGGTTTGCTATTGACTCTTCCCTCCCTAGAGTCCTCCCTTTATTCTCACAGACTCAGGTGTTTGCTTTCTATTTCTCTGGAGAGTCCTCTCCACTCCCCTGCCTGTTTTACATAGCCCCCCATTCTATATTAGGGGCTGAATTGTGTCCTCCCAAAATTCATATGTTGAAGCCCTAATTCCCAGGTCCTCAGAACATCACAGTATCTGGAAAAAAGGTCTTTAAAGAGGTAATTAAATTAATATGAGATTTTCAGGGTGCATCTTAATCCGATAAGAAATCTGGACTCAGACATACACACATACAGAGAAAAGACTGTGTTAAGACAAAAGGAGAGGGTGGCATCTACAAGCCAAGGCAAAAGGCCTCAGAGGAAACCAACCCTGACAACACCTTCATCTTCAACTTCTACCTCCAGACCTGTGAGAAAATATATTCCTGTCATTTAAACCACCCAGTCTGTGCTATTTTGTTAATGACGGACCTAGCAAATTGATACACTCTATATACCCTTTCCTACTCCCCGACCCCAAGAACATCTCATTCAAGGGCATGAATCTAGGTCTACTAAAATAATCCCCACATCTCTATCTCCAGGCCAGGTGTCCCTTCTGCACTTGAAATTCCTAGTAAATACTTCCACAAGTCCCCATGTGAGCTCCTGCCCTGACCCTCCTCCACTCCACACCAGGTCTCCCCTTCCTGCATTCCCTACTTGGTGAACGGAACCAACCCAGGTGCCTAAATCAGATACCTGGGAGTCATCCTCATAAAAACAAAAGTGGCTTCCATATGTTTACTCACATGCAAGAAAGAGCTTTGCATGTATCTTATCAAATCTTCTTAAGGGTCTTATAAAGCAGGAATTACTCTCCCTATTTTGTAAGTGAAGAAGCTGAGATTTGGGTTAATTGTGAGAGCCACTCCTTTAAGAAGTGACAGAGTCAGGATTTGAGCCCAGGTCTGCCTGACTCCAGGGCCTATGCTCCTCACCTAAATTACCCCCAATCTAATCAGGCCCCCTCAAACCCATACAATCTGTTTCCTAAATATCTTTGGATATTTTCCACCTTGTCTTTATCCTCCAAATGCCCTAATTTGGCCCCTAAGTATCTCTTTCAACCAAGGGGTTATCAAGACTGCTCTGCCTTTGGCCTCATTCCTCTCTAGTCTAGAATCCTTCTAATACAGAAAACTGATTGTATCCCATTCTTCAATGGCTCCCCATCCTATTCAGAATAAAATCTAAGCTTCTTTGCATTACACGGTCTTACTGCCCAGTTTCCTCACCACATTCTTAAATCCCAACCACCCTCCTGAGTTACACTGAGCAGAACATGGTAAGTGCCACAGGCCCTGGCACTTCCTGTCCACCCTGGCAACCCTAACCACCCTTTAAGTCTCAGCTCAAATGCTAATTTTAGTGTTAGAAGAGGTCCTTGGCTTACCAAGGCAAACTTAATTTTCTTTCACCTATACTTTCACAATAGTTACTTTAGTATGCTATGGCTGTTAAATTACCTAATTCTCAATAGACATTTAACTACTTTAAGGCTAGGATTGGGTTTTCCATTTTAGAATGCCTCATATCTAACACATAGAATAGGAGATCAATGTTTGTGGCATCAATCTAACAGGATGTTACTAGATTTGTGGTAGGTAAAGAGTGGGATTCTACTAAGAAACAGACCTTTCCAGGCCGGGTGCAGTGGCTCACGCCTGTAATCCCAGCACTTTGGGAGGCCAAAGCGGGCGGATCACAGGTCAGGAAATCTAAACCATTCTGGCTAACACAGTGAAACCCCGTCTCTACTAAAAATACAAAAAATTAGCCAGGCGTGGTGGCGGGCGCCTGTAGTCCCAGCTACTGGGGAGGCTGAGGCAGGAGAATGGCGTGAACCCGGGAGGCGGAGCTTGCAGTGTGAGCCGAGATCGCGCCACCGCACTCCAGCCTGGGCGATAGAGCGAGACTCCATCTCAAAAAAAAAAAAAAGAGACATTTCCAGAAAGAAAATACCAGTTTCCTAGATCACAATCCAGGGTTTCTATCTAACTTCAATCACTCTTGGAGTGTGGTCCTTGTACCTCTGGAGGGCCTTGAGACCATTCCAGGGTGAACACAAGGTCAAAACCATTTTCAAAAAAACACTAATATGTTACTTGTCCTGAAAAGGAAAAACTGTATCTACCACCAAATAAATAAGACTTTGGCTAATGAGATTCATGGTGAAAGTAATGAATATGAATTTTTGTTATTTATAATAAAATGTTTTACCATTTTAATGATCTGCATAAGTTAGTAAAAATCAGTATTTTTTAAATGACCAAGGCATGGTATTTCAAAATCATGCAAGAGAAATTAATTTTAATGTAACAGAATACAAAAAGGTTTACTGATCAGCCTTCAGATTACATATGACAATTAACCTTTAAGAAATTATCACTTGCCAAGTTTTGGTGTTGTATCAAAGAAGATCTACAATTATCTGAAAAGGCTATTAACATGAAAAAGCTATGAACATGCTCCTCCCTTTTCCAACTACGCATCTATTTGAGGACAGATTATTTTCATATATTTCTTTTTTATTTTGAGACAGAGTCTCGCTGTGTCACCCAGGCTGGAGTGCAGTGGCACGATCCTGGCTCACTGCAACCTCCGCCTCCCAGGTTCAAGCAATTCTCCTGCCTCAGCCTCCCAAATAGCTGGGACTACAGGCACCTGCCACCACGCCCAGCTAAATTTTTTTGTATTTTTAGTAGAGACGGGGTTTCACTACGTTGGCCAGCTGGTCTTGAACTCCTGACCTCGTGATCCATCCACCTCAGCCTCCCAAAGTGCTGGGATTACAGGCGTGAGCCACTGCATCTGGCCTATTTTCATATATTTCAACCATAAAAATATATTGCAACAGATTGAATGCAGAAGCAGGTACATCTGTCTTCTATCAAGCCAGACATTAAAGAATTTTTGAAATAATGTAAAACAATGTTATTCTCACTAAATCTTAAAATTTTCATAAAGATATGCCATTTATGTTAATGTTACCTGGGTTTATTTTCTCAAAATGAATAAATATTTTTTCAGTTCTCAGTTTTAATTTCTAATACAGTAATAGCAATAGATAGAACCCACATAAACAACAGAATGTAAAGGGGCCCTGACGCCAAAATATTTGAGAATTGCCTCTCTAAGGAACCAAGAGACCCAAGGTCTCAAAACTCAGGCCTATCTCAACTGCTCTGTTATTACTATTTTTGTCATAAATCAAGTGCCATACCAGTATGGATCTGTTTCTAAAGTCTTGATATAGTTTGGGTATTTGTCCCCCAAAATCTCATGTTTAAATGTAATCCCCAATGTTGGAGGTGGGGCTTGGTGGGAGGTGACTGGATGATTGGGGTGGATTTCTCTTGAATGAGTTGGCACCATCCTCTTGGTGCTATCTTCACAATAGTGAGTTCTTGCGAGATCTGGTTGTTTCAAGTATGTGGCACCTCCTCCAGCTCTCTCTCGCTCCTGCTCTTGCCATATGATGTACCTGGTCCCACTTCACCTTCTGCCATGAGTAAAAGCTCCCTGAGGCCCCTGCCAGAAGCTGAGCAGATGCTGGCACCACACCTGTACAGCCTGCAGAATAATGAGCCAATTAAACTTCTTTTCTTTATAAATTACCCAATCTCAGGTATTCCTTCATAGCAAAATAAAAACAGCCTAATACAAGTCTAGTCTATGCCACTGATCTATTTGTCAATCCTTGTGACAATACCACTCTGCCTTAATTATTTAGATTTATACTAATTCTTGATATCTGCGATAACTCTGAATTTCAACACAGATTTACTACATCAAAAACTAAAGACAAAAACTTACGGGCTCGTGCCTGTGGTCCCAGCTACTGAGGAGGCTGAGGCAGGGCAAGAGGATCACTTGAGCCCAAGAGTTTGAGACTACAGTGAACCATGATCATGCCACTCCACTCCAGCCTCTGCGACATAAAGACCCTATCTCAAAAAAAAAAAAAAAAAAAAAACACACACACAAAAAAAAACCTAAAACCCACTGACCATCAACTCTCCATTTCCCCATCCCCCAAGCCCCAGCAACTACCATTTTATTAATATCTTCTATGAATTTTACTACTTTAGATACCTCATTTAAATGGAATCATTTAGGCCAGGCACAGTGGCCACACCTGTAATCCCAACACTTTGGGCGGCCAAGGCAGGCAGATGGCTTGAGCTCAGGAGTTTGAGACCAGTCTGGGCAACATGGTGAAACCCCATCTCTACTAAAAAGAGAAAAATGGATGATCCCTTAAGCCCAGGAGTCAGAGGCTGCAGTGAGCCAAGATCGTGCCACTTTACTCCAGCCTGGGTGACAGAGACCCTGTCTCAAAAAATAAATTTTTTTTAAAAAATGGAATCATTTAGTATTTGTCTTTAGAAAGAGAGAGAGAGAGAGAGAGAGAGAGAGTCTTGCTATATTGCCCAGGCTGGATTGTAATAGCTATTAACTGCTGTGATCATGGCATACTACTGCCTCTAATTTCTAGGTTCAAGCAATACTCCTGCCTCAGTCTTCCAAGTGGCTGGGATTACAGGCATGCAACACCACACCCGGCTCCATTATTTGTCTTTTTGTTATGGCTTATTTCACTTCGCATAGTATCAAGGTGACCAAATTCCCTTCCTTTTTTAGGCTAAATAATACTGTGTCCATATATTTTTAAATCACATAAAATCTATGGTGTTTTAAATCAGGACAGTAGTTACCTCTGGGGAATATGAAGATAGTGTCTAGACATCACATAAAGAAATATAGAATATAAATAACGTTTTATTTCCTGACCTGTGTGGCGATTACAGAAGCATGTTCACCTTGTAGTAATCCCTGTTCCACCCTTAGAAAAATCACTAACTTGACACTAAATATTGTTCTAAATTTATGAACAGGTGGCACACTGCTGTAATGCCAGCTATTTGGGAGCCTAAAGTAGGAGGGTCACTTGAGCCCAGGGGTTCAAGGCTTCAGTGAACCATAATCATGCCACCATACTCCAGTCTGGGTGACAGTGTGAGATACTGTCTCTAAAAACATAAATACATTTATGAACAGCTTCAACAAGCCTGCTCCAGAGCTAGCCATCAGCTAGGATCAGCTCTCCCTACAAGAATATGCTATAAAGCAGAACAGAGCTCCTGTCAGTTTAAATCAACTGACATTTATCATCCTGCTTACATTTCCTTTATGTCTTCAGTCTTTTACTTTCAAGTACTTCTAAATTCCGATGTTCTCACATGACTTTTCCTTTTATGCAAGCATACTGGAAGTCTGTGTAGTCAAATAGGTGAATTGCTCATTTCAAAATTATTTTGAAACTCTGTCTCAAAATAAAAAAGAAATATATGAAAAATAGGAGAATTGCTCATTTCAAAAAACATTAATGTGTTTTACATGTTAATGGCTTTTGGTGGAAAAAAAAATTTCATCCACTATAACACCGTTATTACTACTGTGAACTACAACTTCAATAAAATGGGGAAAAAAACAGACATTTTCCTGAAAAGATTTGAGCTTTCAATCTAAATCTGATGTCTTATGAGATCACAAAACATACTGCTCAACATCCCAAATTATACACAGTATTTAACGAGCAGTATAGAGCGTCAAAATTAAGAAAATCAACTATTAATCCAAGGATCTGCAGTTGTGAGGAAAATAAATCATTACTATTCCATGCTTTAAAGAAAATACAATGGCTTCTTCTGCTATAAACAGGAAAGGTATTGCTTAGGTAAACATTCACATACATCACTCTTCTGTACTTTTCAGGAAAAAGTACAAAAGCAGTGCCCTATTCAGATGTGTGGTTTCACAGAACTTAAGAAGAGTTCTGCAAAACCCAGCTCAAGCAGAGTGTATTAATTCGTTCTCACACTGCTATAAAGATACCACCTGAGACTGAATAATTATAAACAAATGAAGTTTAGTTGACTCACAGTTCCACATGGCTGGGGAGGCCTCAGGAAACTTCCAATCATGGCAGAAGGGGAAGCAGGCACCTCTTCATGGCGGCAGGCAGGAGAGAAAGTGAAAAGCCCAGAGGAAAGCCATTTATAAAACCATCAGATCTCCTGAGAACTCTCTCACTATCACAAGAACAGCATCTAGGAAACTGCCACCATGATCCAATCACCTCCCTCCCTCCACACGTGGGTATTACAATTCAAAATGAGATTTGGGTGGGGACACAGAGCCAAATCGTATCACAGACAGAGTAAATTTGTCCTTTCTTTTGCCTTTTTGTTCTTTTGGGACCCTCAATGTGCTGCATGATACCCACCTCATTGGTGAGGGAGATCTTCAGTCTACTGATTCAAATGCTAATCTCTTCTGAAAATACCCTCACAGATACCTCCAGAAATTGTGTTTAACCAGCCATCTGGACATCTTTTAGCTCATCTTTTAGCCACTTAAGATGTTCAATCTTCTTTAAGTTATATACTTATACTAAAGCTGACACACAAAAATAACCATCACATGGGCTAATTACAAAATAAGCCAATTGGCTTTGGGTTGCCTTGCAATGAAGAGCATGGTAGAAGCACTACACTGTTTATACGGACCCAAGATCCAGTATAAAATGGCACCCTTAATTTTAGGGATCTGTCTTTGCCTTCAGCTGTACCTGCTTATTAGGCCCTAAAAAATGCATGCTACCTGGCCTTGTTTCTCTAAGGGCTCCACCCTAAAGCCAGTAACCCTATTAAGAAACTGGCAAATGAAAAATCTTAACAAGGGCTCAATCTTCTATATGTTTGTGTTGCTATATATGTGTTGTGTGTAATGTCTATAAAAAGAGCTCTAATTGGCTTAAAGAAAAATAAGCACTTAAATATTTTTTAGTTCACATGACTTCAAGAAATAAAAACAGTCTTAAGAATTATTGGTAAAATGCAAGTGTCGTCAAAATGCAAATAGGTGGTCTAAATCATACAACTTAGATACTAGGTTTGCTAAACATTCCAAGATTGTATACTGCCTGCTTTACAGATAGGTAAGGCTGGGACATATAGAGCTGGATGCTGAAAAGTCAAACTTTTATCTGCATTTCTCTCTGGGTCCTAGGATCCACACCAAGTATATAATTAAAACTGCTTACTAACCAGATTTTTCACCAAAAATAAAAGTTGCTAAAAGTTAACAGTGAATATTAATTAAACTCAAAAGGGTATTATATGGTCTTTTCACAAATTGGACATTGAAATAAAACCATGGCAAGCAGGTCTTAAGACACTAATCTGCCCTTTAGTAAAAGGGTTATAAAAGGCTTGTGAAAATTTCACCTCCCAGTCAAATTGGTTATGATTAGAAGCAATGATCTATAAGATTTCATAGAAACAAATTGGGGTTAACATTAATAAATTAATGCAAGGGTAAACTTTGGCTTTGAACAGGATTTCCATGTCATGGTAAAGGCTAATGAAAGGTTTTTGCCTTTTGAGTCATCATTTGGCAATCTGGAATTCTATTTCATAACATCAAATGTTCTAAACCTCTAACATTTAACAGGCCTCCCAAAATCAAACTTCAAGTTTCAAAACTGTCCTTCCTGATGCCTGGCTTTTTGGATGGTTCAGAAGGTCCCTGAAACATTCAGAAAAGAGGTAAAAAAGATTATTTGACATGTTTAGTCACATGAGATTGCCAAAATATTTCCAATCTTCTTTAAGTTATATTTTGGTGAATACTAATATATGTTCCCAAATTGAATGGGATTTCTAAAATTCTAACGTCTAAGTATATGCTATCAATCATAATTAAGGGTAAAGTTATTGTAAACCACAGAGATAAATAAACTTTTGTCTGACATGTTTTTAACTGTATCCTGGAAATTTTGTCATTCACAGACAATTGTCTTGCTTTGTTCCTTCTCAAAAGACGGTTTATAATCAAGCCATATTAAGAACTTTAACAGATGTTCTCAAATGCAGATTCTTAATAGCCTTGAAGATTGTTAACACTGGAATAGAGGAAGAACATACAGGACTCAAAGAACTGACATGTTCACAAATATCAAGCAAAACAAGAGCTAATTAAATGGACTGGACTCAGAAAGTTAAAGCCACCTTTTTGACTTTCGCTTGCAATATTGCTGATCCTTGTTTTGTTTTTCAGAGTCCAGGAAACTTATTTTAACTATTTATGGCCTTTAATAATTGAATAAGGTATGCTCCTGTGAACAAAATTTGGAGCATGTTTCTTTTTCTCTGCCTGGTTCCTCCAGAATTTGGAAACTATCTGTGAGTACTCTTAACTTACAGCAATATAATTGTTTCCATCAGTGCAATAAGAATCCATTTTTCTTTGTCGACAGGACACAATTGGTAAAACTGGTTATTTTACCAAGGCTTTGACTGAAAGGGTGTGTTTCCCTTTAAGGAATCAAGCTTGACATGCAGAGCCAATAAAAGCCCCTTGGGGAGTACTGGCCTCATACCTTGTCTACACAGTCCATGAACAGAGATCTTAACCTGTCGTCAGTAAAGAATGTCACTTTCTAACAGGTCCAGCAGCTCCAAGTTTATCTTGGGACCTCAAGAGGAGATCACCCAACTCACAGGTATTTGAGGATACAAACCCATGTGGATGGCTGGGCTCAGCTTTAAAGGTCTTATCTGAGATTCCTGTGGAACAGAGTTCCATCAAAGCCAATCCAAAAGGCCTATGTAGAAATAACCACTCTTGCTGCACTTTATGCAAATAATCAGGCCAAGTATAAGACTAAAATTTATTCTACAAACAACACACACGGTCCTATCATAATTTGTTTTTACAAAAAATGAGGACTGGAGAGAGAAATTGTGCTCCAAAGCTTATCATACATTTGTCATTAAATCCTAGTCTAATTGTTTTTAAGCTTTTTGCCTACATTTTAGACTAACCCTGCTTATTCCTGTGAATCAAGTGGCGATCTCCTACAGCTTGGATGAAACAAAATGGGATGGATAACATAAAAATCTGGATCAATATGCTGGTTCTGGGCAATTATCCTGCAAATTCTGCCAGGTAATGAAAGTGAGTAGGGTGCCCATAACCCTGAGGTTTCTTTGTTTGGGAAATAAAACCAAGGAACTTCATAAATCCCCAAATATCTTGGCAAGTAAAATTTTAGATGAAAATTATCTACTATACCACACTTGTGGGAACTGCTATACTCACTCTACTATTTGCAATAGGGTTATACAGAGTAGCACCTTCTAACTGAAATATTGGACAGAGAACTTATGTCTTGTATTAATATTTGGACCCTGTATACTCAATACTATAACTTGAATTGTTTCCTCTCACCTAGAAGCAATCAAACTCCAAATAGTGCTGCAAACTAAACCACACAGGAACACACCTTTCTTCCAAGGACCCTTAGATCAACCCCAGGAGAAGCCCTAGCTGCTGTTCCCCATTCGATGCCCCTTCTCAGCAGGAAATAGCCAGAAAGAGTCATCACCCAAAACCCCTTAAGAGCAGTTATGGTGACATCTCCACATGGGGGGATGTTATAGGAGTTTATTAAGAAATTATTTTAGGCAGCTAGGAAAAGGGGTCCTTGGGGAAGTTTTCATTTCCTTTAAAGCGGCTCCAGAAACGTTTCTTGTCTAGCAAACCCCAGCTCTTAGAGCCGAGTCAGCAACCTTTGATATGCAAATACAGGCCATTAGAAACTGGGTCCACCCAAACATGGTGATTCCTGCCACCTTCTTCCCCTCGCCTCACAGGTGCCTGGCAACACGGCCGCCCCCACATATCCCCATATGTGTAGAGCATCATGGCACCCTGCATTTGCATATTAAAAAGCTAGGGTGGGAGGGCCAGTTTTTTCCGCGGGCTACGTGAGTGACATGCCTGGTCAAACCAATCCCCTGAGCGCTATGCAAATCAGGCACCACCTCCTCTAGCCTCCTCATATAAGCAGCCACTTTTCTGACGCACACAGGGTTTTCTCTTTGTTCGAATCGCCCCCTCCCTTTATCTTTGTACAGGGGAGCTGTTTTCTTCTTCCTTCCTTCTTTCTTGCCTATTAAACTTTTCACTCCTTAAAACCAAAAAAAAATTAAAAAAAAAAAACCATCACATCAAATAACTTTACCCTACCCAGGACTTGCCCAGGTTTCTGTTCTTGGGTTAAAATTTAAAATATTGGTTCACTCCCTGACGGAAACAGATGAGAGAGGTGCTCAGTGACTCATTATGGACAGAATGAGGGCTGAAATTACTTGAGTGAGGAAGGAAAGGAAAGCGGGGCCCTGGCTGAGGTTAAGTACCAAATAGAAATCTGGGCTGAAGCAGGGAGACTTAGCTTGAGATTCTAGATAAAAAAAGAAGTGTAACCTAGAGTAACACAAATATAAAGGATTCCACTCTTATTTCCAAACTATTGTAACAGCTCTGAATAACATGGATATTTTAAAGGTTTATGCATATATTAATGGATGTGTATAAAACATTCAGGCCAGGCACAGTGGTTCACGCCTGTAATCCCAGCACTTTGGGAGGCCGAGGCAGAAGGATCACTTGAGATCAGGAGTTCAAGACCAGCCTGGCCAACATGGTGAAACATGATCTCTACTAAAAATACAGAAAAAAATTAACTGGGTGTGGTGGTGGGTACCTGTAGTCCCAGCTATTTGGGAGACTAAGGCAGAAGAATCACCTGAACCTGGGAGGCAGAGGCTGCAGTGAGCCGAGACTGCACCACTGCACTACAGCCTGAGCAACAGGGTGAGACTTGGTCTAAAAAAAAAAAAATTTTCATCATAAACTCAGTCCCCAAAAGTAATTAATCTATTTATTCATTCATCACATACCCACTAAACACGTACTATATCTAGATGGGAGAGACTGGCAAAGACAGACCTTGACCTGAAGAAGTGTTTAGCCTAGTCGGGTAGATTACACATGCATATAAAAATATTAACTATAGACATGGCAGGAAGAGCTAAATGCACTAAAAGAGACATAGAGGGCTATGTGAAGAAAACAATGTAATGCCCACAAACATATACTTTTATCCTTCTCTAATTAATGTTCCCAAGTGTTTTATATTCTTCACATATCTTTTCATTCTCCACTAAAATGTAATCTGCAAGGTCAAGGGAGTCTCTCTCTTGTTTACTGCCATAACTCTGCAAGCTAAGGTAGTGCCTGGCTCACAGGATGTGTTTCATAATCATTTCTCCAATAAATTATCAGTAAATTTATTAAAATTAAAACTGCCATTTAAAAACATCTGATGAGAGTTCAGAAGTAAACCCTTTTATCCAAGGTCATTTGATTTTCAACAGGAGTACCAAGACAATAAAATAGAGAAAGAATGAATAGTCTTTTCAACATATGATGCTGAGACAACTGGATATCCACATGCAAAATAATAAATGAAGTTGGAACCCTTCCTAACACCATACACAAAAATCAACTGAAAATGAATCACAGACCTACATGTAAGCACTAAATTCTAAAACTCCTAGAAGAAACATGAGAATAAGTCTTCATTAGCTTGGATTAGACAATCGTTCCTTGATATAACACCAAAAGCACAAGTGACAAAAAACAAATAGATAAATTGGACTTTAACAACATTAAAAATACTTGTGACACCATGAAGAAAGTGAAAACAACCCACAGAAACGGAAAAAAAAAAAGCAAATCATATATTTGGCAATGGACTTGTATCTAGAATACATATAAAGAACTATTGTTAACTCAATAATTAAAAGACAACCCAATTAAAAATGAACAAAGAATCCCATTTATAATGGCCACGAAAAAATAAAGAAGGTATCTAGGAATATATCTAATGAAGGAGGTTAAAGTCTCTACAAGGAGAACTACAAAACATACTGCTCAAAGAAATCAGAGATGACACAAACAAATGGAAAAACACTCCATGCTCATGGCTGCAGGCCATGAGATAAATATTTTTCTACAACGAGAAAAAATATTTGCAAACTACGTGATATGGTTTGGCTGTGTCTCCACCCAAAACCTCATCTTGGACTGTAATACACATGTGTCAAGGGCAAGACCAGGTGGAGGTAATCAGATCACAGGGCAGTTTCCCCCATGCTGTTCTCGTGATAGTGAGTCTCATGAGATCTGGTGGTTTTATAAGCGTCTGCCATTTCCACTGCTTGCACTCATTCTCTCTCCTGCTGCCCTGTGAAGAAGTGCCTTCTGCCATGATTCTAAGTTTCCTGAGGCCTCCCAAGCCACGTGGAACTGTGAGTAAATGAAACCTCTTTTCTTTATAAATTACCCAGTTTTGGGTATTTCTTCATAGCAGCATGAGAACAGACTAATACACTATGCATCCAACAAAGGTCCAATAACCAGAATCTGTAAGAAATTGAAACAATTCAACATGCAAAAACAACCCCATACAAAGAAGAGCTAGTATGGAACAATACTACCGAAATTGTTTGAAAAAATTGAAGGATGGACTCCTCCCTAACTCATTATTTGAGTCCAGCATCATTCTGATACCAAAATCTGGCAGAGACACAGTAAGAAAACTGCAGGCCAAGATCCCTGATGAACACAGATGCAAAAATCCTCAATAAAATACTAGCGAATCGAATCTAGCAGCACATCCAAAGCTAACCCACCACCATCAGTAGGCTTTATTCCTGGGATGCAAGGTTGGTTCAATATATGCAAATCAATAAATGTGATTCATCACATAAACAGAAATAAAAACAAAAACCACATGATCATCCCCAAACTCAAAGGCTTTCAATAAAATTCAACATCCCTTCATATTAAAAACCCTCAACAGGCCAGGCACAGTGGCTCACGCCTGTAATCCCAACACTTTGGGAGGCCAAGGCGGGCAGATCACGAGTTCAAGAGATGGAGACCATCCTGGCCAACATGGTGAAACCCCATCTCTACTAAAAATACAAAAATTAGCTGGGCATGGTGGTGCACACCTGTAGTCCCAGCTACTCAGGAAGCTGAGGCAGGAGAATCACTTGAACCCAGGAGGCAGAGGTTGCAGTGAGCCAAGATCACGCCACTGCACTCCAGCCTGACAACAGAGCGAGGCTCCATCTCAAACCAAAAAAAAAAAAAAAAGAGAGAGAGACAGAAAGAAGGAAACAGACACATATACCAATGGAACAGAACAGGGAACCCAGAAATAATGCCGCACACCTACAACCATCTAATCTTTGATAAAGTTAACAAAAACAAAGAATGGGGAAAGGACTCCCTGTTCAATTAATGGTGCTGAAATAATGGGCTAGCCATATACAGAAGATTGAAACTGGACTCCTTCCTTACACCATATACAAAAATCAACTCAAGATGGACTAAAGACTTAGATGTAAAACCTAAAACTAAAAAAACTCTGGAAGATAACCTAGGAAATACATTCTGGACATAGGACACGGCAAAGATTTCATGAAGATGCCAAAGGCAATTGTAACAAAAGCAAAAATTGACAAGTGAGATCTAATTAAGCTTCAGAGCTTCTGTGCAGCAAAGAAACTATCAACAGAGTAAACAGACAACCTACAGAAGAAAATATGTGCAAATTATGCATCCAACAACGGTCTAATATCCAGAATCTATAAGCAACTTAAATCAATAAACAACCCCATTAAAAAGTGGGCAAAGGACATGAACAGACACTTTTCAAAAGAAGACATGTAAGTGGCCAAGAAGCATATGAAAAAAAGTTCCACATCACTAATCATGAGATAAATGCAAATGAAAACCACAATGAGATACCATCTCACAGCAGTGAAAATGGCTATTATTAAAAAGTCAAAAAATAACAGATGCTGGCAAGGTTGCGGAGAAAAGGGAACACTTACATACTGCTAGTAGGAATGTAAATTAGTTCAGCCATTGTGGAAAGCAGTTTGGCAATTTCTCAAAGAACGCAAAGCAGAATTACCATTTGACCCAGCAATCTCATTATTGCGTATATACCCAAAGGTATAAAAATTGCTCTTCCATAAAGACACATGCACACGTATGTTCATCACTGCACTATTCACAATAGCAAAGACATGGAATCAACCTAAATGCCCACCAATGGTGGAATGGATAAAGAAAATGTGGTATATATACACCATGGAATAATATGTAGCCATAAAAAAGAACAAGATCATGTCCTTTGCAGCAACACAGATGGACCTGGAGGCCATTATCCTAAGTGAATTAACACAGGAACAGGAAACCAAATACCACAGGTTCTCTCTTCTAAGTAGGAGCTAAACATTGGATATGTATAGACACAAAGAAAGGCACAACAGACACCAGGACCTACTTAAAGGTGGAGGGAGGGAGGGAGGAAGGTAAGGACAGAAAAACTACCTATCAGGTTCTATGCTTATTACGTAGGTGGCAAAATAATCTGTACATCCAACCCCTGTGACACAAAATCTACCTATATAACAAACCTGCACATGTACCCCTCAACCTAAAAGTTAAAAACAAAAAAGGGAGTTTACAAATAGCTTCCTAAGTAGAATTTTTAAGTCTTCTTTCTCCCCCACCCAATAGCTCCAACACTTCAGATTTACAGATTATAAACCTTCAACACATATAAATAACTAAGATGGTCTTTGATAAAAATCAAAACTATTCTTAAAATTCAACTCTGAGTAAACTTTCATTCTGTTTCATGTGTTATATTGTCCTGTTTGCCTGCAAGTAGAAACTGTGTGTTACTTGTCTCATGTTCCATATAATACAACGTTTGGCAAGTGGTAAGCATCTAATACACAACAAAGCTTACTTCTTTCTTGCTCCAAAAATGAAAATGGCTTTATAAAACTCTATAATTTTGAGGAAGAGTTGGAGAAATCACCCTAAACATATAAAACTGCAATGATATTACTGTGGGCAATGTGATGATAAACCACTCCTTGTGTTAGAAAAGAATTAACATAGCAACTTGCTTTGTCCATAATTTTAGTCTGATGTAATCCTAAAGTTGGAGGGTGTGATTTGTGACAAATGGACCTGAGTCAAGGACACGATTTCCTTGATGAATTGAGTTTATTCAGTTAGTCACAGAGGGAGTAAATATGTATGACTCAGCATCAAGACTTATCTTCAGGACTTTTAAGGACAAACTTCCTATAACTACTCTTATTCAAACCAACTCTGTCCTCTTCACAGCTGAACCATGGCACAGGTATTAGGTATTTTCAAAACAGCTGGTAAAGTTGATAGACGTGCTTGGCTGAAGGTAATTTTAAAGGTTAAAAGTCATCATCCAAGTTTGTTTTCAACAGATATTACACTTTGTGTTTTTCTTAGAAACCCTGAACACAGGAGTAGCCCTTCATTTTTTGTTCTTCCCCAACACAAACAGATGACATTTACAATCACAAATACTCTGTCAGGCTATAGAATAAATAAGTGCACTCACTGTAACACCATCACTTTCTCCTCTGCTCAAGGAAACATGTCAAAACTATTTCAAGCAATAGCAAAGACTTGGAACCAACCCAAATGTCCAACAACGATAGACTGGATTAAGAAAATGTGGCACATATACACCATGGAATACTATGCAGCCATAAAAAATGAAGACTTCATGTCCTTTGTAGGGACATGGATGAAACTGGAAACCATCATTCTCAGCAAACTATCCCAAGAACAAAAAACCAAACATCGTGTGTTCTCACTCATAGGTGGGAATTGAACAATGAGAACACATGGACACAGGAAGGGGAACATCACACAGGAAGGGGAACATCACACACCAGGGACTGTTGTGGGGTGGGGGCAGGGGGGAGGGATAGCATTAGGAGATATACCTAATGCTAAATGACGAGTTAATGGGTGCAGCACACCAACATGGCACATGTATACATATGTAACAAACCTGCACATTGTGCACATGTACCCTAAAACTTAAAGTATAATAATAATAAAATAAAAAAAGAGTAAGTGTAAATCCACCCTAATTTGTAGCATAGAGGTATATTAATTACAAACTTTAATTTTTACATGTAACAAATTACCTGCTAAACACCTGAGGACCATTCACTACTCTGAATTGTAGAGAGATGTCAAGATTACACTTTGAAGGGAAAAAAGGTGCTACTGGTTCAAGAGAACTTACATTAAAAAATCTTATCAAGGGATCCTATACTGAATTCTAACATCTAACATCTAATTCTAACACTAGATTAACATCTAAGCCAGATGTTAATCAATGGCTCACTTGTACTATTTAAATAAAAGAATTATGGTATTATTCTGATTCCTTTAATATTAAGAGACCCTTAACAGACCCCTAAAAATTACTACCCATCGGTGATAACTGCTTCTTATTCTCACTTATGGGAATCCTATCCCTGCTCCCTCATAAACAAAGTAGCTACTAATAAAGAAATCTCGTAAAAGAAATACAACTTAAAACATTAAATTTAAAATGTTAGCAGCATACCATTTTAAGAAAGTACGATTAGTATCCACTTTGTTTTCAAAATTTTAAAAATAGGAAAGTTGCCCCTCCATCAACCTAATTAAACATGATTAAATAGGTGACATTTTAAATAGAAGACCTAAGCCTTACAGATTTCCTACTGGGTGAAAAACTTACAAACAATAAAAAGAAATAAGGTTTACTGCAGCACTATTCACAATAGCCAAGATATGGAATCAACCTAGTGTCCAACAACAGAATAATGGGTAAAGAAAATGTGGTATATATACGCAATAGAATACTATTCAGCCACAAAAAAAGAATGAAATCCTGTCATTCACAGCAACACAGATGGAACTAGAAGACATTAAGTGCAATAGGCTAGGACAGAAAGTTCACCACCACATCTTCACTCATGTGCAGAAGCTAAAAAAAGTTGATCTCATATAAGTAAAAAGTAGAACAGAAGATTCTAGTGTTCTAGTGTTCTAAAGCACAGTAGGATGATTATAGGTAACATAATATATAGTTTCAAACAGCAAAAAAGAGGATACTGAATGTTCCCAACAAAAAGAAATGATGTGTTTTAGATGATGGATATGCTAATTACCATGGCTTGATCATTACACATTGTACACATGTATCAAAATATCACATTGTACCCCATAAATATGTACAATTAATATGTGTCAATTTAAAAAAAAAAACTTCAGAACACATCCAAAGTTGGCTGAAAAAAATAACTGAAAATTTTAAACTATATGGTCAATGGTAGCAAAGAGAATTTATCACTAAGAATTGTGTAAGAAAGCTCTACACTCTTAAAATAATAGAGGTACAGTATGCATTAGTATTTTTTCTAGCTTAATTTATTTATGATACTATGGTTGTCCTTGCCAACTGTTAAGTCCCCTTGGGGTGGGTCTCTTCATCCTTTGTACGATGCCTAACAGATCAAAATGCTTAATGTTCCACTTTCTTGGCCTTAAGAATTCTTTGCTTTCTATATGTTTTTCTTGTAAGCATTTTCAGATTTCTCATGTTGAATATTAGAAGAAAGTTCATGGAAATACTATAGAGAAAAATACTCAATTCTTTCTAAACATAACTTTTACAGCATTGGTAAAGAAACTGTGGAGTCTTTAAAAACTACATTATTCCTCAACAAATGCTCTTTTAAAACATCTGGGAAAGAAACCCATTTCAGTTAACAACATAAAAGGAAGGACAAACTCTAACACCGTTTATTTAATATATGTGGTGTATGAACTTATTTAATGACCAAAAAAGGAAAAATTATTATTTAGTAAGTTTTGGGATAATAAAACAGAGGTTTGCCAAATAAAAGAGAGAAACAGGAATGCTTTAATGATTCCCATATCCTTGACAAAAAATTGTATCTTTGTTCTGTAGCTGGGCTCAGTGGCTCACGCCTGTAATCCCAGCACTTTGGGAGGCCAAGAAGGGTGGATCACCTGAAGTCAGGAGTTCGAAATCAGCCTGGCCAACATGGTGAAACCCCACCTCTACTAAAAATACAAAAATTAGCTGGGTGTGGTGGTGCATGCCTGTAATCTCAGCTACTCAGGAGGCTGAGGCAAGAGAATCGCTTGAATCTAGGAGAAGGAGGTTGCAGTGAGCCAAGATCATATACCACTGCACTCTAGCCTGGGTGAGAAAGGGAGGCTCTGTCTTAAAAAAAAAAAAAAAAAAAAAAAAATTGTAATTTGCTCCTCTAACAAGTCTTTTAATACTTAAAAAGGTTTATAATCTAAGATGAAATTCAGCCTACTGAATTTAGTTATACAAAATATATACATATATAGATACAGATATGTGCTAATGAGCTGTACCTTTTTCCCATGAAAATTGCAACCAAACAGTATTTAAAAACTAACAACACTGACTACAGGCAATTTCCCTCCTAGAGGATTCAGGTAGCACATGTGTTCTCATCAAGTTGATTTGAAACACTAAATTTTTCCTATTACTAATAACAGTGAGTTGGGTTTGAGAGATGAACCTTCCTGTTGAAAACAACTTAGTAATTTGTATAAAGTATTTTAAAACATCTTTTCAAAAGAACTGAAAAATTACAAGATAGTAAGAAATTACCAAGTAAAAACTAAAAAGAGAATTCAACAAATAACACTGGGAAAATAAATATCCACATGCAAAAGTATGAAGTTGGACCCTTAGCTTACAACATACACAAAAATTAACTCAAAATGGATCAAATACATAAACATTAGGGCTAAAAGTATAACACTCTTAGAAGAAAACATATGGGGAAAGTTCTGTCACATTTGATTTGGCAATGATTACTTGGATATGATATCAAAAGCACAAGCAGCAAAAGAACAAAATAGACAAAACTGGACTACATCGAAACTGAAAACACTATCAACAGAGTTAAAAGGCAACCCACAGTACTGGAAAAAATATTTGCAACTCACACATCTGATAATGGACTACTATATAGAATATATAAAGAACTCCTAAAATTCAACAACAAAAAATAGGCAAATTCAAAAATGGGAAGAGGATTTGAACAGATGTTTTTTCAAAGAAGATATGAAATGGCCAATAGGCATATGAAAAGATGCTCAACATCATCAGAAAAACACAAATCAAAACCACAATAAGACACCACTACTTCACACCCATTAGAATGGCAATTATTTAAAAAAAAATAGAAAATAACAAATGTTGGCTAGAATGTGGAGAAACTGTAACCATTATGGCATTACTGGTGAGAATATAACATGGTGCAGCTGCTGTGGAAAATATGGCAGTTCCTCAAAAAATTAAACACAGAATTACCATATGATCCACCAATTCCACCTTTAAGTCAAAGAAAAATCAAAAGGAAAATTTATAAGTATCTTGAGGGCCAGGCGTGGTGGCTCACGCCTGTAATCCCAACACTTCTGAAGGCCAAGGCGGGTTGATTACTTGAGGTCAGGAGGTCGAGACCAGCCTGGCCAACATGGTGAAACCCCATACAAAAAATTAGCTGGGCATGGTGGCGTGCGCCTGTAGTCCCAGCTACTGGGGAGGCTGAGGCAGGAGAATCACTTGAACTCGGGAGGCGGAGGTTGCAGTGAGCCGGGATCGCAGCACTGTGCTCCAGCCTGGGCAAGAGCTAAACTCCATTGCAAAAAAAAAAAAAAAAAAAAAATGCTAAATTTTATGTTATATTTTACCACAAAAAAAAAAGTACAAGGAGAATGAAAACTCAGCATGAAAAGCAAGTTCTGAAACCACATTTCCTCTAAAGTATCTTTATTGGTCATGGGAAACTAGAACCTATGTTTTAAAAGATTCTCAGGGTGACCAAGATAGAAATAAAGCTGAGGGCCACACAACAAGGGCCATCTAATCTGAGATTCTCCTCACAATAAACTGGAATCCTAAAGGGGCACATCCTCACAGTGAGAATGACATGAACTAGATTATGGTCTAACATCACACTGCTTTTCTCAAACTTCAAACTTGGGTCTGTAATCATCCCCTGGACTAGAATACTCCCAAGTTTCGGTCAGACACAAGTGCACACTGTCTAAGTACCTACGCTGTGGACTTAAAATCAGTCTTATAAATAATTCTTCAAATGCAATATCCAGGCCCCAGTCAAGGATAGTGGAGTATGCAAGAAATGTAGGAATAAGAAGCAGCAGAAAGGAAAAGGGGTCAGGAAAGAACCTTAGAAAGTGGATTATCAGATGCAGATTCTATGTGTTTTCTGTGACAGAAGAAATAAAATGACAGGTTGGAAACATTTAGCAGAGAACTAAACACTATAAATAGTAACAGATTTCTAAAAGAAAAAATAGAGACTCTAGAACTAAAAATAAAATATAACTCCAACTAAGAACTGAATGGAAAGGTTTAACAGATTAGATTCACCTTCAGAGATAATAAATAATGGAAAGACAAAAGACAAGTCTAGAGATATGCTGGAAGTAGTTTGAATAAGCTTTCAAGAACCAATTATGTGTAGCTCTTCCTAATTCTGCATCAGTAAAGTCAAATTGGTTGCCTGAAACTACCCTTGATAAGGATATTTATACTATGGAAATCAACAAATGCTACAAATCAGGGCTTCTTTTTCCCCGGAGAGCCATTTCACCAGCACACACTTGGAAGTTACCATACAGAATTTGGGACAGGGAGACAAAAAAAAAAAAAAAAAAAGTAAGTAGGGAGGAGAGCATAAGAAATGTAAAGGGTATAAAAGAGGGCCCAAAACGTCTTTAATTAAAGTTTCAAAAACTGAATAGAGAAAAGAAACACTTTATCAGTTAGTGGCTTTTTCCAGAACTAATTACCAAATCATAGATTTAAGAAGCCAAATGAATGCATTGCAGGATAAATAAAAAGAAATCTGCAATGAAGTAAGACTGACTTCTATATCATTAGAGTAGCCTATGTGTTTTTAAATCTATGAGTTTTTCCCTTTATCTCCAAAAATTATAAATGCTACCAGAATTGAGACAGACAGAGATTTATTTTCATTAATTTTGCCTACAATAAGCCTACGCTGTGGAACTACAGCTTCAGAACTTTTCAGCTGAAGTGGCTGGGCCATGGTGGCTCACACCTGTAATCCCAGCACTGTGAGGGGCAGAGGCAGGAGAATCACTTGAGCCCAGGAGTTCGAGACCAGCCTGGGCAACATGGCAAAACCCCATCTCTACAAAAAATACAAAAGAATTAGCCAAGTATGGTGGCGTGTGCCTGTAGTTGCAGCTACTCGGGAGGCTGAGATGGGAAGATGGTTTAAGCCCAGGAAGCAGAGGTTGCAGTGAGCAAAGATTGCCCCATTACACTCCAGCCTGGGCAATATAGTGAGACCCTGTCTCTGGGGAGGGGGGTACTTTTCAGCTCAAGAAAGTTTCCTTCTGCTTTTATATTTTGCTTCTGTTCCATTTATTCTGGTTTCTCCATTAGGAACTTATTCATCAGTATGGCACTTCTCTGTCTTCAGTATCTGTCATTTTTACCCTCATCATTTCTGTCATTTTTTTCTCCTCCTAAAAAAATCTCAAATAAATACTATAGGATTGACCCATTCATCGTATATAGGATTGACTCCATTTTCTGCAGGATCAGCTCTGCTATGTGCAACTGCCATTACAGATTTTGGCTATTGCATTTTTAGATTGTTGTCACTGTTTTCTTTTGGTCATCTTTATTCCAGCTCCTTTTAAAATCTCATTCTGATTTTTTGTTATAACTTTGTTTTGGTTTCCTAGAGGTCATATTTTTTGCTCTGTTACTAAGAATAAAATCTGACACTTCTCACAAATATCTTTTGTACATCGTAATAAATCATATTCAATATTATTTTTAAGATTTTCTTCCGCATCTTTGGGGAAATGGTTCCCTTCTTTTACGGAGATATCTTTCACACAGATTTCTTTCATAGTCCCCATGAAAATCATCCTTGCAAAAATAAGGTACAATTTTTAATGGCAGGGTATTGTAGACTGCCCTTGATTCCCATCACTATCAATGTGGATGGTGAAAATTTGCTCACACTTAATTTGGTTAGGTTTTAAGTGTACAGGCTGACACACACAGTCCATGGCTGAATTTATAGTACTAAGCAGGCAGTACAACCAAGTTGGGCTGATTTAAAATCTATTATTCCTTTCTTCTCATATTATGAGAATTCATTCCTACATCAACAGGAACATTCTGTAGTTTGTCTTTTAACAGAAAATAAATGATAACCTGAAAACCCAAAAGCACACTCCTTTTAAGGTTCTTCTTAACACCACATCTACTGCTACATCACATCCCTGGAATGTAATATCCTAACACCTTCTTTTCATTCTCTTCCATATTGCACATTGGAAATTTAGTCTCTGAATAGATGTATAAAAAATAGTGTGGAACGTGCGGGTTTGGAAGAGTTGGGAGAGAGAAAAATCTCTAAGGAGGTTAATGGGCTTTTAATATGTAATAAAATACATAATATGAACGAAATAGTGCAAGTTCCCATAGTCATTCATGGTAACCCATGTCTCCAAGGTATGAACAACAGGAATAGATCAAAGCCTCTTCCTACCCACTTCCCACGTTAATCTCCTGTTTTAGAAGTCAAACCATAAACAGACCACTAAGACTTTCTTAGTCTACTCCAATGTAGTAAGTAGTTAGTAGAAACAACTTTAAAACTGAGAAATTATTGATCACTACTTTTCTCAATGCCATTATGGAACTATACGCATATTTTAATGAGAAACTGGAAGAAAGCATATCATACATGGCTAGCCTAAAGTAAATATTTTTCAATAGGTACATTTTTTAAACAAAGAAGTTGATATTGATCTCTGTTTGAACATGGTCAACTAAAATGTCACGGTGACAGGTACTATTACAGAAAGTGAAGTAATCCGAATTCTTTCACAACAGAAAGATGAAAATTGAGACATAATTATTGTAAACATCTGAAAAGTATAAATGTCTATAATGATTTTATACATAATGATATAAACACTGATTTCTTCTCCACATCACTTAAAGTTTGAACATGACATTTTAGGATGATTTTTTTTAAAGTTCTACTCTATCGAGTAAACACAGAATTTGTCATTCTAGATAATCAAGGAAATGACAAATGCATTTCAAAAGCATTTAATTCATAGGTAGCTATAAACAGGCAAGCAAGGAAAGCCAAGGTTATTTTGAGGAGACAGCCTACCTATACAAGCTGATAGTTTGTTTTTTGGGGTTTTTTGTTTGTTTGTTTTTGAGACACAGTCTTGCTCTGTCGCCCAGGCTGGAGTGCAATGGCACGATCTTGGCTCACTGCAACCTCTGCCTCCCAAATTCTAGTGATCTTGTGCCTCAGCCTCCTGAATAGCTGGGTTTACAGGTGCCCACCGCCACGCCTGGCTAATTTTTGTAGAGATGGGGTTTTTAGTAGAGATGGGGTTTCACCATGTTGGCCAGGCTGGTCTCAAATTCCTGACCTCAAGTGATCTGCCAGCTTCGGCCTCCCAAAGTGCTAGGATTACAGGCATGAACCACCATGCCCAGCCACCAACTGATACTCTTGAGAACAATTATCAGAATCGTTAACTCCTCAAATGTGGAAAATAACTTCAAATTAAGAAAAGTCATATAGTTGTGTTTTTTTTCCTTTTTACATATCATAATGATCATTTCATTAGTAAAGTAACCCTGAGCTCACTATTTTTAACATAACTATGCTCCCAAAAACATTTAGTAGTTGGCCAGGCACAGTGGCTCACGCCTGTAATCGCAGCACTTTGGGTGGCCGAGGCAGGTGGATCACGAGGTCAGGAGATCAAGACCATCCTGGCTAACACGGTGAAACCTCATCTCTACTAAAAAAATACAAAAAGTTAGCCAGGCATGGTGGCAGGCACCTGTAGTCCCAGCTACTCGGGAGTCTGAGGCAGGAGAATGGCATGAACCTGGGAGGTGAAGTTTGCAGTGAGTCAAGATTGCGCCACTGCACTCCAGCCTGGGCGACAGAGCGAGACTCTGTCTCAAAAAAAAAACATTTAATAGTCTAATGAATTTCTCTCAGTAAGTAGTTCAAATTTAGTACCTTTACTATGTGCCAGGTACTGTTTTAAGTGCTTTACACATACTAACTCATTTCTCTGAAGAAGTACTATTATTATCACCATTTTAAAGATTGGAAACTAGGGGACACAAAAGTCAAGAATTTGCCAAAGTTTTTATTCTTGCTGCATAAGAAAGTCACCAAAATGCAACTTGAAAAAACAGTTTTATCATACGCATGAATTCTGTGGGTCAGTAATTTAGAGCAAACACAAAGGTAAGGAACAATGTTTGAGGTCACAACTGAAAAGACACAACAATTAGGGATGACTCAATGGGACCGGAATCATTTGAGGAAATCACTTACATGTGCGATTGTTGATGCTACTGTCGGCTAGAATCTAAACTGGAGCTGTCAACTAGGGCAGCAGTCTCCATCCATTTTGACACTGGGACCAGTTTCAAGAAAGGTAATTTTTTTTCCACAGAGGAGGCAGGGGGATGGTTTTGGGATAAAACCTTCCACCTCAGATCATCAGGCATTAGATTCTCATAAGGAGCACTCAAACTACATCCCTCATATGCACAGCTCACAACAGGGTTCGCACTCCTATAAGAATTCAATATAGCTGCTGATCTAACAGGAGGCAGAGCTCACCTCCTGCTGTGCGGCCGGGAGTGGGTGAATGGGATTGGGGACCCCTGAACTAGGGTCCTACATATAGCCTTTCTCTGTAGCCTGAGCTTTCTTCACAGCATTGCAGCTTCAGAATAGCCAAGCATCATACATGGCAGCACAGAGATCCAAAAGCAAGTGTCCCAGAAAACAAGGTGAAGGCTGCACTGCCTTTTCTGACTTAGCCTCAGTCATCGTGCATTACTTTCACCATATTCTATTGGTCATAATCTAGTTGTGGCTAGTCGTGAGCCAGTGCAAATTCAAGAGGAAAGGATAGAGACCCCTCTTCTCAATGAAGGCTATAAAGAGCAAGGGGTTGAAAGTGGAAAATAACATGTCTGGAAAGTACAAGACGCCACCATCTTATAGCAAAGATTCACAGTGCATGCTCTTAACTACCATACTTGACTGCTTGCTCAAAAAGTGGCACACTCTATAGTACATAAGAACAACACTCTTGACCAGATCTGACACTTTTGGGGTAGCCTGAAATACCATTCAGAATCTGAAATAGGCAATGGGACCCCAGAGAGACAGACTGAGCTCTGAAGAAACTTTAGACTTTATTATCTTCACATTCATCTCCCTCTGAAGCCATCAGTGAAGAGAGTGAGAGATTCTCTACCAAGAAAAACAAGGCTAGTTTTTCTAGCAGTGAAAACTAGCTCACTAGTTAGTGAGCAGTGGCTCACACCTGTAATGCCAATACTTTGGGAAACCGAGGCAGAAGGATCACTTGAGCCCAGGAGTTTGAGGCTGCAGTGATTCATAATTGCACCATTATAATCCAGCAGCCTGGGCAACAGAACAAGACTCCCATCTCTTAAAAAAAAAAAAAAAAAAGGAAAAGAATAAATAAAATGTGTGTCTCTTATAACCTCTCCACCATGGTCATTTCCAGTAGTGGCAAATTCCATCACAAAAATCATTGTAAATGCTCTGGAAGAGGCAAAGGGGTGCCCTATAGACATCCTACTCTCAAACTTGACTTCTCACCATCATCTGGTGTCCAACATTACAGATCCAACCCAAATGAGATTTTAATTTCTGACGTGTCATTAAAACATCTACAACACAAGATCTACATGCTTTACATATATATCAACAATTTTCTCATATCAGAAGGAAAGCTGCAATTCTAGGAGCAAGTTTCCAGAATCTTTTGGTTTGCGGTGGGGTGGGTAGGGAAAGTTGGGGAGCTATTCCAAACAAATATTAATTGATTATATCACAAGTACTTAATCAAAACTTACTGCTAATTCTTCTGCTGATTTCAAATGATTTGGAAAGACTAGAGTAGAATTGAGAGAGCTGGAGAATCAGGCTATGAAGACCCTCTCCAGTGTTAAATCTGTCAGAATCAGAGTCCTGGAACAAACCCAGACAAAAGCAAGGTACAAACTGTCTCACCAAATTAACACCACAACCTTCATTAGCAGCCAAGAAGACTGATGTTTTTTAAGTGGTAGGGTTATTAATTGGGTTGTGAACAAATACCTCCCCATTAAGAGTTCCTCCAAACACTACTGTAAACACCTCAAAGTCACCAAGAAATTTCTATAAAATCTGATTATTTGCTAAAAATAATAAATCACTATCTTTAACAAATCCTGGTTGATACAAAAAAATCAAGAATGCTTTCTATTTTGGTTTATGTACTAAAATGCACAGAAACAGGCTACACCTGTAGTTTATTTACAGAGAAACATTCTGGCAAAATTAACACAACTGGCTAAATATTACTTATTTGGAAATACTGGTTTAGTAATAATTTTAAAAAACAAAAACTGCTTTACCAGCTTAACTTTATTTGAAGACTTCCAGTCAAATTTTCATTTTGAATAAAATTTCAATTAACATAAACAACCAAACAGTAGATGAGACATTTAATGAATAAACTCTCTTCTGTTAAGACTTCCCTTAAGTAAATTTTTCTGGAGGTACTGTGTTCTGGCTATGTGTTCTGGCTTTGTTTCTTTTTTTTTTTTTTTTTTTGAGACGGAGTCTCGTTCTGTCGCCCAGGCGGGAGTGCTGTGGCGCGATCTCCGCTCACTGCAAGCTCCGCCTTCCGGGTTCACGCCATTCTCCTGCCTCAGCCTCCCGAGTAGCTGGGACTACAGGCGCCCGCCACTGCGCCCGGCTAATTTTTTGTATTTTTAGTAGAGACGGGGTTTCACCGTGGTCTCGATCTCCTGACCTCGTGATCCGCCCGCCTCGGCCTCCCAAAGTGCTGGGATTACAGGCGTGAGCCACCGCGCCCGGCCGGCTTTGTTTCTTTTAATAAATTAGAGAAAGGAAAAAGGTGGGGAGCGGAATGTGACAGTCACACTTAATCCACACCAGGCTGCCATATGTCACTTTTTGTCCTTTACTGGTTCATTGACTATTCATGAATTAATACCTGAAAAGTGTTATATTTATCTGTACAGGCACAAAGCTGTCAATTCAGTTCAAAGCATGCTTGCCTTTGTTTTCAACGAGAAAAAGGCTCTGTATATGGTACTACCCTATAATACAAGTATTTAAAAAATTGATATAGTGAGTTCCCATGTTGATACTAGCTGTGCCTTACTATTGTTTTTTAATGACTATTATATCAAAGGAAAAATGAAGCAGTCCCAGCTTTTAGAGCCTCTGGCCTCTAAGGATTTCCACTGAGGCCCCAAATCCTATTCCCTCCTATACTTTATAATCAATAGTCTTACTGTTTTCATTTCTTTTCTTCCTTTATCCATGCTTGTTTCTGGCAGTATCCTCTGCTATTAACTTACCTCATCAAAGCTACCTGAGTAGTGACCAATGCTTCCCCAGGATGCATTAAATCAGCTCTAGCTCAGAATCTGCCCTGAAGTTTCCTATTCCCTCCCACAGTAATTGCCATGAACGATTTCATGGTTCATTCATATTCCAACTTGTTTGCCAACATCTAGAGAAGACATTTTTTAAAAGGCATAAAAAGAGACACTCAGCTTTCATTACTATCAGACAAGAAAATAGGAAAAACAAGCTTGCCTAAGACATTTTAAAGTGCTTCCTCGATAGCTTCAAGCTTAAAACTACCATTACAAATCCACCATATTTGTCCTGAGAGAGAAAGATCAGAGGGAGAGAGTAAATATATATAAACATATACCTGCATCCTAAAAATTCTCTGAATAGCTTAAAGAATAAAAAAGGACTGTGAAATCTACACTCCCAAATTACTGGCATTTGAAAGTTTTATGATGATAAATAAAGCAAAAAAAGTAAATGGAATTAATTTTCCCTACATGTATTTGACAAAAATTGACATTAAAGTTCAAAACACATGATAAAAGTTATTCAATAGTTAGTGATTGAGGCAAAAGACCTAATCCAAAAAGAAAATAGTGTTTTATAAATAGTTCCAACATATCATGCATTCTTCCATGTTTTATTTCAACATATCTTTTGAGCATCCCAAAACCTAAAAAAAAAAAAAATTCTTTGTAATTCAAGAAGGTGGCTGAAACCTGTACTTCCATTAACAGGCAGTGATATGGTTTGGCTGTGTCCCCACCCAAATCTCATCTTGAATTCTATCTCCCAGAATTGCCATGTGTTGTGGGAGGGACCCAGAGGGAGGTAACTGAATCATGGGGGCCAGTCTTTGCTGTGCTATTCTCTTGATAGTGAATAAGTCTCACGAGCTCTGATGGGTTTATCAGGGGTTTCCGCTTTTGCTTCTTCCTCATTTTTCTCTTGCCATCACCATGTAAGAAGTGCCTTTCACCTCCCGCCATGATTCTGAGGTCTCCCCAGCCATGTGGAACTGTAAGTCCAATTAAACCTCTTTTTGTTCCAAGTTTTGGGTATGTCTTTATCAGCAGCATGAAAACAAACTAATACGGACAGGAGTATGAAGCAGAAGGAGCCTTGATATATCAGAGCTCCACTATGACATAAGACTAAGTCATCAAATTCCTAAAGTAATTAATGTATGCAATTAATGCTTATGCCTCAGAAAACAAAAGATTCAAATACAACTTGAATATTTTTATGATAAAAAAACTTTCATTGAAGAGATTTTTTCCATATTATTAATAGTATATAGTTGTTTTATAGTTAAGTATTATGTACCCTCAGAAGCCCCTGTTTGTTTCTTCTGTATTCCATAACTTTATCAAATGTATCACTATTTGCTCAGTCTTCCAGGATTAAAAACCTCTTTATCACACTTTCTTCATTAGTCAGGATCAGGTTCAGCTGCATGCAGCCACATAAGACAAGAACAAAAACAGACAAAAGCAATGGCTTATACAAGATAGAAAGTGAATGTATCCTCATAAAAAAAAAATAGTCCAGATATAGTCAGTCCAGTGTATAGTTTCATAACGTCAGGGGCTCTTTCCATCTTAATGACCTGTCATTCTCAAAATGCACCTTCCACTTCCAGGCCCAAAATGGCTGTTTGAGCTCCTGCCATCAAATGTACATAATAGCCAGTAGGAAAGAGGTAAAGCAGGGCTCAGTCCTTTCAATAATACTTTCTAGAATTTTCACAATGCTTCAACTTTCACTAATCTTAATATAGTGATATGGCTACATCTTGCTACAAAAAGAACTTAAAAATGTAATCTTTTTTTTCACAGAGCAACAATGTGCCCAGCTACAAATTACGATTCTATCACACAAAAAAGAAGAAAAGGGAAGCTGAGATTGGCTCACAGTCTGTGTTATTTCTCTCTAACCCCACGTATTTAAATCTTCTCAGTTCATCATAATTTAACTAAACCAACCCAATAAGAAGTTATATTCACACAACCATCACCTTTGCCTGGATAATAGCATCCTAACTGAGCTCCTTGACCCAGATAGAAATGAGTGATTCCATTTGAGCACAGAAACTCAGGAACAATACAAACTGCCTTAAGCATGGAAAGAGTCATGTGAGTGGGAAGCACCATGCCTTCTCCTTCAGGCTCATATAGGCTGTATTAGCAAAGGAGGAACTCTCCATTCAACCATGTAAATGTATTAAGGCAAGGCAGAGACTGACTGTAATCTGGTATGTGTGTGTTTGTGGAGAATCTTGCTGGCATTCAGTGGTCAGAAATGAGGGGTCTCACAGGGCAGGAAATCAGTCCCTGTGTCAAAAAAACACTTCTCAGCAGGCAGAATGTTTGGCTAGAATTTTTTTTTTAACTGTCAACCCAGAAGTCTACGCCCAGCCACAAATACCTTCAAAAAATGAAGGCAAAATAAATACTTTCCAGACAAACAAAAGCTCAGAGAATTCACTGAAAGCAGACTTGTACTATGAGAAATGTGGATAAATGTTAAAAGGCATATTTTCTCATTTTTAAGCTCTTTAAAAGTTAATGACTAAAGCAAACCTGGTAATGTATTATGGGGTTTATAACACATAGTAATAAAATATGTGACAAATAGCACAAGGGACAGGGGGTTAGAATGGAAGTATGTTGTTGTAAGGTTCTTGTATGAAATAGTGTATTACTTAAATGTAATGGCATATTACTTAAATGTAGACTATGATAAGCTTAGAGACATATAACCCTAGAGTAATCACTAAAAATAAAACAAAAGGCACAGCTTATAAACCAATAATGGAGATAAAATGAAATCACTAAAAATACTAATTCAAAAGGTTTTTAAAAACTGAAAAGAGAAACAAAGACAGATGGGACACATAGAAAACAAAGATGAAGATGGTAGACTTAAACCTGAACATATTGATAATTAAATGTAAATTGTCTGCAAGAATGGCCATAATCAAAAAATAAAATAATAATAATAGATGTTGGTGTGGATGCAGTGAAAAGGGAACACTTTTACACTGTTGGTGGGAATGTAAATTAGTACAACCACTATGAAAAACAGTGTGAAGATTCCTTAAAGAACTAAAAGCAACCTACCATTTGATCCACAATCCCACTACTAGGTATCTACCCAGAGGAAAAGAGGTCCTTATACAAAAAAGATACTTGCACAAACATAGTTTATATTATAACAGCACAATTTGCAATTGCAAAACTATGGAACCAGCCCAAATGCCGATCAACGAGTGGATAAAGAAAATGTGGTATATACATATATATGTATGTACAGACACACATATATATACACACACACACATATATACACACACACACATATATGTATATACACACATACATATATACACCATGGAATACTACTCAGCCATAAAAATGAATGAAATAATTGCATTCGCAGCAACCTGGATGGAACTGAAGACTATTATTCTAAGTGAAGTAACTCAGGAACGGAAAACCAAACATTGTATGTTCTCACTCATATGTGGGAGCTAAGTTATGAGGATGCAAAGGCACCTGTTCCCAAAAACCTATTGAAATAGAAAAATAAATTAAAAAAAAATAATGTAAATTGTCTAAACACTATGACTAAAAGGCAGAGATTGTCCTAATGAATAAAGGGGGAAAAAAGCAAGACTCATTGATACACTGCCTGTAAGAATTAGTTGGTCTAACACAGACTAATGTCTCTCAGATCTACAAACATATGGAATATCCTCTTCCCTATAACTGGAAAATTAATGGACAGTGCAAGAAGGAGGGCCCTACAAGAGAATCAAGAAATTCATCATCAGGCCAGGGATGGTGGCTCACACCTGTAATCTCAGCTCTTTGGGAAGCTAAGGCAGGAGACTCACTTGAGGCCAGGAGTTAAAGACCAGCCTGGGCAATATAGCGAGACCTCATCACTACAAAAAAAAAAAAAAAAAAAAAAACAAAAAGAAAAGAAAATTGGCCAGGCGCAGTAGTACATGCCTATATATAGTCCAGCTACTCTGGAGGCTGCAGTGGAAGGATTGCTCCCTGAGGCCAGGAGTTTGGGGCTGCAGTGAGCGATAATCATGCCACTGCATTCCAGCCTGGGTGACAAAGCAAGACCTTGACTCAAAAAAAGAAAGAAAGAAAAGAAAGAAAGAAAGAAAGAAAGAAAGAAAGAAAGAAAGAAAGAAAGAAAGAAAGAAAGAAAGAGAAAGAGAGAGAGGGAGGGAGGGAGGGAGGGAGGGAGGGAGGGAGGGAGGAAGGAAGGAAGGAAGGAAGGAAGGAAGGAAGGAAGAAAGAAAAAGAAAGAAAGAAAGAAAGAAAGAAAGAAAGAAAGAAAGAAAGAAAGAAAGAAAGAAATTATCATCAATATAACATTTTCCTGTCCAGAAGTAAACAAATGCAGAAAGTCAGAATCATGAATTCTACCCTTCTAGTAGCTCTAACATATAGTCTGCTGAGGAGACAAACTCTGGGTGAATTTAAGCCTCCCAGTCACATAAAAAATTACACTAGACCTCAGCAAGATGGCAGAATAAGAGGACACCTGCTCTATCCTCTGACAAGAATTCTGCATCCATCCACAGAAAAAAGTCTCTCTGTGAGAACCTCAGGATTCAGGTAGGCAGTTATGAAACCAAGGTAGAGCCCAAGACCTAGGAAGGCTATTCTGAAAGTGTAGGTCAGCACTCAGGTAGCAGACCTGCTGACTGTGCTCCCGGGTTCAAACTCAGAAACAGCCCCATTCCCAAAGGGTTTGGCTACAGCCGTTTGGCCCAGAGCCTGCAACCAAAATCATCTGCCCAGGTGTCCAGGAGGAATCGCACCCACTTGTGCCTCAGCAAAGGCTCATCTGCATACCAACATCAGTCTCAGCAGTGGACCTGGAAGTTACCCTGTAACTTGGTTCAAGCTCCCCTCAGCTGTGGCCCCCAGCTTAGTATGGTTCACACAAAGACCCAGAGAGAGATAACCCCCATATCTCACAGCCTGGGAATTATCCAACCATCTGATCCTCTGTGATGGGCCTGCTAGCCTCTGTCCCACATTTGATCCTGAGAGAAATTTATAATCACCAAGTTAATAAAAGTTCCTTTTAAAAATCAAACTTTCCTGGGCCAGGCGCAGTGGCTCATGCCTGTAATCCCAACACTCTAAGAGGCCGAGGCAGGCAGATCACTTAAGACCAGGAGTTCAAGACCAGCCTACGCAACATGGTGAAGCCATGTATCTACAAAAAATACAAATCTTAGCCGGGCACGATGGCAGCGCCTGTGGTCTCAGCTACTTGGGAGGCTGAGCTGGGAAGATCGATTGAGCCCAGGAGGTCAAGGCTACAGCAAGCCATGATCTCGTCACTGCACTACAGCCTAGGCAACACAGCAAGACCCTGTCTTAAAAAACAAAACAACAACAACAACAAAAAAAAAACCACCTTCCCCAGCAGAAAGGACAGTGGACAGAAAGGGGCACAAGTGCAACTTCTGGCTATTAGAAATGTTCTCATTTCATGATGTACAGATGTGTATTTTTCAGTATTCATGTAATACTTCAATAAAAAGCTCAAACCAAAATAAACAACAAATCAAACATTTACCAACAGAAAAAAGAGTCATGAGTATGACTAGGCAATTCACAAGATAGGAAATCCAAAGATCCAAAGGACCAATAAACTTTGTAAAGATGCCCCACCCCTCCCAAACCCCTTTCCCTATATCCTCAGAAATGCATGTCCATCATTCCCAACTACTCAACCTCTTTTCTGAAGGTTCCTGCTTGGGATACAACCCTGACTTAAATGTAATGGCATATTATAATCACCTGGGAGTTTTTTAAAAATAAATTATCTATGTCCAAGCTCCACCTCAGACTGAGTCAGAATGTCCAGGGGCTAGGACTGGGAAATGGTACGTTTACAAGCCCTCCCCTGCAATTTTAATGTACAACCAGGGCTGAGAGCCACTTCCAACTGAAACCTGGCTCTCCACTGCAGCCTTATTCAGCCACAGCTGTCTTCTCTCTTACATCCCTCTTCCCAGCAGGCCTGGAGACAGGGCAGGTGTTCTCGTTTCTCACTGCCATTTCCAAATCACTATCTCATCTACCTCCCTAAGATCCCAGCTTCAAGTCTTATATCATCACTGCACCCATCCCTAATCCACCTTGTGGCAGGATTAGGATACCCCCAACCTTAATCCTTAAAGATTTTAGCTCCTGGCTATGACACTCTCTCCAACATTGTTCTTGTCAAATGCATACTGATTTTAATATCTGTAGAGATCATCCTTGACCTCATCCTCTCCTCCCATAATCCAGTACTCCACTTGACCTCGGCGGTTCATTCCCACAATCATACCCCAGAACTTGTCATTACCAATAGCTGACACCCTCCACAATCTCAATTTCTAGCATCCCACTCTCCTGCCATCCCTTATCTTTTCAATTCCCCTCCTCAAATATCATCACTCCAACATTTTTAAAGTCCATAATTTTTAAAGTTCCATAATCCACTGATCCTACCATCTTTTCACCATCCTTCACCCAGCTTAGAGTCTAGATCCACCGTTAAGACTCAAAGTTTCCCTCCTTCGAATATACCCTCAACTATCGTACCTCATCTTACCCTATCATTATCACCAGGAACCCCAATCCTGGATAAATCCTACTCTCTACCTAATCCGAACAAGTGAATTTGGCTGGAGGAAAAAAATAAACATAACTCTACTGACTGACCTTGCTATACACTTATGACAGCTGACTCCAAGTGGACCTTGGTACAGCCTTGTAATCACACACCATTTTAGTCTCCTGGTTGACTAGGTCACAACTTTTCCTCTTCTTACCTCTACAGCTCCTCTGCTTTCCTCAGGCTCAGCAGATGATCTTGCTTCCTAATTCACTAAGAAAACCACAGCAACAAGGATCTACCAGTTCACCTGCCAAAGTACTCTTTCCCTTTGCCTCTATGGATGCATGCTCTGTGCTCCTAAGACCAACCCCGCCACTGCACACTAGATCCCAGTTCCTTTCATCTCCTCAGCCACATTCCAGCAATTCTCCCATCTCATGAATCATCAATTTCCCCCTCTCTATATTAGTCACATCAGCATCAAAAACACTATAATAGCTCCCATCTTTAAAAAAAAAAAAAAGCACTCTTAATCCCATATCTTCCTTCAGCAATGGTCCCATTTCTCTACTCCTCTTTGGAAAGAAACTCTTCAAAAATAATGTCTATTTTTGCCATCTCCAATTCCTGTTTTCCCATTTTCTCTTGAAAACACACCAACTTAACTTTTAGCTCCTCACCACTCCACCAAAACAACTCCTGTGAAAGTCTTTAATGTCCTCCGTATTGTTAAAACCAAAGGTCAATTCTCAGCGCTCATTTTACTCAATCTATTAGAGCATTCCATACAGCTGAGCAGTCCTTTCTTTGAAACAGCATCTATACTAGGTTTCCAAGACACACCACTCACTCTTGGTTCTCCTCCTTATTGAGCAATTCTTTTCCATCTCTGTTATTGGTAAGCCTTATCCTCCCAACTCTAAACACTGGAATAGCCCAGGGCTCACTCTGGACTTTCTCTTCTCTCTCTACACTCACTCATTCATCCCATCTCATGGCTTTAAGCCACTCCTCTATACTGACATTTATTCCTCTGAGGCCTCTTTGTATTCCAGGCTCATGTTATCACCTGCGTAGTCCACATCTCAACCTGAATGCTGAGCAGGCACCTGGAACTTGGTTGTTCAAGATTAAACTCCAGGCTTCTCCCTCTTCCTCAAACCTGCTTCTGCCACAGATCCCTTTCAATGAATGGCAACTCCAGCCTTCTATCTGCCAGGCCAAAAACTTTGTACTTTTTCTCTCACACTTCCCAGCTTATTTTGTTGATTCTACTTTCAAAATATATCTAGATCTAGACTGACCACTTTTCGCCACCTTCATTGTCCACACTCTTAGACTAAGTTACCATCATCTCTTCCCTGGATCATAACAGCAGCGTCCTGACAAACCTCCTGCTTCCTCCCTTACAGTCCCCTCTCAACAGAGCAACTAGTGTGATCCTTTTAAAGCCTAAATAAGACTGTTTCCTCTGCTCAAAACCCTCAAATTTCAGATGGAATCACATTCAAGGTAAAAGACGAAGTCTTTACTATGGCCTCTCTATTGTCTCCCCTCATCTCCTTCTTTTTACCTCCTTACTCCCTCTAATCCAGTCACACTGATCTCCTTGCAGTTCTATGAGCATGTCAGACATGAGGGTCTTATTTGGTATTCTCTCTGCCAGGAATCTTCTTCCTCCAGTTATCCACATGGCACATGCTCTCTTCTCTCTCTCTCTATCCACAGCATTTATTACCATCTAAGATACTATGCATTTTCACATCTACTCATTTTCCATTTCCCTTCACTAGAATGTATGCAAATGGGACTTGGCCTGTCACTGAGCAGTCCTCAATTCATGTGTTGAATGAATGAATGAATAGTGCTTACACTCATTAATACTACGGCAAATACAAATTAGAGAAATATGAAAAGTCATTACATACCAATCATATGCCAAAAATTTAAGTCTGGTAAAACCAAGAGTGACCAACATCTGGAACACAGTTTTATATACCACTGCTGGGAATGTAAATTAATCCAAATACTTTACAGAACAATTTGGCAATACTAGTAAAACTGAAAATGCATATACCCTTCAGCCTAGCAATTGCAGTTCTGCATATATATCCTAGACCCCAGGGCCTACAGCAACTCCCTTACAAATACGAAAGGAAACTTGTGCAAGAATATTGTATTAGTCCATTTTCACACTGCTGATAAAGACATACCCGAGGAATGGGCAAATTTACAAAAGAAAGAGGTTTAATCGACATACAGTTCCACAGGACTGGGGAGGCCTCACAATCACGGCGGAAGACAAGGAAGAGCAAGTCACATCTCACATGGAAGCCTGCCTTGGCTTCCCAGAGTGCTGGGATTAAGGTATGAGCCACCGCACCCGGCCAGAAACTTACTTGATTAAAATTTCTTTCCAAACTTCATAAATAACAATCGCCAGTTTCTTCTAATTGAAATGAACGGTAAAGAGGCAAAGAGAAAATGAACCAGCAGGGGAAATGCCAGATGCTTATAAAACCATCAGATCTTGTGAGAATTCACACTATCACGAGAACAGTATGGGGGGAACCGCCCCCAATGATTCAATTATCTCCACCTGGCCCCGCCATTGACATATGCGGAATATTATAATTCAAGGTGAGATTTGGGTAGGGACACAGAACCAAACCATATCAGATATTCACTGCCATTGTCTATAAAAGCAAATTAACCAGAAACTTGACTATCATCAGGAAATGTATAAACTATAATAGAAGCATACAATGGAATACTACACAGCACCTAAAATGAATGACCAAACTACAAATATCAACATGACTGTAGTTCAAAATCACAAGGCTGAACTAATAAAAAGCAAACTGCAGAATGATATGTAAGGTATGATGGTGTGTGTGTAGGCTACATCCATATATAATAAAATAAAAATAAAAATGTTGATATATACATATGTGTGTGTATATATATGTATATATATAGACAGTGGTTATTTCTGAGCAGGAAGGAAGACAGAAAAAGAGAATCAGGGAAGATTACACAGGGTGCTTCAACTGTATCCATTTTGTTTTCTTTCTTTACAAAAAAGAAAAGCCTGGCTGGGCACAGTGGCTCATACCTGTAATCCCAGCACTTTGGGAAGCCAAGGCAGGCGGATCACAAGGTCAAGAGATCAAGACCATCCTGGCCAAAATGGTGAAACCCCATATCTACTAAAAATACAAAAAATTAACTCGGCATGGTGACACACGCCTGTAGTCCCAGCTACTCGGGAGGCTGAGGCAGGAGAATCGCTTGAACCCAGGAGACAGAGGCTGCAGTGAATCGAGATCATGCCACTGCACTCCAGCCTGGCGACAGAGACTCCATCTCAAAAAACAAAAAACAAAAAACAAATAAAAAAAAGAAAAGCCTGGCAAATATGTAAAAATATAAGAATCTGATATCAGTAAATGATAGGTACATGGGTATTTGTTATGTTATTCTCTAAATTCTTCTGTATGCTTAACATATTCATAATTTTAATTAAGCATATTATATCACATGGAAACTTATTTATTTTTGAGACAGAATCTCACTGTGTGGCCCAGGCTGGAGTGCAGTGGCATGATCTCGACTCACTGCAACCTCTGCCTCCCTGGTTCAAGTGATTCTCCTGTCTCAGCCTCCCGAGTAGCTGGGACTACAGGGGCATGTGTCACCATTCCCAGCTAATTTTTGTATTAGACAGGGTTTCATCATGTTGGCCAGGCTGGTCTCAAACTCCTGACCTCAAGTGATCCGCCTGCCTCGGCTTCCCAAAGTGCTGGATTAAGGTATGAGCCACCGCACCCAGCTGGAAACTTATTTGATTAAAATTTCTTTCCAAACTTCATAAATGACAATTGCCAGCTTCTTCTAATTGAAATGAATGGTAAAGCTGTCAGGGCTTTCCTGAAAATTCTGGAATTCCACAAGAAAAGATTTGGCTGCCCTCACACTCAGTATTCCATCTCAGCTTCTTTTCCTTAAAAAGTCCTTCCATGGCACATTTCTATTTAAATATTAATCATCTGTAAACATTCCCACATAAATGCACTGCCCTACGCAAGGGCTGTGAAATGGAAATGCAATCTGAAGCAGACACACCACAGCAAAAGGCACCAAGACTCATGTGAGCATCTAAAATCACCAGTTGCCACGGATGACTAATATAAAGGTAGATAGCAGCTCTTTCATTTAGGGACATGAGTTTCCGAATCACAGCAAGAGAAGGATAATCTCTTCTGCATTCTCAGACATTTTACCAAAACCAGAAAGCGCCTATGTTAGCTCAAATCAGTAGAAAAATTACCAAGATCACTTATTAATTAGATTAATACAGGATGAAAGTCCAGAAACATTAAAGCATAACCTATAGAAAAACTGACTTTGCAAAGTCAAAACACATTTATGGCATCATAGACAATATGAAAAACAAACGTTTAGCCAGTAGGTAAATCAGAAAGGTTAATTTCAGTGATAATTAATTTCAGTGGTGTCAATACAACCAACTTAAAACGCTTTTTTTTCCAGGAACTCACTGCTTGCTAACCAACTTGTTCTTACAGGCAAGTCTACCTTTTTTAAATCTCAAATGTGAAAACTGATACACAATTTACAGATGCAGAGGTATAAGACCAGCTCATTGGTATAAATGACAAACCTCTCAATGCCATGGTTTCCTTGTTGTAATTCAAGGTTTCCTCGTTATAATTCAACACAGATATTGAAAACTTGTCATCCACTAATATTTATATAATACCTTTGAGACTCATAGGACAAAAGGCAATGCAAAGCCTCCTATACATAACCATAGTAAAGGTTTAGAGTTGATGCAGTAGGCTGCCATGAGCCAACAGTGACGCCAGCCAACTAGCTCTGACAACCTTATTATGCTAATCATTTGTATAAATTGTTAGTGGCTGTGAGATGTGAATCATAAATAGCATACCATACTTACACATGATCTTTGGTTCCCAGTTTTAAAGGACACTAAGCTAAGCTAGAATATGTTTTAAAAGTCCATTATCAGTTCTCACTGATTAAATCATTTAACAATTAGATACGGCTTGAAGGTTACACCATCAAGCACACATTTTTCCACCACACAAATTATCCATCTGCATAAAGGCTGATAAATCCATTCTGAAAAGTGAACATTTGAAAATCACAAGCCCTCACTGCCACCATCTTATATTAGCATAAATATTCTTGCAATTGTCAACCAGAAAGTTTTACATTTCTCAGTACTTTATTTTAGCACTGAAGTGACATCTAGGGCTTGGGAAAACTCAGAACAGCGTGGGTTAGGAAAGCTACAATTATATCTTGACTGCCTTCACCAAATTACAGGAGTGGGAGGTAAAGACATTAATTGAGACACTCGTAAAAGAACACACCCTTAAAAATGAACCCTGCACTCCAATACACTTTTTCTGGATTAAATCCAGAAAAAAAACACATATACCCCTCAGTTAGTGAATTTTACAGAGAGCACAGCAACAAGAAGTACCTAGTTCATAACTCCTTGAGAGGAGAAATTCATGCATCTTTCTGGCTGTAACCAAGGTAGTTATTATGATTTAATTAGAAGTTCTTATTCACTTTATTAATTACAGAGTTAATTATGTCTGTTTAAAGTGAACTGTGGGATTTGCAGAGCCAACCTACTATTTGTTTTTTTTAAAAAGTGAAGATGTTTTAAGTACTAATTAGCAAAGGTATGTTTTATATTTGCTCCTAGTACAGTTTCCAGTCTTGAAAGATTAGATTTCCACTTGACTCTCTAACACAGACAGCAAAACTGTCACGCAGACATGAGAAGCAAATGTAAAACAATTGTGATAGAGAATGTTTTGTTTCAATATGTCCTACACAGAAGCTTATTTGATGGCTTCAAAGTGACACTAAGCATATTTAGAATGCTGTCAACATCCCAATACCTAATTAGCATATCATCAACAGTATCATTTCAGAACTAGAGCTATCTTAGAAGTTATGGCCAAAGGCACTTGAGAAATATGTTGAAAGAGAAATTAAGCAGGAGGTGCGGAATTCTTGAGGCATGATTAGAGTCAGTCTTACAAAAAAAGTCAGATACACAAATGCAAGGGCTTGGGATTATTTTAGGTATGATTTTGGTTTGTCCTTTGACTTTTCATCTAGTAGCTATTAAGTATACATATATCTTTATCATCGCTTTGTAAGCACTCTAAGGACAAGTGAAGACTTAACTTCAACCTCTTTAGTGTCCTCGTTAAAAAATAAAAACATGAAGTCCAAGTATTCATACGGCAAAAAAACAAAAATCAAGACTGTACCAGCAAATCCAGGATGCTCAATGGCTTTAATGGAGCTTGTCCAAATTGGCCTCTTAATATTTAGCACCATCTAGTGGCAAATCTATTTTTTAAGTTGGAGAAAAAATATGGACCACAATCATACGTATGGAAAAACCTCGATCAGTAATAATATTTCAACATCGGTACAAATTAATGCTTTTGATAGCTGTTGAATACAGATGATAGCTAACATGGGTATCCACTACCTATCTAACAGGCTCTTTAAATCTGTATATACATAAAATTTTCTATAACAAAAGAACAAAAAAAGAAAGCCTCTGAAAGTAGTCTGATTTGTCTCATAGAAAATTCTTCTAGACCCATATTCTGACTCATTCCGGCCTGAGATTTCAAATACGTTACCATCACAGAAAAAAACTGACAAAGATGCCCTAATCAGCTTTTATAAAAATGTAGGCAGATATATATATATATATATACATACACGTATATATATGTACACATATATACGTGTATATATACGTGTGTGTGTGTGTGTGTGTGTGTGTGTTAGAGTAAGGTACCTAAATAGCTACTTTAATATTCAATGCTCACACTAACCTTTCTGCATTTTCTTACAATAGTCCTATTTTAAAGAAAAAACAAACTGGCAAATGTTGTTTATAGTTTACAAGTGTAGTGAGTTAAGAAAATGAAGCCATAGCAACACTGGCCACAGCACCCAAAACAAACACCTCCCTACTAGGTGCTCTGTAAAGAAGTAGGTACATCTCAGGCTGTTACTGGAAGCACAGAAGACTTCCCTCGACTCACAGCAATGATGCCATAAACAAAGCATTTTGCCAACAGTAGTAATAAGCTTATGCTGGTAAATCCTGCCTATCTCACCTGCTTTCCCTCCTACAAAAGCAAGCAAGCTATAAACAAAACCAAAAAGTTTTTGTTAAAACTTACAGCAATATATTTTGAAGATTCTTTTTCATAACAAAGTTGAAATACCTCCTTGTCACAAAATTATCTTTTTTACTTTTTAAAATCTTTTTGAACTTTTTAGGTCTGTGGTATATGTGCAGATTTTTTACATGGGTATACTGCATGTCACTGGGGTTTGGTGAACAAATGATTTCATTTCCCAGGTAGTAAGCATAGTACCCAATAGGTAGTTTTTTCAACCCTCACCCTCCTCCCACTCTCCATCCTCAAATCCTCCATCAACAGCCCCAGTGTCTGTTGTTCCCCTTCGTGTCTTCATGCATTCACTGTTTAGCTCTCACTTATAAGTGAGAATGTGTGGTATTTGGTTTTCTATTCCTGTGTTAATTTGCTTAGGATAATGGCCTCCAGCTGCATTCATGTTGCTGTAAAGGACATGATTCTGCTCTTTTTTATGGCCACACAGTATTCCATGGTGTGTATGTACCAAATTTTATTTATCCAGTCCACCACTGATGGGCACCTGGGTGCCCATATCTTTGCTATTGTGAATAGTGCTGCAATAAATGTACAAATGTATGTGTCTTCTTGGTAGAACAATTTACATTCCTTTGGGGTTCAGTAATGAGATTGGTAGTTCTGTTTTTAGTTGAGGAATAGTCACAACTGCTTTCCATAATGGTTGAACAAATTTAACTCCCACCAGCAGTGTATATGCATTCCCTTTTCTCTGCAACCTTGCCAGCATCTGTTATTGAGTTGTTAATAGCCACTCTGACTGGTGTGAGATAGTATCTCATTGTAGTTTTCATTTGCATTTCTCTAATAATTAGTGATAGTGAGCATTTTTTCATGTTTGTTGGCCATATATATGTCTTCTTTTAAAGTGTCTGTTCATGTCCCCTGCCCACTCTTTAATGGGGTTGTTTTCTGCTTGTAAGTTTGCTTAAGTTCCTTATAGATTCTGGATATTAGATCATTGTCAGATGAATAGTTTGCAAATATTTTCTCCCACTCTGTAGGGTATCTGTTTACTCTGTTGATAGTTTCTTTCACTGTGCAGAAGCTCCTTACTTTTAGGTCTCGCTTATCTATTTTTGTTTTGTTGCAATTGCTTTGGAAAACTGTCAAGAAATCTTTGCCAAGGCCTATGTCCAGAATGTTGGACCTATGACAAAACCTACGACATAACTGTCCTAGGTATTCTTCTAAAGTTTTTATAGTTTTAGATTTTACATTTAAGTCTTTAATCCATCTTAATTTTTGTATATGATGAAAGGCAGGGGTCCAGTTTCATTGCTCTGTATATGGCGAGCCAGTTATTCCAGCACTATCTATTGAATAGGGGACTCTTTTCCCCATTGCTTACTGTTGTCAACGTTGTTGAAGATCAGATGATTGTAGGTATGCAGCTTTATTTCCAGGCTCTCTATTCTGTTCCATTGGTCTATGTGTCTGTCTTTCTACTGGTACTATGCTGTTTTGGTTACTGTAGCCTTGTAGCATAGTTTGAAGTCGGATAATATGATGCCTCCAACTTTGTTCTTTCTGCTTAGGATTGCTTTAGCCATTTTTGGGTTCAATCTTGGGGGGTTGTATGTTTCCAGAAATTTATCCATTTATTCTAGGTTTTCTAGTTTCTCTACATAGGGGTGTTCATAATAGTCTCTGAGGGTTTTTGTGTTTCTGTGGGGTTGGTGGTAACGTCACCTTTGTCGTATCTGATTGTGTTTATTTGGATTTTCTCTTTATCAAACTAGCTAGCAATCTATCAATCTTATTTATTCTTTCAAAGAACCAACTTTTGGTTTCGTTGGTCTTTTGTATGGATTTTCATGTCTCAATCAGTTCAGCTCTGATTTTGGTTATCGCTTTTCTTCTGCTAGTTTTGAGGTTGGTTTGCTCTTGTTTTTCTAGAGTTCCTCTAGGTGTGGTGTTGGGTCATTAATTTTAGATCTTTCTAAGTTCTTGATGTAGGCATTTAGCACTATAAACTTTCCTCTTAACCTTTAGTTGTGTCCCAAGGATTCTAGTATGTTGTGTCTTTGTTTTCATTAGTTTCAAATATTTTTCTGCCTTAATTTCATTCTTTACCCAAAAGTCATTCAGGAACAGGCTGTTTAATTTCCATGTAATTGTATGGTTTGGGGATCTTCTTGGTATTGAGTTCTATTTTTATTGCACTGTGGTCTGACAGTGTGGTTAGCATGATTTCGGTTTTTGTCTGTTTTAGAATTGCTTTATGGCCAAGCATGTGGTCAATATTAGCATAGGTACCATGTATAAATTAGAAGAATGTATATTCTGTTTTTGTTGGGTGAAGTATTCTGTAGATGTCTGTTAGGTCCATTTGGTCAAGTGTCAAGTTTTGGTCCCAAATATCTTTATTAGTTTTCTGCATTGATGCTCTAACACTGTCAGCAGGGTATTGAAGTCTCCCACTATTGTTGTGTGGTCATCTAAGTTTCTTTGCAGGTCTCTAAGAATTTGTTTTATGAATCTGGGTGCTCTAGTGTTGGGTGCATATATATTTAGGATCATTAAATCTTCTAGTTGAATTGAATCTTTTATCATCCACTATGTAATGCCCTTCTTTGTCCTTTTTTATTATTATTGTTGGTTTAAAGTCGGTTTTGTCTGAAATAAAAATAGCAATCCCTGCTCTGTTTTGTTTGTTTTCTGTTTGCTTACTTGACAGGTCTTTCTCCATCCCTTCACTTTGAGCCTATGGATGTCACTGCATGCAAGATGAGTCTCTTGAAAACAGCATATAGTTGGGTCTTGCTTCTTTATCCAATTAGCCACTCTTTTAAGTAGGTCATTTACATTCAAGGTTAATATTGCTATGTGAGAATTTCATCCTGTCATGTTATTAGCTAGTTGTTATGTAGATAATATACTTGCTTTATTGTGTCAGTGGGCTATGTACTTAAGTGTGTTTTTGTGGTGGCAGGTACCAGTATTTAATTTCCATGTTTAGCACTCCCTTAAGGACCTCTTGTAAGTCTGCTGGTAACAAATTCTCTTAGCATTTGCTTGCCTGAAAAGGATTTTATTTTTCTTTCGCTTATAAAGCTTAGTTTGGCCAGACATAAAATTCTTGCTTGGAATTTCTTTTCTTTAAGGATGCTGAATATAATCCCTTCTGGCATGTAAGGTTTCTGCTGAAAGGCCTCCTATTAGCTGGATGGGGCTACCTTAGTATGTGGCCTGCACCTTCTATATAGCTGCCTTGAAGATATTTTCTCTCATGATGACTTTGGACAACCTGGTGACTATGTGTCTTGGGGAAGGTCATCTTGTATAGTATGTGGGTATGGTACAGGGCTTCTCTGAACTTCCTAAATTTGCATGTCCCTCTATAGCAAGGTTGGGGAAATTTTCACGGAAGATATCCTCAATTATGTTTTCCAAGTCACTGCTCTCCCCCCATCTCTTTCAGGAATGCCAATGAGTCACAGGTTTGGTCTCTTTACATAATCCCATATTTTTTGGAGGTTTTGTTCATTTTTTAACTCTTTTTTCATTTTTGTCTACCTGCATTGATTCAAAGGAGCAGTCTTCAAGTTCTGAGATTCCTTCCTCAGCTTGATCTATTCTGTTATTAACACTTCCAATTGCATTCTGAAATTCCTGTAGTAAATTTTCATTTCTGGAAGTTCAGTTTGGTTCTTTCTTAAAATGGCTTTGTGGTCTTTCAACTCTTGCACTCTTACTGTGTTCCCTGGATTGGGTTTCAACCTTCTCCTCTATGTCGACTAGCTTCCTTGCTATCCAGATTCTGAATTCTATGTCTGTCATTTCAGTCTTTTCAGCCCGGTTAAGAACCATTGCTGGGGAGCTAGTGCAGTCGTTTGGAGGTTAAAAAAACACTCTGGCTTTTAGAGTTGCCAGAGTTCTTGCACTGGTTCTTTCTTACCTGTGTGGGCTGATATCCTGTAATCTTTGAAGTTGTTACTTTTTGCATGGGACTTCTTGCTTTTTATATTCTTTGATGCTCCTGAAAGTTTGACTAATATTTGTTTGGTTTAGTCAACTGGCTTCATTGTGGATGCTTTCAGGAGGCCAAGGCTCAACAGAGCACTCCTGGGCTACATGCTCTAATCCTTGTGGTGCTGGGACCAGGCCTGTGGCTTTATTTTCTGGCTCCTTGAGGTTAAGTACCTACTGCTCTGAAGGAGCTGAGATGTTCCCGGTCCACTGGCAACAACACTCCGATGGCAGCTGCCAGCAAAAGAACTCTGGTGGGGCAGCAATAGGCTCCCACGCACATGCATGCCTGCAGAGTGGCACGGGGAAGCTGTGGGCAAATGCACACTGGCAGGAGAAGGCTGCAGGTGGGCACGTGCCAGCAGGGGAAGGCTACCGGCAGGTGCACATTGGCAGGGGTCTGGGTCCATTTGCAAAAGCACTCCAATGGACAGATACGGTCTTATGGCAAAAAGCTATAGTGATGGCTGCTGGCAAGCTGAGGCTGTGCTGCAAGCAGGTACAGCCAGGCAGGGAGGGACCCTAACAGAGGCCAGCAACGGGCAGTTGGGGGAGGTCCTCAGATCAGACTGGTCCCATTCCACAAGCAAGCCAGCCCTCTATTGTCCAGGTCTGGCAGCCAACAAAGGCTAGAGCTGCCTAGAGGAGTATGGTGTTATGGATATCCACAGCCATGCTCCACTGCAACTGTTCCCACAACAAACCCTCTGGGCTCCATGCAGGCTAGAGTTCCATCTCTGTCAACTCTCCAGGAAGTTCTTCCTGCCAGCTCAGATGTTCATGAGAATCATGGGGTCTCCCACAGGTAGGCTCCCAGAGGTCCGCGGCAAGAGTGGGCCACTCCACATCAATTTCACTCACCCCATCCCTAGGAGCGACTCAGGGCCAGCGACAAACCGACAAACCGTGGTGCTTGGCAACCCTGTGCAGGGTTTCCAGCTTCCTCCCCTTTCAGCCTGGTATCTGCATCCTCCCTCTGTCCACTCTCAATGCCTTCTTTCCAAAGATCTGTTCAGAGTGTGCTGGCCTACTTGATGGCCTGGTCTCAGTGGGAGAGGCTCTTCCTAGCTGCCTCTAGATAGCCATCTTGCTATTTGTCCAAAATTATTGTTAAAGAATAAAGCATGAAAGCAATTTTCATAACTTGAATAAAAGTAAAGTTTTCATCTCCTACACTACTGGAAAAAAAAAATCTCTTTTACACAAATACTTAGAGCATTTTGATTCAAAAGCTAAAAAAGTATATATTAATATTAGAATCCAAGCCAGGCGCAGTGGCTCACGCCTGTAATCCCAGTACTTTGGGAGGCTGAGGCAGGCAGATCACTTGAGCTCAATTCAACACTAGCCTGAGGAACATGGCAAAACCCCATCTCTACAAAAAAATAAATAAATAAATACAAAAATTAACCAGACATGGTGGCACACACCTGTGGTCCCAGCTACTCAGGAGGCTGAGGTGGGAGAATCACTTGAGCCAGGAGGCGGAGGCTGCAGTGAGCCGAGATCATGGCACTGTACTCCAGCCTGGGTAACAAAGCAAGAACACATCTTAAAAAATAAAAAATAAAAAAATAAAAAAATAAAAAAACCCAGCCAGGTGCAGTGGCTCACACCTATAATCCCAGAACTTTAGGAGGGCAAGGTCAGCAGGTCACTTGAGCCCAGGAGTTTAAAATCAGCCTGGACAACATAGTGAAAGACTGTCTCCACAAAAAAATAGAAAAATTAGCTGGGCATGGTGGTGCATGCCTGAGGTCCCAGCTACTTGAGAGGCTGAGATGGGAGGATTGCTTGAGTCTGGGAGGCTGAGGCTGCAGTGAGCTGTGATAGGACCACTGCACTCCAGCCTGGGCAACAGAGAAAGACCTTGTCTCAAAAAAAAGAAAAAGAAAAAGCCAGACATGGTGGCTCACACCTGTAATCCCAGCACTTTGGGAGGCTGAGGTGGGCAGATCACTTGAGATCAGGAGTTCAAGACCAGCCTGGCCAACATGGAGATGCCTATCTTTTCTAAAAATACAAAAATTAGCCGGGCATGGTGGCAGGTGCCTGTAATCCCAGCTAGCTACTCAGGAGGCTGAGGCAGGAGAATTTCTTGAACCCAGGAGGCTGAGGTTGCAGGAGGCTGAAGTTGCAGTGAGCCAAGATCACGCCACTGCACTCCAGCCTGAGTGAATTTTCAAGGGCAAAGCCTTGCTGGCTAAAACTGTCTCTAGTAATCTTTAAAGAGTTCAGTCAAATTAATAAATACAACATCAAGACTGAAACAAATTAATGGGCAAAAGGCATATGCAAATACTTACAAATTAGATGGAGGAGGAGGAAGATCTCATATTGAATATTTACTGGGTATTAAAAACTGAGTGGTTCTTTTTTTTAAAAGTCTATCACACAAAGAAAAGTGCACAAAACATAAATGTTCAGCCCCATGAATTAAAACAAACCAAGCACCCATGTAACCACCAGAGTCCTAGAAATTGAGGACTGCCAGTAGCCCATTGGTTCCTTCCCACTTCTTTCCAATCATTAACCCCTCCCTCCTCTCCAAAGGTAACTATCATCTTGACTTCTAACATTCTAGTTCTGTACTGTCTGATTTTAAAATCTATTTAAGTGGAATCATATACAGTAGTATGGATTCTTTTGTGTGTGGGTTTTGTTCAACATCATGTTTTTAAGGTTCATCCATATTGTGTAAATTGAGTTTGTTCATTTTCATTACAGTACAGTAGTCCACGTTTGAAATGTATAATAATTTACTTACTATACTGTTGATGGAAATCTCCCCACACAACTATTTTGAGCTAGTACAAATAGTGGTGCTATAAACATTCTTATACACACTACTTCAACGCACACATGCCCACCATTTCTGTGGAAGTAAAATTACAAAGTCACAGAGCATGCATACATTCTGCTTCTACACTGCCAGGTTACCAAAGTGGTTATATCCAACAGTGTAAAAAAATTTCCTTGGGCATGGTGGCTCATGCCTATAATCCTAACACTTCCAGCCTGACCAACATGGTGAAACCCCGTCTCTACTAAAAATACAAAAATTAGCCAGGCATGGTGGCATGCGCCTGTAATCCCAGCTACTCAGGAGCCTGAGGCAGGAGAATTGCTTGAACCCCGGAGGCGGAGGTTGCGGTGAGCCAAGATCACACCACTGCACTTCAGCCTGGGCAACAGAGCAACACTCCGTCTCAAAAAAAAAGTCCTAACACTTTGGAACGCTGAGGCGGAGGGATCACTTGAATTCAAGACAAATCTGGGCAACATAGTGAGAACTCATCTCTACAAAAAATAAATAAAGTTAGCTGGGTGTGGTGGCACATGTCTGTAGGCCCAACTGCTCAGGAGGCTAAAGTGAGAGGATTGCTTGAGCCTGGGAGGTCAAGACTGCAGTGAGCCGAGATCGTACCACTGCACTCCAGTCTGGGTAACAAAGCAAGACCTTTTCTAAAAAAAAAAAAAAATTCCTTGCTCCATTGCTCCATATTCCCACAATCCCTCTGCATTATTAATCCTTCTATTTAGTATTCTGGCAGGTGTGTAACAGTTATATGCCATTATGATTTTAATCTGCATTTCTCTAATGATTTGTGCTCTTTGGCACCTTTTCTTATTTTTACTGGCCACTTGGATATTCTTTTTGGTGAAGTGCCTGTTCAAGTCTCTTACCCATTATTCTACTGGCTTGTCTTTTTCTCTCTTACCCATTATTCTATTGGCTTGTCTTTTTCTCTCTTATCTTTTATTACCATTATTCTACTGGCCTTTTTCTCACTGATTTGTAGTCCTTCCCATATCCTATACATAATCCCTTTGTCACAGAGTTGCAACCATCTTTTCCTACTCTTTGGCTTGCCTTTCACTCTCTTAAACATGATTTTTGATAAGCAGAAATTCTTGGTTTTAATAAATTCCAATATATCATTTTTTATGGTTAATGCTTTTTTGTGTCCATTTAAGAAAACTCTTCATACTGTAAGGTCACATAGATATTTTCCTATATTATCTCCTATAATCTTTTTTTTTTTTTTGAGACAGAGTCTCATTCTCTCTCCCAGTCTGGAGTGCAGTGGCACGATCTCAGCTCAGTGCAAGCTCCGCCTCCCAGGTTCACACCATTCTCCTGCCTCAGCCTACCGAGTAGCTGGGACTACAGGCGCCTGCCACCACACCTGGCTAATTTTTTGTATTTTTTTTAATAGAGACGGGGTTTCACCATGTTAGCCAGGATGGTCTCAATCTCCTGACCTCGTTATCCACCTGCCTCGGCCTCCCAAAGTGCTGGGATTACAGGTGTGAGCCACCATGCCCGGCCTATCTCCTATAATCTTTACTGTTTTGCCTTTCACAGGTAGATCTACAATCCACTGAGAATTCATTTGGGGTGTAATATGAGATACAGGTCTTGATTCACTTTGTTTTATTGTGTGTGTGTGTGTGTGTGTGTGTGTGTGTGTGTGTGTATACGCATGAACATGCATATATATAAAATGCTTCAGCACTATTTACTGAAATATATTGTCACCGTTCTGCACGTTATCTTTATAACAAATTAAGTATCTACATATTCACATGTCTATTTCTGTATTACTTATTCTGTCCCACCAATCTACTATACTAACCAAGACTGTTGTGTATCCCTGCACCAATATAACACTGTCTTTGTTAATCCAGTTTTATTTTTTTTAATTTCATATCTGATAAAACAAATTGTCCCACTTTATTCTTGAAGAGTATCTTGGCTCTTCTTGGCCTTCTGCACTGTCATATAAATTTATCTTTTAATGATGTGATAGCCCGTAACTAAATCTTATTAACACACTTAAAAAATATCATAAAGCCAGCCTAGAAGGGGTACCTAACTTGCCTGAGGGCCTAAGACTGCAAAACTTAGATTTGAACCTAGAAATGTCTCTGTGCAAAGTGCACACTTTTTCACTATTAACATCCTGCAAGGCTAAACTCACACATGAAAATGTTAAGCCTAAAAATAAAAATAAATGAAAGTAAAAATAACAATGAGCATTATTCCAACACCAACTCAAATTATTATGAGTTGCCAGATGCGGTGGCGCACACCTGTAATCCCAGCACTTTGGGAGGCTGAGGCAGGCGGATCACTAGAGGTCAGGAGTTTGAGACCAGCCTGGCCAACATGGTGAAACCCTGCCTCTACTAAAAATACAAAAATCAGCCAGGCATTGTGGCACATGCCTTAATCCCAGCTACTTGGGAGGCTGAGGCAGGAGAATCACTTGAACCTGGGAGGAGGAGGTTGCCATGAGCTGAGATCACACCACTGCATTCCAGCTTGGGTGAAAGAGCAAGACTCTGTCTCAAAAAAAAAAAAAAAAAAAAAAAAAAAATATATATATATATATATATTTTTAAGATATGTCCTAAACAGTTGATTTATTAATAGTTACTGCCTAAAGCCCAATGTTATAAAATATGGGTCATGTCTCATTCCCTTTCTAGAGCTACTAAGAAGATGAAATGGATAGCTCTTTGGTAGGTGAAGAATAGAAAAGATTTATGGATGATTCCCAGATGTCTGGCTTGAGTAAAGGATGTTTACAGAAGGAAAATAATATTTCTTTAACAACTAGGCAGTGCAGCAGGTGCTTGACATAAACTATCTCATTTTATTCTCCCAACTCCAATAGGTATTACTGGTGAACCAAATTACAAACAAACAATAGGATTCAGAAAGGTTAGGTAAACTTGTCCAAAGTGAAAAATAAATTACTGGATATCAGATCTTAACTGAAACCTCAGGTGCTAAGCCCTTTCCAAAACACCACAGTGCTGGTATCTGTGATATTTGTTTCACAACTGAGCTGAAAAACTAGATTTTCCACCAGGGAATATACAAGTGACACTAAAACAATAAGCAGCTGCCAGGGTTTCATTGTCATTAAATGTAGCAAGTCACATGGAAGCCTTTTGAGATAACTGCTCCAACCAGCAATCTTTAAGAACAATACTGTATTTGTTGATGGTTTTTTTTTTTCATTTTTGTAAAAAGATGTTGGATCCTTAATACATGTTAGAGCACATGTAATATCCCATCCCACATTTTTTACAATTTCAGTGCAGTGACAGCAGAAATCTTGTGGTTTGGTTCTTAACATATTCTGAGAGAAATTAAAATGAGGGTATTAAAGGCTCATGAAAAAATAAGGGTCACTAGCATACACCTGGGTGTAACTAATCAGAGACCAACAATTTCCATATATACATATATAAGAGAGCATGGTTAACTCAATGTAGGGAAATAATGTACCCACTTTATTATGTGCTCATCATACCACATCAGTAATACTAGATAACACAATAAGAACAACAGATCAACTACAGTAATATTCTTACCAAAGAGTAAGACTTACAATGCAGATTCCTGACCATTATTTAGAAAATCTCTGGCCAGAGCGAGACTCTGTCAAAAGAAAGAAAAAGAGAGAGAGAGAAAGAGAATCTCTGATCCATTGAGTCAAAAGGTGGGAATCTGCTTTTTAAAAAGTTTGTATTTTCACATGTATCAAATAGTCATGTGTCACCTAACAATCAGGATACATTCTAAGAAATGTATAGTTAGGCAATTTCATCATTGTGTGAACATCATAGCGTGTACTTACACAAACCTAGATGGTACAGCCTACAACACACCTAAGCTGTATGGTATGGCCTACTGCTCCTAGGCTATAAACAGGTACAGCATGTCACTGTACTGAATACTGTAGGCAATTATAACACAATGATAAGCATTTGTGTATCTAAACACAGAAAAGGTGCAGTACAAATATAGTACTATAATCTTATGGAACCAGTGTCATCTATGCAGTTCACTGCTGACTGAAATGTCACTAAGTGGCACATGACTGAACATATAATATATAAAATATATGTGTGAATACGAAGAGAAACTAATAACAATAAACTCCCAAGTGTCCACTACCCCTATTAAAACACGGACTTTTACCAAGACATTAAGACACCCTGATCCCATCCCCTTCCCTCCACCGAGGTAGCTATTATCCTGATTTAATCATTCCCTTGCTTTTCTTTTCTTCTTTTGTTTTTCTTCTATCCCTCCAGGGAAAAAGAAACTTTTTTTTTTGAGACAGAGTCTCACTCTGTCGCCCAGGCTGGAGTACAATGGCACAATCTCGGCTCACTGCAACCTCCACCTCCCGGGTTCAAGTGATTCTCCTGCCTCAGCCTCCAGAGTACCTGGGACTACAGGCGCCCACCACCATGCCCAGCTAATTTTTGTATTTTTGGTATAGACGGGGTTTTACCATGTTGGCCAGGCTGGTCTCCAACTCCTGACCTCAGGTAACCCACCTGCCTCGGCCCCACAAAGTGCTGGGATTACAGGTGTGAGCCACTACACTCATATTCCTCCAGAATTTTGAAGGCGGCATTGCTTCACTGCTTTCACACTTCCAGGGTGCTACATAGAAATCCAAAGTCATTCTGATTCCTGATCCTGTATATGTGATCTGGGTTTTTTTCACTCCAGAATCATCTCTTTACCACACGGTGTCCTGAAATTTCCTAATGATGGGCCCCAGTGTGGGTATATTTATTAGACTGAACACATGGCAGGCACATTCAATCTGCAAACTTCAATCTTCTACTGTTGGTCGTTTTCTTGAATTATTTTCACCTTTTCATTTCCCCTATTTTATCTGCAACTCAACTGTATAAACATTGAACCTCAGGAACAGTCAGCTAAGTGTCCTCTGTCTTTTTGCCTACTTCTTAGGAGATTTCCTGACCATTATCTTACAACCTTCCAAAGATTTTCATTTCCACTATCATGTTTTAAACTTTTTTCATTTTCTAGCTGGACTTTTTTTTTTATTGACACATTGTCATTACATATATTTGAGGGGTACAATTTGAGGTTTAAATACATATATATGGTTTTTTTGTCTTGTTTTCTTTTGCTATTTGAGACAGAGTCTCGTTCTGTCACCCAAGCTGGAGTGCAGTGGCGTGATCTCAGCTCACTGCAAACTTTGCCTCCTGGCTCAAGCAATTCTCCTGCCTCAGCCTCCCAAATAGCTGGGATGACAGGATGCACCACCATGCCTGGCTAATTTTTGTATTTTTAGTGGAAATGGGGTTTTGCCATGTTGCCCAGGCTGATCTTGAACTCCTGACCTCAAGTAATCTGCCCACCTTGGCCTCCCAAAGTGCTGGGGATACAGGCATGAGCCACCATGCCCAGCCTCAATACATATATATGTTATATAATGATCAAATCAGAGTATTTAGCATGTCCATCATCTCACGCACTTATCACTTCCTTCTGGTAAGAACACTCAAAAGCCTCTCTTCTAGCAATTTTGCTACAATACCTTACTATTAACCATAATCACCCTTCTGTGGAATAGAATACCAGAACTTATTCCTCCTAACTATAACTTTGTACTCATTTGAACGACCTCTCCCTACCTACCTTCCCCTCTCCCTGCCCAAGTCTCTGGTAAGTTTTATGGCTAGTCCTTTATAGAGCATCCTGTTTTTATTCATCTTCATCTCATCTCTCTGAATATATCTGTAATTGGGGTAGGAGATTGTTGGTAACTGTTTTTTTCCCCTGCAAAGTCTGTATTTCTTCCAAGTTGCTTTTTTGTTTTGCTTAATTCCCACCACCCACCTTTGATGCTGGATGCTTTCCTCAAATAACTGGTAATCCTTGGGTATTTGCTTATGATTAAGACTGGGGGTCTAGAGCTAGGTGCACTGGCTCAGGCCTGTAATTCCAGCACTTTGGGAGGCCAAGGTGGGCAGATCATTTGACATCAGGAGTTCGAGACCAGCCTGACCAACATGGTGAAAGCCTGTCTCTACTAAAAATACAAAAATTAGCCAGGCATGGTGGCGCACACCCATAATCCCAGCTACTCAAGAGGCTGAGGCAGAATTCCTTGAACCAAAGAGACAAAGGTTGCAGTGAGCCGAGATCACACCACTGCACTCTGTTTAAAAAATATATTAAAACACAGATGGCAGGAAAAAAAAATTAGCCAGGCACGGTGGTATGCACCAATAGTCCCAGCTACTCAGGAGGGAGGATCACTTGAGTCCGGGACTTCCAGGTTGCAATGAGGTAGGATCATGCCACTGCACTCCAGCCTGGGTGACAGAGCAAAACCATGTCTCTAAAAAAATTAAAAATAAAAATAAATAGTGAATCATCTTTTTGTAATAGAGTTATACTAAAACTTTAAAAGATTTTCTGTTTAAAAAATAAAGATACAATTATAAACCTATGGCTTATTACTAGTATGAACCAATACAGTATAAAAATTATATATTGAGGCTGGGTGTGGTGGCTCATACCTGTAATCCCAGCACTTTGGGAGGCCGAGGAGGGTGGATTGCCTGAGGTCAGGAGTTCAACGCTAGCCTGGCCAACATGGTGAAACCCCATCTCTACTAAGAAATACAAAAATTAGCCGGGTATGGTGGTGCAAGCCTGTAATCCCAGCTACTCGGGAGGCTGAGGCAGGAGAATTGCTTGAACCCGGGAGGCAGAGGTTGCAGTGAGCTGAGATAGTGCCATTGCACTCCAGCCTGGGCTACAAGAGCGAAACTCCATCTCAAAAAAAAAAAAAATTATATATTGAGAAAATGTATAAAAATGATTTGTATCTGACACAGACACGGGATACTAGAAGAAATTAAAAAAGAAACAATAGGGTGGGCACAGTGGCTCACATCTGTAATCCCAGCACTTTGGGAAACCAATGCAGATGGATCACTTGCAGCCAGGAGTTCGAGACCAGCCTGGCCAACATGGTGAAATCTCGTCTACTAAAACTACAAAAAATTTAGCTGGACATGGTGGTGCACACCTATAATCCCAGCTACTCAGGTGGCTGAGGCACAAGATCACTTGAGCCCGGGAGGTAGCAGTTGCAGTAAGCCAAGACTGCACCACTGCACTCCAGCCTGGGCAAAAGAGTGAGCCTCTTGTCTAAAAAAAAAAAAAAAAAAAAAAAAAAGGAAACATTTAATACAAAAATAAATGCCAAATAAAAATCATTCTAAAAACTGAAAGATAATACTGTATTTAGAAGTTATCATTCTTAATATGAAAGCTTGAAACACACCAAGTATTACTTGCCTTTTCCAATAGTCTTGAACTTTGTTTCATAATATTCCTGATACAGGAAAAAATTCATACATTTAACATTGACATTGATCAAATTAATCTGAGTGCATCAAACAGCATCTTTAAATTGAATGTTAAGGGTATGTTGCTTGGTGAAACTCCGTCTCTACTAAAAATACAAAAAAAAATGCCAGGCGTGGTGGCAAGCACCTGTAGTCCCAGCTACTCGGAAGGCTGAGGCAGGAGAATGGCGTGAACCCGGGAGGCAGACGTTGCAGTGAGCGGAGATCGTGCCACTGCACTCCAGCCTGGGCAACAGAGCAAGACTCTATCTCAAAAAAAAAAAAAAAGAGTATGTTGCTTCATATAAGCTTGTTTACCTTCTTAATGATTAACTATTTTGGCTGCCTCCTCTCATTTTTGTTTTGCCTTTGAATATTGCTTTCACTAATTTTAGATCAAGTTCTCATTTCATGTTGAAGTATCCCACAAAAACACTATATCTTTTTCTCTTGTAATTCCTCTCCTAAAGTATTTACAAAGGATGACAGTCTATAGTGAATATTTAAACTCAAAAACACCAACAAACACGGGTAGTATTTAGAGACACAATATAGCAAGAATAACACTACCTGATATGACTTGGCTCTGTGTCCCCACTCAAATCTCATCCTGAATCGTACTCCCATAATTCCCACGTGTTGTGGGAGGGACCCAGTGGGAGATAATCGAATCATGGGGGCAGTTTTCCGATAGTGAATAGCCTCAAGAGATCTGATGGTTTTATCAGGGGTTTCCGCTTTTGCATCCTCCTCATTCTCTCTTTGCCTGCTGCCATCCATGTAAGATAGGACTTGCTCCTCCTTGCCTTCTGCCATGATTGTGAGGCTTCCCCAGCCACATGGAACTGTAAGTCCAATTAAACCTCTTTCTTTTGTAAATTGCCCAGTCTCAGGTATGTCTTTATCAACAGCATGAAAACGGACTAATAAAGTAAATTGGTACCAGCAGTGGGGTGTTGTTGAAGATACCCAAAAATGTGGAAGTGACTTTGGAAGTGAGTAACAAGCAGAGGTTGGAACAGTTTGGAGGGCTCAAAAGAAGACACGAAAATGTGGGAAGGTTTGGAACTTCCTAGAGACTTGTTGAATGGATTTGACAAAAATGCTGATAGTGATATGAAGAGTAAGGTTCCAAGCTGAGGTGGTCTCAGATGGAGATGAGGAACTTGTTGGGAACTGGAGCAAAGGTGACTCCTGTTATGTTTTAGCAAGAGACTGGCAGCATTTTGCCCCACCCTAGAGATTTGTGGAACTTAGAACTTGAGAGAGATGATTTTTAGGGTATCTAGCAGAAGAAATTTCTAAGCAGCAAAGCATTCAAAAGGTAACTTGGGTGCTGTTAAAAGCATTCCATTTTAAAAGGGAAACAGGGCATAAAAGTTCAGAAAATTTACAGCCTGACAATGTGATAGGAAAGAAAAGCCCATTTTATGAGGAGAAATTCAAGCTGGCTGCAGAAATTTGCAAAAGTAGCAGGGAGCCCAATGTTAATCACCAAGACCATGGGGAAAATGTATCCAGGCCATGTCAGAGACTTTCACGGCAGCCCCTCCCATCACAGGACGAGAGGCCCAGGAGGAAAAAGTGGTTTTGTGGTCCAGGCCCAAGGTCCCCATGCTGTGTGCAGCCTAGGAACTTGGTGCCCTGTGTCCCAGCTACTCCAGCTGTGGCTGAAAGGGGCCAATGCAGAGCTTGGGTTGTGGCTTCAGAGAGTGGAAGCCTCAACCTTGGCAGCTTCCACATGGTGGTGAGTCTACAGGCACACAGAAGCTAAGAACTGAGGTTTGGGAACCTCCACCTAGATTTCAGAAGATGTATGGAAATGTATGGAAGCCCAGGCAAAAGTCTGCTGCGGGGTGGGGCCCTCATGGAGAACCTCTGCTAGGGCAGTGCAGAAGGAAAATGTGGGGTTGGAGCCCCCACACAGAGTCCCTACTGGGGCACTACCTAGTGAAGCTGTGAGAAGAGGGCCACCATCCTCCAGACCCCAGAATGGTAGATCCACTGACAGCTTGCACCATCCACCTGGAAAAGTCACAGACACTCAATGCCAGCCTATGAAAGCAGCCTGGAGGGAGGCTATGCCCTGCAAAGCCACAGGGGTGGAGCTACCCAAGACCATAGGCAGCTCCAACAGCATGACCCAGATGTGAGACCTGGAGTCAAAGGAGATCATTTTGGAGCTTTAAAATTTGACTGCCCCGCTGGATTTCAGACTTGCATGGGCCCTGAAACCCCTTTGTTTTGGCCAATTTCTCCTATTTGGAATGACTATATTTACCCAATACCTGTAAACCCATTCTATCTAGGGAGTAATTAGGTTGCATTTGATTTTACGGGCTTATAGGCAGAAGGGACTTGCCTTGTCTCAGATGAAACTTTGAACTGTGAACTTTTGGGTTAATGCTGAAATGAGTTAAGATTTTGGGGGACTGTCGGGAAGGCATGATTGGTTTTGAAATGTGAGGACATGAGATTTGGCAGGGGCCGGGGGGGGAACAATATGGTTTGGCTCTATGTCCCTATTCAAATCTCATCTTGAATTGTACTCCTATAATTCCCATGTGTTGTGGGAGGGACCCAATGGGAGATAACTGAATCATGGGGGCGGTTTCCCCCATACTTTTCTTGTGGTAGTGAATAAGTCTCACAAGATCTGATGGTTTTATCAAGGGTTTCCACTTTGCATCTTTCTCATTCTCTCTTTGCCTGCTGCCATCTATGTAAGACAGGACTTGCTCCTCTTTGCCTTCCACCATGACTGTGAGGATTCCCCAGCCACATGAGACAGTAAGTCCAGTTAAACCTCTTTCTTTTGTAAATTGCCCAGTCTCAGGTATGTCTTTATCAGCAGTGTGAAAACGGACTAATATACTACCATACAGAATAATATATTGTACTGCCAACTTTAGGACTTATTTTGCTTTCAAATTTTTTATTTCTTGAAACACCACTAATAGCGTTTATATGAAGTGGACTATGCATACAAATGTATTATTATTTATTTGTAAGAATAACTGTTAGCAGCAGATAGAGTATAAAAACACATTTATTTATAAGATGGCAACAGCTATGAGACTGGCTGTCTAGATCACAAGCTTATCTCCTAGATGCTCTTGTCTCAGCTCCCAGAGATGTACAACTTAAGGTTTTAGTCGGTGTCAGCATGTCCTGCTCTTGCTTTCCACTTGACATCAGTGGAGCTCTAAGAACCAATCACATCTAATACTATTGACCACAGATCTTTAATTCTCATGAAAATGATTCTGTTTTCCCAATTTGGAATTACCAGTAACTTTCCTCAGGGTTTGGGATTTAAAATAACATACAAATTTCCTGAGAAATTCTGGGAGTGACTTCCCATACAGAAACATAACTTTATCCAGAGATCATCTGCTCTGAACCTCCAGAATCTGTCCCAAGGTGAATAGTATGCATTGGGAGAGTTGTTTCTTAGCAACAATTATCCAATCTTCCTTATTTCATGTCTTTTGCACCTCAATTTTCAGAGATACTTGGCTTTGCTACTTCTTGAGCTTTATGAGGATTTAGAGGATAAATCTGATTGGTTCATAGTTTTTCCCTCTGCCAACTCAGGATTCATAAGTCTTGGGTGTCAGTTAATTTCGACTCATTCTTAGGCTTTTCAGTACTCTACACTATGTTGATGTTGTCTATTTTCCATGTCCATTGGGTTTTTACTGCAGTTTTAATGGGGTTTCAACAGGGAGCAAGATTAGAAGTAGATTCAATCTACCAGGAATCTACATTTTTTTTTTTTTTTTGAGATGGAGTCTCACTCTGTCACCCAGGCTGGAGTGCAGTGGCGTAATCTCAGCTCACCGCAAGCTCCACCTCCCAGGTTCAAGCAATTCTCCTGCCTCAGCCTCCCAAGTAGCTGGGATTACATGCGCCACCACACCCAGCTAATTTTTGTATTTTTAGTAGAGACGAGGTTTCACCATGTTGGCCAGGTTGGTCTCGAACTCCTGACCTCAAGTGATCTGCCCAGCTCAGCCACCCAAAGTGCTGGGATTATAGGCATGAGCCACCACACCTGGCCAAGAAGAGCTTCTTAATAAATAAAACTATCTCCAGCAGGAATGAACTGCCTTGGAAACAAGAAACTCAAGCACAGACTGCACAACTATTACTTATTAGGGATGCCACTAATAGCCTCTAAGCCCCAGATGGCTGTATAGTCCAAGTGGTTAGTGAGGCAAGGCTGTCATACAGAAAAATCAAAGTTAATAAATAATGAAATGCTAGAAGAATGAAATTACAAAAATAAAGTCAAACTAAGTGAGAGCTACCAAATATAAAGGATTATCCACAACTAACAGTATTACAGGTAATCACTGTCGAGTTCTAAATTTCCTTTTCTATTAGAACATAACTTTCCCCACACACCGAATCTGTACTCAGGTGTGCATTTATCCCTAGATTCAGTCTGAGGAGTTGAAAAGTGACAAAGGGATGGATGGCTTCCTGACTACTATGAAAATGTCCCCTGACCCACATATTTCAATATAGTATTAAGCCTTGTTTTCATTACCTGAAATGTATGTTTGCTTACAAACAGGTTTCCTTGAATCTATTCTCCCCACCTCCTCCAATCAAGGAGCAAAGAGAACACCAGAGAAGCTGGAGCACAGTGAACAAGGGGAAACTGGCATGAGATGAGACTATAACAGAAAGAAGAGAGGCCACATCACAGAACAGGGAGGAGGGAGGAATGTTGTGGGTCAAGTTAAATATTTGGGGTTTATTCTACGTAAAATAAAAAGTAAAAGGCCAGGCATGGTGGCTCACACCTGTAATCCCAGCACTTTGGGAGGCCAAGGTGGGCGGGTCACTTGAGGTCAGGAGTTCAAGACCAGCCTGGCCAACATGGTGAAACCCCATCTCTACTAAAATCATAAAAATTAGCCAGGCATGGTGGCGGGCACCTGTAATCCCAGCTACTCGGGAGGCTGAGGCAGGAGAATTGCTTGAAACCGGGAGGAAAGATTGCAGTGAGCCAAGATCGCACCACTGCACTCCAGCCTGGGCAACAAAGCAAAACTCTGTCAAAAAAAAAAAGGAAAAAAAGAGTTCCAATGCTCAGTATAATTTTGTGTTTTTATTGTGGGAAGCAGTAATGTTGCATCCCTGCCTTTCCTCTTTATTAAGCGTTTTATCTAAGTATGATGGACTAGAAAGGATAAAATCAACATGGTCCCCTTCCTTTTTCTTTTTTTTTCAGAAACTTACAAACTTTCTCACAAACTTGTTTAAGAATAAAAATATGGGGAGTGACATGATCAGATTTTACATTTTTTAAAAATGGCTGCTGTGTGAAAAATAGGGGTAATAATATATCCTGGCAGATCAATTAGGAAGCAGTATATCTAGGTGAAAAATCATTGTTCTGTGCAACGAGAGAGGTAAAGATGAAGTGGCCATATTTGAAAATATTTAGGAGGTAGAATTTAGAGAACACTGAGAGGTCTTAAAGTGACCCTGGATATTACTCAGGAGCCTCTGGATGAATGGCAGCCCCAGTCCCTAGGGAAGTATATACTGCCAGACATTAAGTTGCTGGAAGTATAAAGAAAAAGAGAATCCATTTTTTGGATGGGTTAGCTTCGAAAACCTATGAGTCACCTAAGTGCAAATGTCTCACAAGCTTCCTCTTCATCATTTCTCACTGAACATCTCCATTAAGGCTTCACAATCAGGATGCTGGCAATTAGAACCTGTATCTTTCTTCCATGGCTGCTCCATTTACTGATCAATGCCACCAACTACCAGAGATGTTATAAAGGGATTCCTACATGTGATAGAGAAGGCTGAAACATAAAACATCTGAAGTCACACTGATAAGCCTCTATTACTCACAGATTCATCCACAACACTGGAGTTATTCCCGCTACAAAGGTTAACCTTAAGGAAAGAGTTAATTCATAATTCTGCAAACACTGAAAACAAATACAAATGTATTAAGGAATACTTTTATCCATAGACTGCTTTACTAGTAACATTACAAGAATAAGATGAATTTTGAAATAGACTTTAAAAAATAATTTCAATAGTTAAATGTCAGTTCTTAATTAACCATCTTGATTTTCTGATGTAAAAAATGTACAGCAATTATCGTCCAGCTGACAAAAAGCCACAATCTTTATTAGTAAATCCTATTATATAGCACAACACTGCCACCTGTTGGAAGAGATAACTAGCCAAATGTTTTTATTCCTAAACACTAAATGCATGAGAAAGTTTATGAATTTCTCAAAAAAAAATGAAGAGACTGTTGACTTTATCCTTTCTAGCCCAACATGCTTAGATTAAATCCCTAATAAAGAGGAAAAGCAAGGATGTAATGTAACTGCTTCCCACAATAAAAACACAAAATGGCATTTACTTTTTGGTTTTGGTTATTTGGGTAAGGGGAAGATTTAACCATGAAGAGATAGCACTAGGGAGTTTTTGAGGTGAGGCAACTATTCTGCATCCTGACTATGGTGTTGGTTATAGAAATCAGTACATGGGTTAAAATTTATAATATAAAAAGTTTATTTTACTGTACGGTAATTTAAAAAAAAAACAAGGTAAGAGAATACAAATACTCAGTACCATGGGAAAAGTCGTAAGTTATAATGTGAAAGTATTCACATAAATTTCAAAGTTTTGCTACTTATAGCTCAAAGGCTTGAAGCCCAAAAAACATTAGAAAGATTCTAATGTAATACTGCATGCTGACATACTTAAATATGGATGTAGAAGTGTTTCTAAAGACTACCATTGCACACCAGAAGTCAATCTTTGCCCCTAGCACAGAACATTTCAATGAGAGGAACAATCTATAACCAAAAGTTAGGACATTCACCGTTGATTCTGGTAACTTTTTTTTTTTTTTTTTGAGACAGGGTCTCACTCTGTCACTCAGGCTGGAGTGCAGTGGCGCCACTGCAACTCACTACAGCCTCGACCTCCCAGACTCAGGTGATCTTCCCACCTCAGCCTCCTGAGCAGCTGGAACCAAAGGTGTGCACCACCATGCCCAGCTAGTTCTTTTGTATTTTTAGTAGAGAGATGGGGTTTCGCCACTTTGCCCAAGCTGGTCTCAAACTCCTGGACTCAAGTGATCTGCCCACCTTGGCCCCCCAAAGTGCTGGGATTACAGGCATGAGCCACCACGCCTGGCTAGGAAATGCTTTTCCCTACGACAAAACGAGAGTCTCGTTCTATCGCCCAGGCTAGAGTGCAATGGCACAATCTCAGCTCCCTGCAACCTCTGCCTCCCAGGTTCAAGAGATTCTTGTGCCTCGTACCAGCTGCGAGTAGCTAGGACTACAGGCACATGCCATCACGCCCAGCTAATTTTTGTATTTTTAGTAGAGACGGGGTTTCACCATGTTGGCCAGGCTGGTCTGGAACTCCTGATCTCAAGTGATCCGACTGCCTTGGCCTCCCAAAGTGCTGGGATTACAGGCATGAGCCACCACGCCCAGCTAGTACATTCTTTATGTGATTGCATTTCATCTCCCTCAAAAAGCTGGTGCATAAACAGGGAAAGTTGGGTGCTTGGCATCTATGTAATCTTGGTATTTGCTAGATCACTTATGAATGCAAGTGACATCAAAGTTCCACGAGATCTGGAACATCTAAGTCCATCTGGGGACCTTTCCAGTACATTTGCAAATGCCAAATGTCTTAAGGCACCAAGAGCCCACAAGATAAAAGATCACCAGAGTCCAAATGACAGAGACCCAAACTAAGAGCAAAAGTCACATTAAGATACCAGTTCCTCCCATCTCTCCTGATAATATACTTGCTGTTAATAAAATGATATGGGTTGTAAAGTAATAATGAAATATTAAACTGAGACCTTATGAAAGCTGTTGCAATGGGAGGGAGAGGTTGGTAGAAAGGGTGTAACACATATAATCCTCTACCCTTTATCCCTTAGGGCTGCCCTTAAGCCATCCTGTTCCCAGGATCTGGCAGCTACATGCAATCTTAGTTTTCTAAGTTTTGGTTGAGCCACACTGTTGTCTGTTTTTCTACATTTTCCCAGTGATCCCTGGGAGGTCACAGCTATTCAAATGGATTGCAGTACCCACAATAATTTGCAGTTCCAACAACAGGAGAATAGTTGAAAAAAGAATGATACAGTCGTAAAAGAGAATAATGCTGGTCATCTCCTAATCTTCAACTAATGACATGGTTATATTTGCATTGAGGGAGGTAAACTTGCCTGTCAGAAGCAGCAATAGTCACAGCACACCAGGGTAATTGCCAAAGCATCCAAATGGAGCAGTAGTATGATACCGGAATAATTCACAGACTTTTGGAACTATACAAGTTTGCAAACTCACCTCCATTTTAGAGTCTGTCATGATGGGTAATTTCCCCAAAAAGACTAAAAACACAGAAAGCATTAAGAAAAAAAAAAGGCCAGGCAAGGTGGCTCACACCTGTAATCCCAGCACTTTGGGAGGCTGAGGTGGGCGGATCGCTTGAGCTCAGGAGTTTGAGCCCAGCCTGGGCAACATGGCAAAATCCCATCTCAACAAAAAATATAAAAATTAGCCCGGCGTGGTGGCATGTGCCTGTAGTCCCAACTACTTGAGGGGCTAAAGCAGGAGGATCACTTGAGCCCATGAGGTCAAGGCTGCACTGAGCCATGTTCATGGCACTGCACTCCAGCCTGGGTGACAAAGTGAGACCCTGTCTCAAAAAACAAAAACCAAAAAATCTTGGATCATAGAGATGTTTACAATTTGGAAAACTATCCATGATAAACTTTTTATTTAGTCTGAATTGCAATAATTTTAAAACTCAAAGATCTCCAAGTCCTAATACAAAAACACCTACACCCCTTCAAGTAGGAAATAGTCCTTTGGAAAGGTAAACGTGATAATCCATGCCTAAATTACACAATTCCTTTAAATCTCATCTTTTATGCAAATAACAAAAACACTAAAGCATACGGGCAGTTCCTCAAAAAAATCAACAGAATTACCCTACAATCCAGCAATTCCACTTCTGGATACGTATACCTAAAAGAACTGAAAGCACAGCCAGGCGCGGTGGCTCACACCTGTTATCCCAGCACTTTGGGACACTGAGGTGGGCGGATCCCTTGAGGTCAGGAGTTCAAGACCAGCCTGGCCAACATAGCAAAACCCTGTCTCTACTAAAAATATAAAAATTAGCCTGCGTGGTGGTGCACGCCTGTAGTCCCAGCTACTCGAGAGGCTGAGGCAGGAGAATCACTTGAACCAGGAGGCAGAGGTTGCAGTGAGCCAAGATCACACCACTGCACTCCAGCCTGGGAGACAGAGCAAGACTCCATCTCAAAGAAAAAAAAAAAAAGAATTGAAAGCAGGAACTCAGACATTTGTATACCAATGTTCACAGCAGCACTATTCACAATAGCCAAAAGGTGGCAACAACCCAAATATCTATCGACTAATGAATGGATAAACAAAATGTGTTCTATGGAATACAATGTAATACTATTCAGTCTTTAAAAAAATGAAAATTCCAACACATGCCACAACATGAATTAACCTTGAAGACATGCTAAATGAAATAAACCAGACTCAAAAGGACAAATATTTTATGATTCCACTTTTATGAGGACCCTAGAATAGTCACATTCATAGACAGAAAATATAATGGTAGTTGCCAGGGACTGGAAAGAGGGAGGAACGGAGATTTATCATTTAATGGGTGCAGTGTGTGGAGATAAAAGTGCTCTGGGTCGGGCGCAGTGGCGCACGCCTGCAATCCCAGCACTTTGGGAGGCTGAGGTGGGCAGATCACCTGAGGTCGAGAGTTCAAGACCAGCATGACCAACATGGAGAAACCCCGTCTGTACTAAAAATACAAAATTAGCTAGGTGTGGTGGCGCATGCCTGTAATCCCAGCTACTCGGGAGGCTGAGGCAGGAGAATCACTTGAACCCGGGAGGTGGGGGTTGCGGTAAGCTGAGAACACGCCACTGCACTCCAGCCAGGGCAACATGAACGAAACTCCATCTCAAAAAAAAAAAAAGAAAAAGAAAAAAGTGTTCTGGAGATAGATGGTGGTTATGGTTACACAACAATGTTAAAGTACTTAATGGCACTGAACTGTATCTTTACAAATAGTTAAAATGGCCAATTTTATGTTATGTATATTCTATCACAATTTTAAAAAAGAAAAGACAAAACACTGAAACAAGAAACACACAGTTCTAACTGGAATCAAGCCAAGGGGAAAGAATGAAATCTTGGCCATTATATGTAAACAGAGAGATGCAATTTTTTTCTGGAAGCTATTGTATATCACTTTCCTTAGATTCTCAAAATGCTCAGTTTCTAAAAATACTTTTACTACTGGCTGGGCGCAATGGCTCATGCCTATAACCCCAGCACTTTAGGAGGCCGAGGCGGTGGATCACCTGAGGTCAGGAGTTCCAGACCAACCTAGCCAGCATGGTGAAACCCCGTCTCTACTATAAAACAAAAAAATTAGCTGGGCATGGTGGCAGTCACCTGTAATCTCAGCTACTCAGGAGGCTGGGGCAGGAGAATCACTTGAACCCAGGAGGCGGAGGTTGCAGTAAGCCGAGATCGCACCATTGCACTCCAGCCTGGGTACCAAGAGCGAAACTCCATCTCAAAAAATATATATATTATATATATACTATATATATTACTACTACTGCCTTTTAACCAACAAAATTAAAAAAATACAAAACAATGTTAATAGGATTTTATAAAACTACTTTTTCCAACATGCCCCAAACAATACAGAACACAATAGCTACACTCAACCTCTGCATACATTAAATAATCTTCAAATAAATGCCTGCTAGTATGAAAAAAGTACCTACTATTTGGTGACCAACTGTCCAATATGGCTCTCACAAATCTAATGCAGCATATGAAACATGAACAAGAGGATAAAAGAATAACTTCTTGGAGTCTGTTTAAAATAGAGAGTTAAATGAACAAAGTTGAAGCAGATCATGGCACATTTTTCAAGGCAGAGAGACAGGGAGGCAACAATGTCTGAAACAATGAACACTCTTAGGCTAAATATACCACCAGGGACTCAGATGTCACACTAACTGGGAACTACTATGTCAGTTTCTATAACTCCTATAATTAAAGAACAATATCCTAAACTATTAGCCAGAAGGCTTTTAGAGGCAAAGTCCTGACTACACAAAAATGTAAAACAATATAGTAAAAAATATAAAACAAAGTTAACTAAATAGATTGAAAATATCTGCCACATATCTAACAGTCAATGGCTTAAATCCCTACACAAAGAACTCCTAAAAATCAATAAAGACAAAACTCCATACGGAATGGCAAATTATAAAGTTTTTCCTTGCTTCATTTTTCAAGTCTTAAAATGCTCCTCACGGGTTCTTTCACAGCATTTTTCCTGGGCCTGGCCTCCCACGTAGTTGTTGGAAAACCATCACTCTCTAAACCACAGCCACATACCCATAAGGAGGTCTCCAGGGCTACAAAAAATTAATCTCATGTGCTTTTCATTTAAAAGAACGGTAGCATAATCTAAAAGACTATCACATATCTGATAAATGACTTGTATCTAGAATATATAAAGAACTCTTGCAACTCAATTACAAAAAAGAACCTAATTTAAAAATGGGCAGAGGATCTGAGTACACATTTCTCCAAAGAAGATAAATAAATGGGCAATAAGCACTTGAAAAGATGCTCAACATCATTAGCCATCAGGGAAATACGATTTGAAACCATAATATTTTCAAAAAGTTAGGAGATTTTTAATGGTCGCAACACAAAGAAAAGATGAACGTTTCAGGTGGTGGACATACTAATTACCTGATTTGATCACTACACATTGTATACATTTATCAAAATATCACTCTGTAGTCCCTAAATATGTACAATTATTACATGTCAACGAAAAAGAATGAAAACACAATGACACACACTTCACACCCACTGGAATGGCTAGAATCAGAAAGACAGATAATGACAAGTGTTGGCAAGGAGTGAGAAATCAAAACCCTAATACACTACTGGTGCGAATGTTAAAAAGATGCACACTGATGCTTTGGAAAACAGTCTGACCATTTCTTAAAATGTTAAACAGAGCTACCATATGACCCAGCCATTTCACTCCTAGGCACATACGCAAGAGAAATGAAAACATGATGTCCACACAAAAACTTGTAGGTGAATGTTCACAGCAGCATTACACATAATGGCCAAAAGGTGGAAACAATCCAAACGTCCACTAACTAATGGAAAATAAATCGTGGTAATACCCATAAAAGATTAACCAGCAATAAAAAAAAGTACTGACACATGCTATTAAATACAACACAGATGAACATGAATGTTAAGTAAAAGAAGCCAGTTGAAAAAGACCACATGCTGTATGATTTCACTCACATGAATAATCCAGAATAGTCAAATATACAGTCAGTCAATTCATAGTTGCTTAGGGCTTAGAATGGGGAGTGGGGATGGGGAAGTCAGGTGAGCCTGCTGAATAAGTACAGGGTTTCCTTTTGGAGTGATGAAAATGTTCAATTGTTCCAATATGGCTCTCACAAACTGAATGCAGCATATTAAACATGAACAAAAGAATACAAGAATAACTTATTGGAGTCTGTCTGAAATAGAAAATTAAACCAACTAATGAAGGTGAAGAAGATTACAGCATATTTTATGATGATGGTTGTACAACTTTGTGAATGTACTAATGTACTAATTACTTTTAGGTTTTCTTTCTTTTTTTTTTTTTTTGAGATGGAGTCTAGCTCTCTCGCCCAGGCTGGAGTGCAGTGGCGCAATCTCGGCTCACTGCAAGCTCCACCTCCCGGGTTCACACCATCCTCCTGCCTCAGCCTCCCAAGTAGCTGGGACTACAGGCTCCCGCCACCACGCCCGGCTAATTTTTTGTATTTTTAGTGGAGACGGGGTTTCACCGTGTTAGCCAGGACGGTCTTGATCTCCTGACCTCGTGATCCACCCGCCTCGGCCTCCCAAAGTGCTGGGATTACAGGCGTGAGGCACCGCTACGTTTTAAATGGTGAACTCTACGGTAGGTGAACTATGTGTCAGGAAGCTGTTTTATTTTTTTAAAGGACTGAAGACTTTTGTTTTGTGTTTTGTTTTGTTTTCATTTTATCCCGTTTTTAAAACAGTGCCTAGCAATATTATGAATTCAATCGATTTTGGCTAAATGCTAGAACAAAAATTAAAACTTGAGTAAACCATATAAAACTTTGCCATATCTAAAGTTATTAAATTACCGTAGACTGGCATGGTGGGAGCATAATATGAGTGTACCTGCAGGTGTGTTTTCCATGAAAGTAGCAAAGACTGAAAAACTCAGCAGAATCAAGACCCTGTAGGCCCTTGAAGTTAGGCTAAGAAATGTGTATTATCCTGAAAGCAACGGGAAGGCCAGGAAGATTCTGAGGACAGAAATAACACAATCTGATATGCGTTTTAAACGTGCAGGTGTAAGCGGAGAGTTGCTACTTCTATCCAAACGTGAGCCACCTCAGAAATAAAGCAATAGCCCTCCGGGGAGAATGGGGAGGAATCAGGGGAAGACCGGAGAAACAGGTTATCAAATTATCAGAATCTCCATAGATTTTTTTAAATTACACAGCATCCACCCCCAAACACACATACAGACTGATAGGCACTGATATATACATAAATACATCCAATGTCCCCTACACAGAAAATCACTTTTGCAGTCAGCCCCTGTTGGGAGGGTTTTTCTGTTATTCAAGTGTGGTGGGGACAAAAAGTATTATAACCACTAAACCAGGTAATTCTTTCCTACAATAATTTGGGCAGCGTACTCCTCAGGGTGTTGAAATTTAGCACTACCAACAAAAGTGCCCAGTCCCAACTCTTCGAGAGGACCCTAACTCTTTACAGTGTGCTGTTGGGGATGGTCAGCAAAAACTGCAGGACAAGGTCAAGGTTAGCTCGACACAGCCTCCTAACTCCGAGCGGACGGAGCCACTGAAGGTTACCAGGTGCCAAAGAAGCTGCGCAGGGAGGCCGCGACCCGGCGCCGGCGCGAACCTCCGCGATGTGACCCGTGAGGGAACTCTCCAAGAAGCAGCGCACCCCGCGCGCAAAGGCGGCCCCCCGAATTGCAGGAACAAACGCTTCTTGCTGGGGGGAAGACGGAGACTCTTATACCGCGGGAGACTAACCTGTGAGCAACAGAAGCACCACGCTACAAAGAGCATGACGAGTTCTTCCAGGCTTGGGAAAGCACGGGTAAATGCCCGCGGTCCTGCGCGCCAGCGGGGAGCAGTAGAGACTTCCGGCGTCGGCTGCTCGCAGGGCTAGAGCGTCGAACCGGGACAACCGGAGGCTTCAGCTCACCTCGGATTGTAAATGCTAACACGGGTCCTCCGGCCGGCTGATCCAGAACTTAGGTCGCCGGGACGTGTGGCTTCTGCTTCTCAGACGCTCGGACTCGCGCCGGGAAGGGTTTCGCCTCCCCTGGTCCCCGCTTTTTTTTTTTTTTTCTGCGTCCGGTTATTGCAAATGCATTCAGTCCAGTAGCACTAGCCCAGGAAATATAAGCCACCGGCTCACGTTGCTCCTCACAGGTATGCGGCGCTTCCGCTGGCCTCCAAGGACACGAAGCCCCGGGCCGTCTGGCCCCCCACTCTAGCACTGAAATTCCTGCCGCCCCGTTCAGCTGACAAATTTGGCAGCACTAAATTTTATTTTATTCGACAAATTAAGTACCCAGTTAACACCAGGGAGTAACGGGGTAAGAAAATTTCAGAAGGCTGGTGGATAATAATAGCATTTACCTCATAAATTTGTTATGAGGATGTGAAGCACTTAGAGTAGTGTCTGGCAGTTTGTAGGCGCTCAGTAACTGTTAGCTGTTATTATTTTTATATTGATTATTCCATAGTCACCACTATTATCACCTTAATGTCAAGCTTGAAATCCAGTATCTTTCCTCTGCGAAGCCATCACTCCAAGACTAATTAACTTTAGACTGGGGCATTCTTCTTTAAACTCTTGCTCACACATCCCTATCAGAAAAAATATATATATATTTACATGTGTCATGTATGGCATTAATATATTATGCATGCTATAAAACTCACAAGACATCAAACTTTTGATGAGGTAAAAACAATTTTTAAACTTTTTTAAAAACTTCTAACAGAAGTTCTTTTCTTCCTCCACAACAATTAGGTTGCCAAACATACATTCTATCACTCTGGAATCCACTAGCTAAATGAGCACATTATCAAAGCAACCTACCGCTGAATTCTGACTTCCCAGAATGTTTCTTTTCCAAAGAATTAATAGAAACTAATCAGATTGTGAAGTGCTCGGCCATAAGGACTATTTAAATGGTTCTTAGAGAAAAAGAAGAAATAAAATAGGCATCCACTGAGTAATATTCATTGATGCAACATTGATTATTGACTTATTACATTTTCAAAGAGATTGAGGTTATAATACCTTACACCAAGCTTAATATTTCAAAGAATAAATCAACTAATAAAAAGCTTATGAGGTTTGGTATATGTGCATTTCATACAACGTTCATGAAAATGAACCCGAGATCAATTAGCTCCCGTTCTGTACCAGAAAGAGAAATATGTTTACTTTGTAAGTAATAAAACATTAAATAGGCTTTTCTGACCATTTGCTTGAAAACTCAGAACTTAACATTTCTATCACTGGACTTAAATCTGCTAAAGTTTTCGTCTAAATTTTACATTAAAAACAAAACTCTATAGTGAATAATGTTACCTATCCAATATTCATTTTCCTCTAACTCCTTTGTACCAAAATCCTTATTTTATTCAGATAGCTGCCCTGTTCCCAGAATCAAAATGATACTGATTAAACCAGTCATCACACAGAATTTTTTTGTCGTCTAAATTTTACATTAAAAACAAAACTCTATAGTGAATAATGTTACCTATCCAATATTCATTTTCCTCTAACTCCTTTGTACCAAAATCCTTATTTTATTCAGATAGCTGCCCTGTTCCCAGAATCAAAATGATACTGATTAAACCAGTCTTCACACAGAATTTTTTTGGAAATAGTTGCTAATCAAGGAACGAGTATATGACCCAGGTTGGCGCAATCTGACTGAAGGAAAGGACCTCTATTTCATGCTCAGGAGAAAGTTTCTGATATACTGTCCTCTTGACGTCGAAACATCTATCCCACACTGTCATTAGTAGCCATCTTGCCCATCACAAGGAATAAAACTGATGGACCAATGCTGAGGACAACTGAACAAGTTATAAAACAATGTCCTTGGTGACATCATTCCAAACCTGGAGCTCACCCTGTATCTGAATGCCTTGTAGGAATGTCTAATAAGTTTCCTTATTGTTTTTGTTTTCTGTTTTTCTGAGACTGAGTCTCACTCTGTCGCCCAGGCAGGAATGCAGTGGCATGATCTCAGCTCACTGCAACCTCTGCCTCCCGGGTTCAAGCAATTCTCCTGCTTCAGCCTCCCAAGTAGCTGTAACTACAGGCATGCACTGCCACGCCTGGCTAATTTTTGTATTTTTAGTAGAGAAGGGGTTTCACCATGTTGGCCAGGCTTCTCTTGAACTCCTGACCTCAGTGATCCACCCACCTTGGCCTCCCAGAGTGCTGGGATCCTTACTGTTTTCTGATAGAGATGCCATAAAGATTAAATGGGTTAAAATAGTGCTGGTCATATTGTAAGTATTTTAAGTGCTTAATAAATTTTAGTTATTATTAACTCACCTTAAGTCAGGGATTCTGTTTCTTATAGCCAAAATTACCCATCAAAATACACATTCTACCTCTCTTTTTCTATATATTTAAAGAAAGGGTCTGTTTTGATACTTTTAAACTAAGGAGCCAGGGAAGGGGTAGGAGGTGAAGAGAGGAGGGGCTGACTATAATGCTGTATGAGGGCTACTGTTAAGTGGTTAAATGGCTGCTTTGAGATTCACTCAAGAGCAGCAGGATCCTATAACTATCAAATCTGAATGAGGTTACTACACATCGTAGTTGTATGTATACATGAAAGTATCATTTCCTGCATATTAATATTGTGATCCACTGCCTTACTAAGTTGCTTTATTGTTTGGAGTTCATTCTGGTAGAATTTCTAAGATTGCAATCTTATCATTGAAATAGTTTTACCTACTTCTTTCCAAGTTTTATACCTCTACTTTCTCATATCTAATTGTTTTGGCTAGTATCTCCAGTAAAATATTTAATAATAATAATGACAGTAGACTTTTATGTCTTATTCCTATCTTTAATGAGATATCTTTAGAATTTTCCCATTAAGCATGATGCTGGTTTTAAGGACTGAAGTAGACATCTTTTATCATGTTAAGGAACTATCCACCTATTGAGAGAAAGAAGAAAATTTTGGCATAAGAGCTTTGAGAAAACAAAGCATTGAGCGTGCCATAATGTCCTGTCATAAAAATAAGTAAAAGTTAGACAGTATTTACCTCAAAGACACTGAGAAAATTAACATTAGCTAGGTTGGTATGAATGTCCTTTCTTGCTTATCTTACTACCAGCATGAAATTCAGTCCTGCCTAGTTTGTTTACAAGAAATTCACCTGTGATATCCTGATTTTTAACCCTGAAAAAGTTATTTATCTCTTACAATATGTCCTGTTTAATGTAAAGTTAATGCTTGCTCTACATGTTTTTTGTTTTTTGCTTTTGTGTTTGCTTTTACATGTACTCCAAGCACATGCTCTACATGTTTGTTATAGGAAATAATGTGCACCTCCTATAATTTTGTTATAGGAAATTGTAGCTGTTCAAATATGCTGATTGCAAAAAATAAAGGACATTTTATAATAATTGGGTTAGATCATCAAGAAGATATAACAGTCTTAAATTTGTATGAATCTGGCCAGGCGCAGTGGCTCACGCCTGTAATCCCAGCACTGTGGGAGGCTAAGGCAGGCGGATCACGAGGTCAGGAGTTCGAGACCAGTGTGACCAACATAGTGAAACCCCATCTCTACTAAAAATACAAAAATTGGCCAGGCGTCGTGGTGCGCATCTGTAATCCCATCTACTCAGGAGGCTGAGGCAGTAGAATCGCTTGAACCTGGGAGGCAGAGGTTGCAGTGAGCCGAGATCGTGCCACTGCACTCCAGCCTGGGCAACAGAGCGAGACTCCGTCTCAAAATAAAAAAAATTGTTTGGAACTAATAGCAGAGCTTCAATAAATGTGAAGCAAAGACTGACAGGACAATTCAAAAAATTGGAAATTGTAGGCTGGGTGCGGTGGTTCACACCTGTAGTCCCAGCACTTTGAGAGGCCAAGGTGGACGGATCGCGAGGTCAGGAGTTCAAGACCAGCCTGACCAACAGGGTGAAACCCTGTCTCTTCTAAAAATACAAAAATCGGCCTGGCATGATGGCGTGCACCTGTAATCCCAGCTACTCAGGAGGCTGAGGCAGGAGAATTGCTTGAACCCAGGAGGTAGAGGTTGCAGTGAGCCGAGATTGCAGCACTGCACTCCAGCCTGGGTGACAGAGTGAGACTCCATCTAAAAAAAAGAAGAAAAAAGAAAAGAAAAATTGAAAATTGTAGTGGAGATTTTAACATTCATCTCTCAGCAATTAATAGAAAAACTAGACCAAAAAATCAGTAAGTGCATAAAAAACTGGAGCAACACTATTAACCAACTTGACCTGTTTAATATTTATAGAACACTCCATAAATAGCTAAATGCACCTTTTAAGTGTGTAGAATATTTTTATGCCAGTTCATAAACATTGATAAACTTAAATACATTGAAATTGTATAAAGTTTTTTGTCTTACCATAATTATAAATTAGTAACAGATATCTGGAAAACACAAATATTTTGAAATTAAGTAACACACTTCTTTTGAAATTAAGTATACATTTTGACTCATGGGTCAAAGAAGTAATGGTAAAGGAAACAGGCGTATTTTGAAGTGAATAAAAATAAAAATATATATCAAAAGGCATTGAATGCAGTTAAAGTAGTGCTTTAGAGAGGAAAATTATAGCATTGCATTCTTAATATAAGGAATAAAAATATAAGAAAAGAAAAAGTATAAGTTAAATTATTTTAGCTTCCACTTTAAGAAATTGGGGGGAAAATTAAAAATAATAGAAAATGAAATAATAAAGATAATTTTGGAAATCAATTAAGTAAAAGAGCTAGTTCTTTTTTCAGTTTATTTATTTTTGAGATGAAGTCTTGCTATGTTTCCTAGGCTGGTCACAAACTTCTGGGCTCAAGCAATCCTCCCACCTCAGTCTTTGGAGTAGCTGGGGATTACAGGCACTCAACACTGCACCCAGCTAAAAAAGCTGGTTTTTTTAAAAGACCTGTAGGGTCTAGCCCTACGGGGCTTAGCGGGTGTTCTCCCCATGTGCGGAGACAAGAGATTGTAATAAATAAAGACACAAGACAAAGAGATAAAGAGAAAGCAGCTGGGCCCGGGGGACCACTACCATCAAGATGCGGAGACCGGTAGTGGCCCTGAACGGCTGGGCTCGCTGATATTTATTGCATACAAGACAAGGGGGCAGGGTAAGGAGGGTGAATCTTCTAAGTGGTTGACAACGTGAAGCAAGTCACATGATCATAGGACAGGGGGCCCTTCCCTCTTAGGTAGCCAAAGCAGAGAGAGAGAGAAGGCAGCATACGTCAGCGTTTTCTTCTATGCACTTATAAGAAAGATCAAAGACTTTAAGACTTTCACTATTTCTTCTACTGCTATCTACTACGAACTTCAAAGAGGAACCAGGAGTATGGGAGGAACATCAAAGTAGACAAGGAGCATGACCGTTGAAACACAGCACCACAGGGAGGGGTTTAGGCCTCCGGATGACTGCGGGCAGGCCTGGATAATATCCAGCCTTCCACAAGAAGCTGGTGGAGCAGAGTGTTCCCTGACTCCTCCAAGGAAAGGAGACTCCCTTTCACAGTCTGCTAAGTAACAGGTGCCTTCCCAGACACTGGCATTACCGCTTGACCAAGGAACCCTCAAGCGGCCATTATGCAGGCGTGACAGAGGGCTCACCTCTTGCCTTCTAGGTCACTTCTCACAATGTCCCTTCAGCACCTGAGCGTATACCCGCTGGTTATTCCTAGGTTATATTAGTAATGCAACAAAGAATAATATTAAAAGCTAATGATTAATAATGTTTATAATAATGATTGATAATTGTCCATGATCATCTCTATATCTAATTTGTATTATGACTATTCTTATTCTAACTGTTTTCTTTATTATACTGAAACAGTTTGTGCCTTTAGTCTCTTGCCTTGTCACCTAGGTGATCCTCCGCCCACAAGACCAATAAAATTGGTAAACCTGTAGCTAAACTGATCAGTCAAAAGAAAGAGAGAGAGAACACAAATTACCAATATCAGGAATGAAAGAAGAGAAATCAGTAGAGATCAGTAGAGACATTAGAAGAAAAATAAGGAGTTCTGTTTCTAGTTAGAGCTGAGTACCTCCTATTGGACCAATCTTCCCATAGATAAAAACTAAAAGCTCTGGACCAAGTACAAAAAATAACTACCTAAAGGTACTGGAGAACACCCTAAGAAGGTAGATACCAGAGGGAAGTTGATGCTGGGAAGAAAGGAATGGGACCCAGGGGGTTTCCCATTGTCATGGGCTTTCTGCTTGAGGACAGGCCCCAGTTGTTACTCTCAATCTTACTGGCTTCAAAAACCAGAGTTTTTGATACATAGTGCATCTGGAAAGTGGGGGGAAATCCAAGAAAGGAAATCCCCCATAAAGGAAAGAAGTCAGAGAGAAGGCAAACCAAACTATTTGTATGTATGAGCTGCCCACATTTCTGGCTGACATCTGAAACATACATGTGTCAAACCTTTTGAGCCATCTAAGACTCAAAAACTGAAGGCCGGCCAGGCACAGTGACTCACTCCTATAAACCTAGCACTTTGGTAGGCCAAGGCAGGAGGATTGCTTGGAGCCAGGAGTTCAAGATCAGCCTAGGCAAGATAGCAGGACCTCATCTCTAAAAAAAAAAAATTTTTTTTATAGCCAAGCATGGTGGCACATGCCCATAGTCCCAGCTACAGATGTGAGGCTGAGGTGAGAGGATTGCTTGAGCCCAGGACTTTGAGGTTATAGTGAGCTATGATTGCATCATTGCATTCCAGCTAGAGCAACAGCGTGAGATAAGGAAGGAAGGAAGGAGGGAGGGAGGGAGGGCAAATTAACAATATCAGATATGAAAGAGGAGGAGTTATTACAGGTCCTGCAAACATTAAAAGTTCTGAAGATGGTATGACCTTCACAGATGTCCTGAAATGAAGCAAAAGGTTAAACTTTAACACCCCCACATTGTATATCAGCCACTCCAGGAGGGAACCACGACCAAGAATGAAACAGTTCTTTTTCACCGAGGCAGTTCCTGAAGGAAGCGCCTAAGCCAGTGGGGTAATGAGCATTTCATTCCTAGGCTGTGCACCGCAGCAACCACCATCCACCTATGAGAGGAAGGGAGGGAAATATTTGGAGAGAGTCTGATTAGATCTAAGATGTATCAGTAGCTCAACAAAAGAACAAGAAAAAAATTAATTAGGGAAAGCATCCTGGAAGATGTCCTAAAAAAATAGGATTTAGGCAATGGAAAAGAAGAGCATTTCCAGCCAAGGAAATATTGAGACAAAGCACAGAGTTACAAAAAGGAGGAGCTAATTTCTAAAATTATTGAAACTTTATGTGGATTTCCAAGAATCTTGTTTTTTTAAAAAAATTTATTTTGAAATAATTATAGATTCACAGGAAATTTAGGAGAAAAAATGTAAAGAGCAGTCCTGTGTACCCTTCACCCAGTATTCTGCAGTGGTAACATAGCTATACAACAGTGTTGAAACCAGTGATGGCAGTGACTGCTGCCATCATGGCGACTGCAGCCGGGAAGTATGGCTGGGACTGCACATGCCATGGAGCCAGTGGGACCCCTGCCCCTTCTGAGTTGGGACAGCTCTGAAACCTCAGCTGCAGACCCAGGTCTCCTCCTCTATGGAGCAGGCAGGAAACCTGCCCTCCTGGGCAGAGCTACAGCCACCCAAACTGCAGCTGTGGATCCGAGCTTCCCTGTGCTCTTGGGGGAGCCAGGAACAGGAAGGATCTGCCCTCCCAGGTGCAGCTGCAGCTGCCCATGCCCACGGCTGCAGACGTGGGCCTCCTGGCTCCAGGAAGCAGGCAGGAGCTGAGGATATGCAGGAGCCCTGCTCCGTCCAAGATGGCAGGGTGGGAACTCCCAGGTGCAGCTGTGGCTGCCCCCTTTCCTCCCCCAACCCCCAACATTCCTGCAGCCTTGGGGGTGTCTTATCCTGCTGCCTGGCCTCTCTCCACTCCTAGCACCTGCTCTGATCTCTGACTAGGGATTGAGGCCGAGCCCTAGGGCCATGAATGGCAGCAGGAGGCAGATTGATTCTTGGGCAGAAAAGGACAGGTCCCCAGTAAGGCCCCACCTTCAGGCCAGGGAGGGCCTAAAGACTGGGGGCCAGGCTGCCAGTCCCACCACTGGAGTGGGGACTCATGGTGCCTCTTCCGGGTGCCCATGGCTGCCCATGGACCAATCAGCCGGCCCTTCCTCCCCTCTGAGGTCCATAAAGCCCTGGGCTCAGCCAGAGCAGGGTAGAGGATGGCCAGAGGAGGAAGAGGACAGAGAGAGGGTGGGAGGACCAGCTGCAGAGAGGAGTACCCTCTCCACTGAGAGCTGCAGAGATGATCTGCTGGCAGAGAGGAGCCACCCTCTCTGGAAGAGCTTCAGAGACCTGCAGAGACATTCAAATGACTTGCCTACGGAGGGAAGCCACCATCTCCAGGGCCTTCTCTCTGCTGAGAGCCGAACACTCAATGAGAAGACCTGCCTACAGAGAGGAGCTACCCACTCCTCTGAACTATTCTAACACTAAATAAAACTCTTCTTCTTCACCCTTCACTTGCCTGCATACCTCATTCTTCCTGGACACAGGACAAGAACTCAGGCAAAGGCGCCTCGGCCACAGAGGTTTCTGACCAGAAAAGTTGACACCCCAGAGATCCTGTAACACCAGGAAGTTGACATTGGTACAATCCACAGAATTTATTCAGATTTCACCAGTTTTATATGCACATCTGTGTGTGTGTGTGTGTGTGTGTGTGTGTGTGTGTGTGTGTGTGTAGTTCTATGCAATTTTATCACATTTCTATTCATCTAACCATCACCCCAGTTAAGATTCCAAACAATTTCATCACAAGGATCCCTGCTACTTCCCTTTCATAGCCACAGTCAATTCCTGTCTTTCCTGCCAGACCCTCTCTGTAAGCCTTAGCAACCACTAATCTGTTCATCTCTGTAACTTTATGGCAAGTATGCCGTCTTTTCAGTTACGATATAGCTTTCATTACAGCCAATGTTACTTTGTGAGAAACTTAGTAGCATCTTCATCTTGGATTTTTAAAGCTTCTAATAAATTCCTTCATTTAGTAGTCAGATTATCCAAGACACTTTTACCAAGGTTATTGCAAACCTACTGTCACTAAATTTCTGTTCTCCAGTTCTTCCTCTTACTCTGAAAGATGATTTTTTCCAATGCTTTACAAAACAACTATGATGAGCAGATGTGAGTGATTTTACCTACTTTTTTTCTTTTTCTTTGGTTTTTTTTTTTTTTTTTTTTTTTGAGACAGGGTCTCACTTTGTCACCCAGGCTGGAGTGCAGTGGCAAGATCTTGGCTCACTGGAATCTGCACCTTCCGAGTTCAAGCTATTCTCCTGCCTCAGCCTCCCGAGTAGCTGGGATTACAGGTGCCCACGACCACGACAGGCTAATTTTTGTATTTTTAGTACAGACAGCATTTTCCCATGTTGTCCAGGCTGGTCTCGAACTCCTGACCTCAGGTGATCCACGCGCCTCGGCCTCCCAAAGTGCTGAGATTACAGGTGTGAGCCACCGCACAAGACTGGGTAATTTATAAGAAAATGGCTCACAGTTCTGCAAGCTATACAGGAAGCATAGTGCACCTGCTTCTGGGGAGGCTTCAGGGAGCTTTCAATCATGGCAGAAGGCAAAGGAGGAAGCTAGAGTCTTACATGGCAGGAGCAGGAGTAAGAGAGACAGTTGGAGGGAGGTGCTACACACTTTTAAACTACCAGATCTCTTGAGAACTATCACGAGGACAGCACCAAGAGAATGGTGCTAAACCATTCATGAGGAATCCACCCCCATGATCCAATCACCTCCCACCAGACCTCACATCCAATACTGAGGATTACAATTCAACATGAGATGATATACAAACTATATCACCATTCTACTGGAAGCAAAGTGGTATTTCATTGTGTTTTATATTTGCATTTCCTTGATGAGTACTGGTGTTGAGCATCTTTTCAAGTGCTTATATATATATCTCCTTTGGAGAAATGCCTGTGTAGATCCTTTACCCCTTTTTAAATTGGTCTCTTGGTCTTTTTTTAAAAATGAGTTGCAATACTTCTTTATATATTCTAGATACAAGTCCCTTATCAGATACATAATTTGCAAAAAAAATTAACTTATTCTATGAGTTGTCTTTTCACTTTCTTGATGGTGTTCTTTGAAGCACAAAAGATTACCAAAATTGATCACATTCTTTGTTATAAGAAAACATTTCCATAAAAGAAGTAGAGAATGTTATTAAGAAACTACTCCCCAAAAGCACCAGGCCTAAATAGTTTCATAGAAAAATTCTGCTGAACTTTCGAAGACCAAATAGTCCCAATGTTTTCTACATTATTCTAGAACATTGAAAAGGAAGAAAATCTTCTTAACTCCTTTTATAAAGCAAGTATAACACTGATACCAAACCAGATAAAGTCAGTGCTAAGAAAGAAAACTACAGGTCAATATCATGAATATTGATGCAGAAACATAAATATTAGCAAATGGAATCTAACAACACATTAAGAAAACAATGCACACCATGAATTAGTGGATTTATTCCAGGATGCAACATTGGTCCAATATCAAGAAAAATTCACATGGTTCTTTCCATAAATGATGAAAAAGCCTTTGATAAATTTTCATACCTTTTCATTATTTTTAAAAAAAAAAAACCTCTTAAGAAAAAAGGAATTGAAGGAGACTTTCCTAATATGACAATGTTTACACACATACGTACATATACACACACATTTTAGTTTTAAAGTCAATATCTTACTTAATGGGAAACACTAGAAGTATTTCCATTAGGATCAGAAACAAAGTAACTTTTCACCACAGAGAGAAATCCAATCAGTCAGAAGAATGAATAATGTATAAGTAACCCTATTTCTTTTTCTTTTTCTTTTTCTTTTTTCTTTTTCTTTTTTTTTTTTTTTTTTTAGGCAGGCTCTCACTCTGTCACCCAGGCTGGAGTACAATGGCACAATCTCGGCTCACTGCAACCGTCGCCTCCCAGGTTCAAGCGATTCTCGTGCCTCAGCCTCCCAAGTAGCTGGAACTATAGGCACATGCCACCACGCCTGACTAATTTTTGTATTTTTCGGTAGAGATGGGGTTTCACCGTGTTGGCCAGGCTGGTCTTGAACTCCTGGCCCCAAGTGATCTGCCAGTCTCGGCCTCCCAAAGTGCTGGGATTACAGATGTGAGCCACTGTGCTCAATCGTAACTATTTTTGTTTGTAGATGATATGATAGTAAAACCTGAAAACCCTCAGAGAAACAATGATAAAAATAACTCAAGTAGTGACATGACTTATTAAAAATGCAGGCCATAAAGTTAATATATGATGATCATATCATATATGCCTTCATAGACACAGACATTAAACAGAGGACTAAAAGGTAGAGAAAACCCTATTTATGATAGCAACAAAAAATATTAAATACTTGGATTGAATTTATCAAGAAATATGCAAAACCTACATGAGAAAGATTTTAAAACACCCTTGAAAGATACAAATACAGACTAGAACACCACCATTAAAAAAAAAAACCTCATTATAAAGATTTATAATGAGTTAATTTATAAATTCCCTAAGTTAATTTATAAATTCAACGCAATCTCAAAGAAATTACCAACAAGCTATTTTAGAGCATTAGACAAGTCAATACTTAAGTTTATATGGAAAAGCAGAGATTCCAGAGTTGCCAGGAAAACAATGAAAAAGAAAAATTGTGAGGGTAGCCTTATTAGATATTAAAACATACTATAAAGCTGCCATAATTAAAACAGTGATACAGGCACATGAATAGATAAGTAGATAAGTGGAATATTATGGAAAGCCTAGAAATAGACCCAAGTACTGTACATATGGAAATTTAGATAGAAGCCATCTCTCAAATCACTGAGGTAGACATTTTAATAAATGGTTCTGAGAAAACTAGGTAGTCACTTGGAAAAATGATAAAATCATATTCATACTTCACACAATAAACGAGAAGAAACTCCAAATGGATTAAGAATCTATATGTAAAAAATAAAACTATACAAGTAAGAGGGGAAAAAAAGACCATAGGTGAATTCCTATTACACTTTGGGGTAGGAAAAGGTTTTTAAAACTATGACTTCAAATCTAGAGGCATTAAAAGATGGATAAATTTGGCCAGGTGCAGTGGCTCATGCCTGTAATCCCAGCACTTTGGGAGGCTAAGGTGGGCAGATCATGAGGTCAGGAGTTGGAGACCAGCCTGGCCAACATGGTCAAACCCCATCTCTACTAAAAATACAAAAAATTAGCCAGGCATGGTGCCAGGCACCTGTAATCCCAGCTTCTCGGGAGGCTGAGGCAGGAGAATCGCTTGAACCTGGGAAGCAGAGGTTGTAGTGAGCTGAGACCATGCCACTGCACTCCAGCCTAGGCAACAGAGCAAGACTCCATCTCAAAAACAAACAACAACAACAAAAAAGATAAATTTGACAGAAAATTAAATTTTAAAATTTTGCATGACAAAAGCACCATAAACAAAATCTAAAGACAACTATTAAATGTAAGAAAATATTCAATTTGCAATATATCTTCTGGCTGGGTGCACAATATATTATGTGGCTGGGTGCAATATATGATGTAGGTGCAGCCACATGACGTATTGTAGGGCACTTTGGGAGGTTCAAGGGGGAGGATCATTTAAGGCCAGGAATCCAAGATCAGCCTAGGCAACATAGTGTGACCCCTTCTCTATAAAAAAAAAGAATTAAAAATTAGCCAGGCATGGTGACATGCACCTGTAGTCCCAAGGAGGCCAAGGCAGGAGGATCACTTGAGCCCAGGAATTCAAGGCTGCAGTAAGCTATGATCACATCACTGCACTCCAGTCTGGGTGACAAAGTAAGACCCTGTCTCCAAAAATAAAAATAAATATATCATGTAAAAATGACTAATATCCCTAATTTATAAAGAAATCTTGTCAGTTGAGGGACAAAGAGCCAAAAATCCAATACAAACTTGGAAAAAGACATGAACTGACAATTCACAATATAAAGGCCATGAAAAATATGAAAAAAAGTGTAAACTCATTCACTATAGAAAAATACAACTGACATAATACTTTACACTTAGGCAAAAATGTTAAAGTATGACAATACATCCTGTTGGTGAGGCTGTAGGGAAATAAACCTCATTGCTGGTGGATTTTCAAATTTGTGCAACTCTTCTGAAAGGGAATTTTGGCCATGTCTAACAAAGCTAATAGGTACTTTTTGGCACAGCCATCCTACTTCTGGGAATCTACTGTGAATATGCAACTTTAAGCTGTATATTATGAAATATGAAAATATACATCCATGAGCATTGTTTTTAATGCATAGCATTGGAAATAACCTAAATTCCCATTTTATAGGAAATAGGGGAAGAACAGAGAAAAGGAAACAGAGATGGAAAGTAATCCTCTGAAAATACCAAGTTTTATGGCTTTTATTTTGGAACCAAATATATGTTATACATAATTTAAAACAAAAATTTAAATTAAAAATACATTTAAACATCAAACTCTAAAAACAAAGGAAAAATGAAACAAATGAGACTAATTCTACATAAAGTTAGGACCAGGTGCACTGGCTAACACCTGTAATCCCAGCACCTGGGAAGCCAAGGTAAGCGGATTGCTTGAGTTCAGGAGTTCGAGACAAGCCTGGGAAACATGGTGAAACCCCGTCACTACTAAAAATACAAAAATTAGCCCAGTGTGGTGGTGCGCACCTGCATTCCCAGCTACTCAGAAGGCTGAGGCAGGAGGATTACTGGAATCTGGGAGGCGGAGGTTGCAGTGAGCCGAGATCATGCCACTGCACTCCTGCCTGTGTTACAGAGTGAGACTCTGTCTCAAAAAAAAAAAGCAAAAAAGAAAAGGTAGTGGTATAAACACTTGGAGAAAGATTATCATGTATTTATGGGTTTTTTTTCCTTTTCTTTTTTTTTTTTTTTTGAGACAGTCTCACTCTGTCACCTAGGCTAGAGTGCAATGTTTCAAGCTCGGCTCGCTGCAACTTCCGCCTCCCATGTTCAAGCAATTCTCCTGCCTCAGCCTCCCGAGTAGCTGAGACTACAGGCGCCCACCACCATGCCTGGCTAATTTTTTTTTTTTAATTTTAGTAGAGACGGGGTTTCACCATGTTGCCCAGGGTGGTCTCAAACTCCTGAGCTCAGGCAATCTACCCACCTTGGCCTCCCAAAGTGCTAGGATTACAGGTGTGAGCCACCATGCCCGCCTTTTTTTTTTTTTTTCTTTTGAGACACAGTCTCACTCTGTCGCCCAGGCTGGGAATGGAGTGGCTCAGTCTTGGCTCACTGCAACCTCCACCTCCCGGGTTCAAGCAATTCTCGTGCCTCAGCCTCCCAAGTAGCTGGGATTACAGGCCAAGTGCCACCACGCCCAGCTAATTTTTTATTTTTAGTAGAGACAGTGTTTCTCCATGTTGACCAGGCTGGTCTCAAACTCCTGACCTCAAGTGATACACCTGCCTTGGCCTCCCAAAGTGCTGGGATTACAGGTGGCATGAGCTACTACGCCCAGCCATGATTATCATGACTTTAAAGCACTGTATTTTAACTATACATCTCATGACAAAAATATCTGCAAAGAAATTATAAATTGAATTCAGTACATTTCTATTTGGAGTAATATTATCATTTTGATGTTATAATAGTTTATATATTTAATGTATATGTGTGTATTAGGATAAAAGACAATAAATAATTATATAAGTGTTGCTGGGAACCAACATTTTCACAACAAGAAAATGGGATGCAAATACAAAATCAAAGAATAAAAACCTAGTAGTCTTTATTTTGAATTAAAAGTATTGGTAATAAGTATAGAATTAACTTATTTTTCTCTCCCAAAGAAATAAATATTTCCAGGCCAGGCATGATGGCTCATGCCTGTAATCCCAGCACTTTGGGAGGTAGAGGTGGGAGGATTGCTTGAGCCCAGCAGTTGGAGGTTATAGCGAGCTATGGCCACAGCATTGCACTCTAGCTTGGACAACAGAATAAGACCCTGTCTCAAACAAACAAACAAATAAACAAATAATATCCTAGCCGTATTTACTAAAAAGTCCTACAAATAATGATAACCCATTAGCAACGAATATCCCTAGTGGTCGGATTGTGGTCTTTTTTTTTTTTTTTTTTTTTTGAGACGGAGTCTCATTCTGTCGCCCAGGCTGGAGTGCAGTGGCACGATCTCGGCTCACTGCAAGCTCCGCCTCCCGGGTTCACGCGATTCTCCTGCCTCAGCCTCCTGAGTAGCTGGGACTACAGGCGCCCACCACCACACCCGGCTAATTTTTTGTATTTTTAATAGAGACGGGGTTTCACTGTGTTAGGCAGGATGGTCTCGATCTCCTGACCTCGTGATCCGCCCGCCTCGGCCTCGCAAAGTGCTGGGATTACAGGCATGAGCCACCGCGCCCGGTCCGGATTGTGGTCTTTAATACCATTCCTCTCCAAGAGAAACCAGGGCTCTTTGAAGAAATTATCATCTCCAGATATGGAACGGGAAATATGAAAAATGAACCTGAAATATCTTGTTATATCTGAAAGGAGGAAAGCTATCAAAGTCTACTGGAATCACGTTAAAAGAATGCAGACATCAACTGGACCCAGCCAAATATGCGGCAAATTTGAGCATCAAAATAAATAATGACTATCTTGAATCAAAATTCATTAAATCTATATGAAAACCTATAAGTTCATAGTGTTAACTACAGAAACTACTTTCCTGATTCTTTTTGGTGGTTGTTAGAACACCAACAGTGTTCTGAATATAGGTAAGTAAGGAAAAACAAGTAAGCATTCATCTGCATTTTCTATATATATTATATTTCAGGGTAACCAAATAGCTGATGAGGGAAAATTCTTCTGAATAGAAGAATTCCAACTAATAAACAAAAGGAGAATGACAGATTTATTTTATTTTATTCTATTTTTTTGAAGCAGTCTCACTCTGTTGCCCAGGCTGGAGTACAGCGGCGCCATCTTGGCTCACTCCAACCTCCATTGCCAGGGTTCAAGTGATTCTCCTGCTTCAGCCTCCTGACTAGCTGGGATTACAGGCATGCGCCACCACACCTGGCTCATTTTGTATTTTTAGTAGAGATAGGGTTTCACCATGTTGGCCAGGCTGGTCTCCAACTCCTGACCCCAAGTGATCAGCCCACCTTGGCCTCCCAACATGCTGGGACTACAGGTGTGAGCCACTGTGCCAAGCCCAAGAATGACAGATTTAGAAGATCACCTGGAACAAAATAGGCAGTTGGGCATACAAGTTTGAGCTTCAGAGAGCAATCTAGCCTGAAGGTACATATTCAGAAGTCATTAGAATATGATGCATCATGAAAGCCTGAGGAATTTGTGGGAATCCAGGAGGGGACTGAATGAGAACCAAGGGTGCAACTGGCCATATTGTCAACACGGAGGGCCAGGCAGAGGAAGAATAACTAGTGAAAGTGGCTAAGCTGAATTAGGCAGAGATGTATGAGGAAGAAACATGGAAGGATAGGTTAGTGCTGCATAACGCAACGGGGGAGAGCTTCATGAAAGCAGGAAGGAAGGGGGCCATGGGGAGAAGGGGCTGCAGAAGGGGGTCACCATGGCAGATGCAATGGAGAGGCTAAGTAGGGTGACACCTGGGAAGCCCACACTGGCAGTAGGGATCTTCAGTTATGGTGGAGGACAGAGGTAGAAGCCAGACTTCAATACACTGAGAAACACAGGAAAGTCTGTTGGTAAAAGAAAAAAAACATGGAGAGTGGCCTGAGAGCTATGTAGATTCCATGAGAATTTCTAGGAGTCAAGCCAGTTTATAACCTCACAGGGTCCTGTGAGGACAGAGTCAGAGAGAATGAGCGAGAAGGACTGAGCTTTGTGGTCCAAAAAGTTAAGAAGAGTCTGGGTGTTGTGGCTCATGCCTGTAATCCCAGCACTTTGGGAGGCCAAGGCAGGTGGATCACCTGAGGTCAGGAGTTTGAGACCAGCCTGGCCAACATGGTGAAACCTTGTCTCTACTAAAAATACAAAAATTAGCCAGACGTGTTGGTGGGCACCTGTAATCCCAGCTACTCGGGAGGTTGAGGCAGGAGAATCACTTGAACCGGGAGGTGGAGGTTGTGGTGAGCCGAGATTGCGCCACTGCACTCCAGCCTGGGCAACAGAGTGAGACTCTGTCTCAAGAAAAAAAAAAAAGAAGATTCTGGCTTGATGGTATCAAAAAAAAAAAAAAACATTATTAAGATACAGCTGCTGAAACAATGATTCCCCAAAATACAGTGGCTTAAACAAAAGAGATCTCTCTATAGAAGACCAGTTAACTCTCCCCTACCCCTCATACCTTGATAGTGTTGGGGACAGAAGCTTTTTATTATCTTTTTTTCTTTTTTGAGACAGGATCTCACTCTGTTGCCCAGGCTGGAGTGCAGTGGAACGATCTCAGCTCACTACAACCTCAACCTCCCAGGCCCAAGTGATCCTCTGGCCTCAGTCTCCCGAGTGGATGGGACTAGAGGCATGCACCACCACACCCGGCTAATGTTTATATTTTTTTTTGTAGAGACAGGGTTTCGCTACGTTGCCCAGGCTGGTCTCCAACTCCTGGTCTCAAGTGATCGGCCCACCTCAGCCTCCCAAATCGCTGGGATTACAGGCGTGAGCCGCTGCACCTGGCCCCACTTTTTTTTTATATTGTTGCCTTATTGTGTTCTAGATTTGGGGTCAGTCAACTGTAGCCTGCAGAGAAAATTCAGCCACTCCCTGTTTCGGTAAATAAAGTTTTCCTAGAACACAGCCATGCCCATTGTTTACATATTGTCTGTGGTTGCTTTCCCCTACAACAGCAGAGTTAGCAGCTGTGACAGAGCCTAGGTGTCCCATAAAGCTGAAAATATTTACCATCTGGCCCTTTACAGAAGAAATGTGCCATTCCCTGTTCTAGGGTGTCACCCTCTTCCACAAAGGCAAAAGAGCATGCCACCATGTCCACTGGATCTACATTCCAGCCAAAATGGATGGAAACGTGAGCAGTTGAGGGAACACTCTTGTCTTTTAAGGGAATGCCTTAGAAATTGTACAAGTCACATCAATTTGCATACTTCCAATTAGAACTTAATCTCATAACCATATTTTGCTGCAAAGGAGGCTATGTAACATGGTCTATTCTGGGCAGCATGTGTCCAGCCAACATTTGGGGAACCGAAAGCAGGAGAATAGATATTGAGGTTGATTCCTTGTTTTTACGGCAGTATTGTATTAAACAGCCAACTTCACTGGGTGGACAACTACTACACTACAAACACTTAAAGAAGTGGACAAAGTCGAGTTTTCCAATCCAAATAATAGGAGATGGCTAAGTTTCCATATGTAGTTTAGACAAAAATTAAAATTTAAGTTCGAAAAGACAAAAAAATCAAGGATAAGCATTAAATGTATAGATTCATGAAGTAGTTGATACTTTACCACATCTTGATGTCCTGAAACTGAGAGGCAACTTTGAAACTTGAAGGAGGCATTGGACTGAACTGGAGTGGTGGGTGGGAGGGATGGGCTGATAATGGCCCTAATAGCCAAGGACATTGCCAGGCAGTTGGAAGAGCAGGACTGGATGCGGGGAGATTCGCCACATTCTGGCCTGGCAGATGAGCTGGGTTCACAGCTGAGTATTTAAAGCCAAAGGGGGCCGGGTGCAGTGGCTCATGCCTGTAATCCTAGCACTTTGGGAGGCCAAGGCGGGCAGATCACCTGAGGTCAGGAGTTTGAAACCAGCCTGGCCAACATGGTGAAACCACATCTCTACTAAAAATACAAAAATTAGCCTGGTGTGATGGCGGGTGCCTGTAACCCCAGCTACTCGGGAGGCTGAGGCAGGAGAATTGCTTGAACCTGGGAGGCAGAGGTTGCAGTGAGCCGAGATCGTGCCACTGCATTCCAGCCTTTGCAACAGAGCAAGACTCCGTCTCAAATAAAATAAAATAATAAAATAAAATAAAATAAAACCAAAAGGAATAGCAGAGTTGGGGGAATGCCAGGAGCATCTGCCCTAACAAAGGCAGTGCTCTCACTAAAGCCAAAAGGGAAGCTGGAGTTAAGGGTTTGGGGTGGAAGACACTGCAGAGAGTCAGCTAATGCTGATTTCTTACTAGACATCGCCCTCAGAGCTAGTGTATGAACAGTTAGTGTTTTTAGCTACTCAGAATCCATTTCCCTTGCTCTCAATACTGTTCCAGTTTCTCTGGAGAGAACTCCCTTGCCCCAACCAGTGCACATGATTTGTGTGGAGCATCAGACCTACTCCCTCCAAATCAAATCATGCTTTCCTCTGGGACACTGATTAACCCAGAGGTAGTTATGTAGCCTAATCAGAATGAAGGTGTATTAGTCTGTTCTCTTGCACTGCTATAAAGAAATACCTGAGACTGGATAATTTATAAAGAACAGAGGTTTAATTGGCTCATGGTTCCACAGGCTGTACAGGAAGCATGATGCTGGTGTTATGGGATCTTTGGGGTGTCAACTGCCTGGCCAGAAACCTCTGTGGCCAGTGGCACCTTTGCCCAAGTTCTTGTCCAAGTTCTTGTCCTACATCCGGGAGGAATGAGGTATGCAGGTAAGTGAAGGGTAAACAAGATGAAGATGAGCTTTATCAACTGTTAGAAGAGCTCAGAGGAGACCAGCAGGGGATAGCTCCTCTCTGTAGGGAGGTCATCCCATGGAGTGTCCAGCTCTCAGCAGAGAGGGTGCCCTGGAGAGGGTCACTCCTCTCTGCAGCTGGTAGTCCCGACATATCTGCAGGTCCCTGAAGCTCTCAACAGAGAGAGTAGCTCCTCTCTGCAGCTGATCGTCCTGTCCCATCAACTCTCTCTGTACTCCCCACCCTCTGCCCTCCTCTGGCTGAGCCCAGGGCTTTTATGGACCTCAGAGGGGAAGACGTGCATGCCAATTGGTCCATGGGTGGCCATGGGTGCCAGAAGAGGCACCGAGTCCCCACTCCACTCTGCAAGACTGGCAGCCTAGCCCCCAGGCTTCAGGCCCTCCCTGGCCTGAAGGAGGGGCCTTACAGGGACCTGCCCCCTTCCACCCAGGAAGCTGTCTGCCTCCTGCTGCCATTCATGGCCCTGGGGCTCAGCCCCAACCCCTCTCCTAGATCAGGGCAGGCCCCCGGAGAGGAGAGAGGCCAGGCAGCAGTGGCAGACACCCCCAGCCTCCAGGGAAGTTGGGGGGCTCTTCCTGGGCCACTGAGCGTGTAGGGTGCAGAGATGCCCGGGTCCTGAGCCTGGGATGGAGGCCACAGCTGCGCCCCAGGAGCTCTTGCCCCACCAACTCGGAAGGGGTGGAGGTCCCATTTGTCCTGGCTCCTGCCTGCTCCCTAGAGTGGGAGGCCCAGGTCTGCAACTGTGGTTGGAAGGCTGCATCTGCACCCGGGAGGGCAAATCCTACCTGCTCACGGTCCCCACCAAGAGCACAGGGAGGCTTGGATCCACAGCCGAGGTTTGGGTGGCTGCAGCCCCACCCAGGAGGGCATGGCTCCAGCCTGCTCCATAGAGCTGGAGGCCTGGGTCTGCAGCTGCAGTTTGGGCAGCTGCATCGGGACCCAGGGAGCTCCCTCTGCGACTCAGAAGGGGCGGGGCTCCCACCAGCTCTATGGAGTGTGCAGCCTCTGCTGCAGCTGGCGTGATGGCAGCTGACATCTACTTGGCTTCTGGAAAGGCATTATGAAACTTACAATCCTGGCAGAAGGGTTAACAGACTCATCTTACATGACCAGAGTGGGAGCAAGAGAGGTTGGGGGGAGGTGAGGCACACTTTTAAACGACCAAATCTCATTACCAGCACCAAGAGGAAAATCTGCCCCCATGATCTAATCGCCTCCTACCAGGCCCCACCGCCAATACTGGGGATTACAATTCGACATGAGATTTGGGCGGGAACACAGATCCAAACCATATCAGAAGGGGATGCAAGAAAACATTTTACAGGGCTCCAAGAGGGGCTTTAACAGGCACTCTTTGCCACTGAATTTGAACTTAGGAAGATAAGGCGGGGGGAAATGCCTGCTGTGCACATCTTGCCAGAGAGATTGTGTCCAAGGATTAAGCCAACAAGGAGTAGCTGACAGATATACACAGAGAAACCAGGTTCTGGGACATCACTTGCAGGACTGAGACTAGTTGTGTCTGGAGCCAATGCTCCCTTACAATTTCGTTATTGCCACAAATCAATTTATTCTCTTTTTGTTTAAGCCATGTTAGATTGAGTTTTCTCCCACTTTAAGTGGAAAAACATCTAATACTACTAGACCGTTTAAGTTCATTGTGTCACTTAATTTCACAACACTTGTGGGTCGTAGGTATTATTCTCATTTTATACAAATCAGGAAACTGAAACTTAGAAAAATTTAGTAACTTGCACAATATGCACAGCTCCTTGAACGAACTTTCAAACTCATATCTAGTTCTGAAACCCCCAAAACAACACATTAGTGGCTCTCTTATCCATTTAGTCTGCACATAGATGATCAGCTAACCACAAAAGTCAAAATGAAGAATTACTTAAAAATTCATACACAGGCCGGGCACGGTGGCTCACGCCTGTAATCCTAGCACTTTGGGAGGCCAAGGTGGGTGGACTGCCTGAGCTCAGGAGTTCGAGACCGGCCTGGGCAACACATGAAACCCCATCTCTACTAAAATACAAAAAAAAAAAAAAAATTAGCCAGGTGTGGCGGCGTGTGCCTGTAGTCCCAGCTACTCGGGAGGCTGAGGCAAGAGAATTGCTTGAACCTGGGAGGCGGAGGTTGCAGTGAGCCGAGATCATGCCATTGCACTCCAGCCTGGGTGACAGAGTGAGAATCTGTCTTAAAAAAAAAAAAATTATACACACGCCAAGCATGGTGGCTCATGCCTGTAATCACTGCACCCTAGGAGGCTGAGGCAAGAAGATCGCTTGAGCCCAGGAGTTCAAGACCAACCTAGGCAACATAGTGAGACCCTGTCTCTATTTTTTCTATTAAAATAAAATTTAAAAAATGACACATGCATACCTCACATAATTTAAACTAAAACACATAAATACATATTTGATTGTCAATCTTTTCCATAGATTCAAAGCATTTATTTGAATATATAACTGATGATTAGAAGTTGGCATGGGTGTGTGTGTGTGCTTGTGTGTGTGTGACAGGTTCTCACTCTGTCACTCAGGCTGGAGTGGAGTGGCATGATCACAGCTCACTACAGCCTCAACCTCCCAGGCTCAAGCTATCCTCCCACCTCAGCCTCCCAAATAGCTGGGACTACAGATATGCACTACTACACCTGGCTAATTTTTGTATTTTTTATAGAGATGAGGTCTTGCTATGTTGCCCAAGCTGGTCTTGAACTCCTGGACTCAAGCGATCCATCTGCCTCGGCCTCCCAAAGTGCTGGGATTACAGGCATGAGCCATGGCACCTGGCCTAGAGTTTCATATCATCGTTTCTGCATGACCCACACTAGGCATCATCAAAGATTTCTAATATTTATTTAAAGGAGAGCTTTAAAATACTTTCAGAGTATTTTGAGTGCAGAACCCTACATTTTTTTCCTTCCGGCATTTTACAGTTGCTTTCCCACTTCTAATCCAACAGCAATTTTTTAAATGATCCTCTTCTATCAAGTCTTTCCAAAGCATTCAACTTAATTTTCTTAGGAATAACTTCTTTTTAAATTAATTAATGAGTTTATATATTTACTTAAATTATATAATTACAATAAAAAATATAACTGGCATTGGCATACATAGGCTGCATTAGTTTGTAGGGCCACCCAACAAAGTTCCATAAACTAGGTGGCTTAGAGCAACACAAATGTATTGTCTCAGCTCTGGAGGCCGGAAGTCTGAAAATCAAGGTGTCAGCAGGGTTGCGCTTCATCTGCAACCTGGAGGGGAAGGCTCTTTCACTGCTTCTTCTTGTCTTTAAGTCGTTTGCTGACAGTCTTTGGCACTCCTTGGCTTGCAGATGCATCAGTCCATTTCTCTGTCTTCATGTGGCCATTTTCTCTGTGTGGGTGTCTGTGATGGTTAATATTGTCAACTTGATTAGATTGAAAGATGCAAAGTATCGTTCCTGGGTATGTCTGTCAGGGTGTTACCAAAGGAGATTAACATTTGAGTCAGTGGACTGGGAAAGGGAGACCCTCCTTCAATCTGGGTGGGCACAATCTAATCACCTGCCAGTGGAGCCAGAATGAAAGCAGGCAGAGGAACATGGAAAGACTAGACTGGCTTAGCCTCCCAGACTACATCTTTCTCCTGTGCTGGATGCTTCCTGCCCTAGAACATTGGACTCCAAGTTCTTCAGCTTTGGGACTCTGACTGGCTTCCTTGCTCCTCAGCTTGCAGATAGCCTACATTGTGGGACCTTGTAATCATGTAAGTCAATATTCCTTAATAAACTCCTATATCCTATTAGGTCTAGTTCCTCTAGAGAACCCTGACTAATACAGTGTCTGTGCATCCAACTTTCCTCTTCTCGTAAGGACACCAGTCATACTAGGTAGGACTCCCCTAATAACCTCATTTTAACTTGATTACCTCTGTAACAACCCTATCTTCACAAAGTCACATTCTGAGGAACTAAAGGTTAGGACTTCAATGTATCTTTTTTGGGGGGACACAATTCCACTCAGGGTAGTCCATTCACTACCCTGACTCTTGGTGAGTCTATCACCCAGGTGGAGGGAAAAAATGTGGGTGTGCCATCCTAAAGCTGTGGGTAATTGGCATGAGTTAGCACATTTTGCAGAAGAAAAATAAAATACTGGTCAACAAAAGGAGTCAATTAAAAAAACCCACTGCAGATTACAGAGGAAGCCAATAGGGGTGGAGAGGTAAATGATGAAACAGATAGTTGAATCATTTTTCTGGTAAACATTTTAAATAGCATTTTAGATCACTGCTTCCTTTTTCAAAAACAAGGAAGATTTTCCTGGGCAGTCTTTTCTGAGGAAGGAGGAGTTCCTCCAAATCTTTTTTTTTTTTTTTTTTTTGAGACAAAGTTTCACTCTTTTTGCCCAGACTGGAGTGCAATGGTGCGACCTCAGCTCACTGCAACCTCCACCTCCCAGTTTCAAGCAATTCTCCTGCCTCAGCCTCCCAAGTCCTGGGATTACAGGCATGTGCCACCATGTTTTCAAACCTCCCTCACCTGTACTTATAAATAAGTTCACATTTAGATTTATTCTCCTTTTTTTTTTCTGGATAATTATTTCTACCTGTACTTGCAGAACCTTACTCAGTGGCCCCCTCCCCTGGTGGTATCTCAGAGGATTTCATAAATAGGCTAATGCACGCTGAATACTGCACTGTCCTGCTTCTGCCTGAGATCCTTTCAAAACTGCAACATCTTGGTTGGGTGTGGTGGCTCACCCCTGTAACCTCAGCACTTTGGGAGGTCAAGGCAGAGGACCTCTTGAGTGCACGAGTTTCAGACTAGCGCAGGGAGTATAGCAAGGGCTTGTCTCTACAAAAAAATTTAAAAATTAGCTGGGTGTGGTGGCACGCACCTATAATCCTAGCTACTCAGGAGGTTCCACGGGAGGCAGAGGCTGCAGTGAGCTGAGATGAGCCACTGCACTCCAGCCTGGGTGACAGGGTGAGACACCGTCTCAGAAAAAAAAAAAAAAAAAAAAAGTTGAAGGGAGCTGGCTTGCCCCTTGCACCATGTAGGATGCATGAGAAGGCACCATCTTTGAAGCAGACTGAGCCCTCACCAGACACTGAATCTCCTAGCACCTTGGTCTTAGACTTCCCGGCCCCTAGAACTAAGAGCCATAAATTTCTGCTGTTTATAAATTACCCAGTCCAAGGTATTTGTTATAGTAGCCTGAATGGACTATGACAATACATGATGTCATTTTTTGGACTGTAGTGTTCATCAGCTCTTTGGAGATGACCATGCCAGACCTCTCTCCAGCAGTTCTCCCTGTGGGTACATGTACTGTGACTTCTTCCTCACCTCTACATATCTGGCATTCACCGCCAGCTTCCTGCCCTTCCAGGCAGCCTTACTGGACTGGATCCAAGGGCACTGTCTCCTGCATGGCCCATATCTGATCCATGGGAAACACAAATGCATCTTGGGACCCCTCGGCATGTGTGGGCTGACAGCCGACCACTGCATGCCTTTTTCAGGTGGGAGGTAAGTGACCAGAGAGTCTCCATGTGCACCAACATACCTAACAAGCTCCCCAAATGGCTGGAAGCCTGTAGGCATGAAGTGAAGGAAATGGGCTGCGGAAGCTTCCCTCAGTGGGGAGGAAGTAAACTCACAGCACAGCAAAAGCTCTGTCAGAGATTTCTTTTTTCTTTTTTTCTTTTTTTTTTTTTTTGAGACGGAGTCTCGCTCTGTTGCCCAGGCTGGAGCTCACTGCAAGCTCCGCCTCCCGGGTTCACGCCATTCTCCTGCCTCAGCCTCCCGAGTAGCTGGGACTACAGGCGCCCCCCACTACGTCTGACTAATTTTTTGTATTTTTAGTAGAGACGGGGTTTCTCCGTGTTAGCCAGGATGGTCTCGATCTCCTGATCTCGTGATCTGCCCGCCTCGGCCTCCCAAAGTGCTGGGATTACAAGTGTGAGCCACTGCGCCTGGCCTTTTCTTTTTCTTTGATACAGAGTCTCACTCGTCGCCCAGGCTGCAGTGCAATGGCATGATCTTGGCTCACTGCAACCTCTGCCTCCCAGGTTCAAGCAATTCTCCTGCCTCAACCTCCCGAGTAGCTGGGATTATGGGCACGTACCACCATGCCTGGCTAAATTTTTTTTTTTTATTTGTATTTTTAGTAGAGACGGGGTTTCACCACATTGGCCAGGCTGGTCCTGAACTCCTGACCTCAGGTGATCTGCCCACCTCGGCCTCCCAAAGTGCTGGGATTACAGGTGTGAGCCACCGCGCCTGCCCCTTTTTTTCTTTTTTTGAGACGGAGTCTCATTCTGTCGCCCAGGCTGGAGTGAGGTGGGGAGATCCCAGCTCACTATAACCTCTGCCTCTCAGATTCAAGCGATTCTCCTGCATCAGCCTCCTGAATAACTGGAACTACAGGTACGCTCCACTGTGCCTGGCTAATTTTTGTATTTCTAATGGAAACGGGGTTTCACCATGTTGCCCAGGCTGATCTCAAATTCCTGACCTCAAGTGATCTGCCTGCCTCGGCCTCCCAAAGTGCTGGGATTACAGGCATTAAGCCACCGCACCCGGCCTCTGTCAGAGATTTCTTCACCAAACCCTCCTTCCACTCTCCAATTCCTTCTTTTTATTTATTTATTTTATTTTATTTTTTACTTTTATTATTTTTTTAATTTTTTTTTTTTTAGATGGAGTCTCACTTTGTCTCCCAGGCTGTAGTGCAGTAGTGCTATCTTGGCTCACTGCAACCTCTGTCTCCCGGGTTCAAGTGATTCTCATGCCTCAGCCTCCCTCCCAGAGTAGCTGGGAGTATAGGCATATGCCACCATACCTGGCTAATTTTTGTATTTTTAGTAGAGACGGGGTCTTACCATGTTGCCCAGGCTGCGACCTGCCTGCCTGGGCCTCCCAAAGTGTTGCGATTACAGGTGGCTCCCGCCTGATTCTTTCTTACATCTTTGGAGATCTCTTCCTAGAATTTCACATTAGTATATCTTGTTGTCCTAATCAAAATCTATACTTTCATATCTTGTTACACATAGGAGAAAAAGAGCTAAGAGAATGACACAGAAATGGAGCTGGAGCCTTAATACACCTCCTAACTGTTAATCTGTTTGGGTGGGGTTTCTGTCACTTGTGGCCTACAGCAGTCTTACTGTCCCCCCAACCTCCCACAAAGTTCTTCAGGTTGAAGAGAGTCACTACTTTGTAGAATGGGAAGCTCTTACTCAAAAAAGTAGAAACTGAATACAAAACTAGACTTTAGAAGGATAAGATAAATAAATCAATGCATTCATAACACATCATTACAAGAAAGTGAGGGGGTTAGAGGTCTCATCTTTAAATTCTGCTCTCAAGGACATGGAGGGCCCCTCTCACAGGCTTTCCCAAAGCTCCTCTGGGTGTACTGGTCTGACTCAGCAAGTGAACATCTGTGGTTTTGCCTAGCCAGCATCCCTTCTCCTAGCAGCAGCACTCAGCATGTCCTTTTGGGGAATCACTCTTTTCTCTTGTGGTTTATTTAAAGTGACTGCACAATCAGACCCCAGAGTTTGGCTTATGTCCTAGGCCTTGCCAGTGAAAATATGGTACCTCATCAGTGGCAGTTATTTTTCCGAGAAAGGACATATCATGACCCAAGGGGCAGCAGCAGGGAGGGGTGGATGGAAGAGACAGATAACAAACAATAAGCTAAATAAACAAATTCAGTCAGGAGCTAAAGAAATAAGTCATTCAGGAGTGGGGCAGGTGGCAATTTCAAATGGAGTGGTTAGGGTAGTTCTCAATGAGGCAGCATTTGAGAAAATATCAGGAAGAGTGAGAAGTAGTCGAGCATTCCAAACAGACAGGAGCCTGTGCAAAGACCCTGCAGCAGAGCCCTGTCTGCCTTGCATAAGAAATAGCAGGGAGGCCAGAGTGACTGGAGCAGAGTGAGCCAGTGGGGAGGCAGTAGCAGATGAGGTTGTAGGGGTAACAGAGGAGCAGATCAGGCAGGGCTTTGGGTTTTACTCTGAGTTTGGGAAACCACTGGGAAGGTTTTGGGCAGAGGAGGAATTTGATCTGGCTTTCTTTTTTTAAGGTCACTCTGGCTGCTTTATGGGGACAGGCTGCAGGGATATCAGGGAAGAGACCACTGTCATGACCCAGGTAGCAGATGATGGAGGCAGAGGTAAGAAGTGGTCAGGCTCTGGGTATGCTAGGGAGATCCAACCAACAGAATTTTTGGGCCCTGGAGGTGGGATGTGAGAGAAAGGTTTCTGAAACAGCAAGGTTTCTGGCCTTGACAACTGGAAGATGGAGTTGCCATCGAGATGGTGATGCTATGGGGAAGAGATCAGGGGCACAGATTTGGATGTGTTGAGATTGAAATGTATTTTAGAGATCCAAGAGGAGGTATTAAGGAGGCAGCTGGATAGAGGAGTATGGAGTTCAGGAGGCAGGTCCCGCCTGGAGATAAAAATTCAAAGCCAAGCCTTCTCTCTTTGCACTCAACAAAACCTCACTTAAACAGGCTTGTCAGGTCATGGAATACGGTACTAGAACTCTTTGTTGGGGAAAATGCCAGTCAACCTTACCCGTCAGAACGCTGCCTTTAAGATCAGAGATCTCTTTCCTTCAGCCTAATCCACCCCTCTCCCTGTTTTCTCCCCTAGCCCCACTAGGCTAGAAGCTCCCTGGCTTCTCCCACATCAGGATCCCCAACAAACCCATTCCCAGGTGGATAAGAGCCCAGGCAGTTCCCTAGACCACGTTCACTACTTCCTAGCTACCCAAGAGCAGGACATCGCAGACACCGGCCTCCTGGAATATTCCCTCCGCTCCTCACATTTACAGGAAGGACTCAGGTAAGCCTCGGCGCCAGTTCAGTCGGCCCGGGGCCACTAAATACCAATGGGATCCAGTGGGTTCTACGTGGTGAGTGGGGGGCGGATAAGAGAGATGCGACACCCCCCGGGCCTGCCCCCCCCACGCCGGGGCCAGGCACACCGTGAGGGGGCCAGGCACACCGTGAGGGGGCCCAGCCACTTCCATACGCCCTCCGGTCGGCCGGCACCCACCACCCACCCCTCGCCACCAAGCTGGGTGCAGAGAACAGGGCAGGCGCACGGACGGTTCTTACGGCCCCAGGCGCCAGACCCAGGGCACAGAGGCCAGGATCTCACGCGCGACCGCACGAGGCCGGGACCCTCCCTCCCCTTCCGTCCACTCCCTTCCCCACCGCCTCCGGTCCCCTCCCGGTCTCCGCCACCCCGCTTCGGGGCCCCCGCCCCCCAGCCGGGCAGCCAATCGGAGCTGGGATCCCGCCCCGGTCCGCAAAGCCGGTGGCGCCCGGAGGCTGCACGGAGAGCGGTGCCCGCGTCAGGTGAGGCGCGCGCGGGGAACGGGGGTCGCGCGCAGGGGAGCGGGGGTCGCGCGCGGCTTCCATAGAGCGCTAGGGCCTGAGCTCGAAGCCCCAGGCCCGCAGGAGGCCCGGGCCCGCGGCCGCCAGAGCCGGGACGCAGCCTGGGCGCCGCCTGCCCCGCCCCGCCCCGCCCGGGCCCGGAGTGAGGACGCGGTCGGAGGCCCAGCAGCGCGGGTCCCGGCAAGGGGCTTTCTCAACTACACAAAAGACAGTCTAAAAAATTAAGTCTCCATTTCGGTTAAGACTGCCCGTAGTTTCGGTTTTTATGTAGACCCAAGAGGGCAGGCTCGGCGTCCGCGTGCCGCGTAGTCCGGCGGCTCCAGGAGCGCGAGCGGCTGGGCCCGGGCGTAGCCACCGCAGGGCCGCTAGCTCGGCCGGGACCCGCCTGGGATGCCCTGGGGTCTGCTCCGCTGGGGCGAATCCTGAGGCGCCACGCGAGGCACTTGGCCTCTCCTAGCCCCGCTTTCGTTTTTGGAAACTGGAAACTATCACTTATTTCGTAGACGGTGTGAGGGTTACATGACAGTGTTCTGTAAAGTGCACTCTACATATGAAGTGCTCAGAAATATGGCTAATAATGAGGGTATTTATAAACTACTTAAATTATAAAAAGAATGAGACATCAGACTTACAGTTTTGGATACTAATTTTTTTCACTTAACGTTCATTATGTGATAGGAGTTTTCCATCCTATTATACCGCTGTGCGATCTGATCTTGGGCACGTTAACCAACCTCTTGTTGCCTCGATTTTCTCACCTGTAAAAGTGGGGGTAATCATAATGCTTACTTAGTAGGATAGCCCTGAAGAATAAGTGACTTAGCGAACATAAATAGCTTACAATAGGGTTTTCAGCATGGGAAGGATTCAGTAAATGTTAGCTGTCATCATCACCACCTACAAAGGAAGCAATACTGTGCTGAAAGTTTTTCCATCATTAATGTAATTTCTATAGTACGATTCCCAAGAAGATATTAAAATTATGGAAATAAAGGTATTGGTATATTCCTAATTATTTCCTAAAAGATTGTATTGATAAATATGCTCATCCTTCCCTTAACGGGATGCATTCCAGAAAAACAAGTCAAATGTTAGACAAAGTATCAGAAGGGAAATTCTGTAGCCAGAGAGCTAAAAATTACAATAGGGTCTCTAATTATACTTCAACTTTTTTAGGAATAATTCTCAGTGTGTTTTCCCACATTTCATATGTAATTTTTTTTTTTTTTTTTTTTTGAGACAGAGCCTCGCCCTGTCACCAGGCTGGAGTACAGTGGCGCGATCTCGGCTCACTGCAACTTCCACCTGCTGGGTTCAAGCAATTCTTCTGACCTCAGGTGATCCACCCGCCTCGGCCTCCCAAAGTGCTGGGATTATAACAGGCGTGGCATGAGTCACCGCGCCCGGCCGATCTTTACTTTTTTATTCTTTGTACCCCCTGCCTATCCAGTTAGCATGTGATTAAAGTCAAAGATTTGCCACTTTGGGCCACATCTATTAATTTTCATCTTTGTTATAATTGTATTTAGTTTTTGATCTACACTGCTTATTACTCCCAGTCATTTTTTCTAGAACTGAAAATCTGGTAAAATACTCAAAATTGCACTGACTTCTATGTAGAGGCGACACTCCATCAGAACCGTGGGCTGACAGGGAATCCCACTGTGCAGGAGCTGCGCGCATTTTCATTTCTGATTCTCTTTGGCGTATCCAGGACTCTGATGACATGATCATATATTTATCAGTAGTAACAGGTTGGGCCATTTGTTTTTTGTGGTAAATCATATATTTAAGATTTTAGAAATAAGTTGATAGCCATGTATTTTGGAATTTGAAAAAGACATTGCATTACTCAGCTTCAAATTAAGCTTTAATCAAATAGTGAAACTTTCCATTAATGGACAGTGTATACCTTTTTGTGTATTTAAAAAAAAAAACACTGAATATAGTGCCTTTGTGACAGGGGAGCTTAGTTCCTGACAATGTCCTCTTGAGTCTTTTTTTTTTTTTTTTGAGATGGAGTCTCACTGTGTCGCCCAGGCTGGAGTGCAGTGGCGCCATCTTGGCTCACTGCAACCTCCGCCCCCTGGGTTCAAGTGATTCTCATTCCTCAGCTTCCTAAGTAGCTGGGATTACAGGCACGCACCACCATGACCAGCTAATTTTTATACTTTTAGTAGAGACAGGGTTTTGCCATGTTGGCTAGGTTGGTCTCGAACTCCTGACCTCAAGTAATCCACCCACCATGGCCTCCCCAAAGTGCTGGGATTACAGGCGTGAGCCATTTCACCCGGCCTCTCTTCCGTCTTTGAGCTGTGAGGAAATAGCTACATTACATGAGCTGCTAGATCTGCCTTATGGTCAGAAATGAAGGTTGAACTCTCAGGAACAGTGACATATATACACACTGATATTTCCAAAGTACAATGCCCCAAATTGATCCACAAAGGAATTAAGGTCATTTGCAACAAAATCACAGAATAGTAACAAATAAATAGAAGATAAATATGGCCAGGAATTGAGATGAGAGAAAGTATAAGTACAAGAAACTATTCCAGGGGAAAAAAAGAATGAAGTGTTTCAGTGTTATCCAATAGAATTTTCTGTGATTATGAAAATGTGCTATATTTAATTAATTTATATTCCAATAGCCACTCTGTGTAGCGGCTCCCTTATAGGTCATTGCAGGCCTATATTTTTGTAGTTGAGTCCCAAATTTGTTTCTAGAAAGGTAAACTTGGTCAGTTACATGGTTCTTGTCTTTTGAAAGTAAAACATACATGGCAACTTCATTCATTCATTCATTCATTGATCCCCCAAATGTTAATGGCCTTGAAGGAAGCAGAGCCTTTCCTGATTCTCAGTTATAGGGAAAATTTTCTGTGGACTTCATTATCAGAGCACCTTGATATGTTATTGCCCTGTGAAAGTCTGTTCAGTTTGGGGCTAGGAGGGATGCAGTCAGTGAAAGTGGCATAGTTTGTAATGTTTTTTAGAGTTTTGAATAATTATGTTAACTAATCTTTATAGAAAAGTTTAAAGTGTACAGAGAAGCAAAAAGAAAGTAGTCACTAAAAGTTTCACCACTTAGAGACATAATTACTGGTAATATTTTGATGTATATATTTCCAGACTTGTGTCCCATGTAGCTATTATATTTTTCTCAATAGATCCCAAAGTATCCAACTCCCTCCAGGGCAAGAGTTGCTTTTACCTTTACCCTTAGACCTCTGAGGCTGGCAGCTGGCCCCACCTGAGAGGGTCACCCTCTCCCTAATCCTTCCCCATACTTCTGTGAGTCACCTGGCTTTGGGGCAATAATAGATACTTGAGAGGGCGTTTGAGGAGGAACAAGGAGGAAGGTCACAGCTGTAGTTCATTCTGCATGATGTGTAATCCAGGCTTTTTCAACTCTGGCACTGTTGACATTTTGGGCTGGATAATTCTTTGTGTATGTGTAGTTGGGGTAGGAAGGTGTCCTGTGCATCACAGGATGTTTTGCAGCATCCCTGGCCTTTCCCTACTAGATGCCAATGGCACATACCCTTTTCCCCCCGAGTACAACAATCAGAAATGTTGGTGAGAAATACTGGGTTAATGAAAATCACTAATTTATTGCTGACAAAGCTCTGGAGTTTCAGATTCCAATTTGCATGTGGGAAAGAGACTGAAATCAAAAGGGAAACATAATGTAAGCCAAGGAAGCTGTTTAGTCCTGGCTGTGCTATTAATTTACTGTGAGATTTTGCATCTCTCCCACGTGCAAATTGGAATGTGAAACTCTAGAGCTTTGTCAGCAATAATTTAGTGATTTCCATGAACCCAGTAGTTCCTTTTTTTTTTTTTTTTTTTTTTTAAGATGGAGTCTTGCTCTGTCACCCAGGCTGGAGTGCAGTGGGACGGTCTCGGCTCATTGCAACCTCCGCCTCCCAGGTTCGAGCAATTCTCCTGCCTCAGCCTCCCGAGTAGCTGGGACTACAGGTGCACGCCACCATACCCAGGTAATTTTTGTATTTTTAGTAGACATGGGGTTTCACCATGTTGGCCAGGATGGTCTCGATCTCTTGACCTCATGATCAGCCCCATGCCCGCCTCGGCCTCCCAAAGTGCTGGGATTACAGGCATGAGCCACCGTGCCCGGCCCTTAACCCAGTAGTTGTTACTGACATTTCTGATTGTCGTGCTGGGGGGAAAACGGTATGTGCCACTGGCATCTAGTGGGGAAAGGCCAGGGATGCTGCAAACTGATATACTGCCAAGTTTATCAGTTGGGAATCCCAACAGTGAAAAGCATAAAAATGAAAGGAATTTTAAGGAGACTTTTTATAGAAGAGTGGGCAGGATTGGAGGAGCCAACAAGTGATGGTGAGGCACACAGGGAAGAGCTTCAGTGGGCACCATCCCCTCTCTGGTTTGAAGGGGTAGGGAGGGGACCAGAGCTGGGAGGAGGGGGCTGGAATACTGCTGGAGGAGCCACTCCCTTCCAGACCTGCTGTGGCCATCACAGAATGCAGCCACTGCCAGAGCAGCAGCCTGAGGAACCAGGCAGGGGGAGCACAAGTACCCTAGCCTCTCTCTTTCTGTTTCTTGCCTGCCGATCTCCTCCACTGGCTAAACCCAGCTGGATGCTAAGAGTACAGTCAGCCTGCCTGCTGAGGAGGGACCACCAGGGACCACCATCAGCAAGGGATCCAATGTCTTTCTGCCTCTGCAGAATGAAGGTTGGGGCACGGGGGGCGCTCTACTTCTTAGGGATATTGTGGGAATAAAAGGAAATAGGCAAAAAATGTTTTTGAAAAACAAAGCACATACTGCGCACCCGTGGGCCACTACTGCTTTTGACCCCTGGCTCTGTTTCATGAAGTAATGTCGTGTCATTCTCTTTTTAGGTGCTACAGGATTTCTTTAGGTTTGTTTTCTGTCCACCATATTTCAACTCATGTGTGCTGTTTGTTGTGCTAAAACAAATATTTGCTGATGCCTGAGTGAATAGTTGAATATTTTATATAAGTCAAATTTATACGTAATGATTTTTCTTGTAACTTAGCCGTTTCTCTTTTACAAACTCAGAAAACCTCAGACTTTGAAAAGGCCTTGAAGTTCCTCACCTGAAATCTGAGAACTTGGAGCGCCTTAAAAAATCTAAAGGAAAACAAAACAGTGAAAGAACATGATATAGTCAGTGTAGAGAATAAAATTATTTATGTAATTAATATTGAGGATGCAGATAACACGTTGTGAAATCTTGCTTGTAAAAAATCTCGATCTGCTGAAGAAAGATGTTCTCTCTAGAGATCTTTGAAAGCATAATTATTGAGCTTTTAAAATGTTAGAAACAAAAGTTAGACCCACACATATTCTGGCGTGTGGAAGATTTGCATTCCTTCCCCTGCCCGCCCCGCCCCCGCACTTGTGAGTTGTGCCTGTGTACGCAGTTCCTGTAGCACTCGGCTGGGCAGAAATCATCTTTCAGCACTAAGGGAACATAGTTATGATCTGGACCTTCTGGGAGTGGTCAGTGCCCAAGAACAGGTATGGGACTCCAGAAAGTTCTGCTCTCAACCCTATTTTGAAATAGAGTTACACATTGTTCTACAATTATTTGAGTTAATAAGCAGCTCTTTTCAAACGTGATTATGCCCTTCCAAGTTTAAATACACTAGACTTTAGTGAAAGTAATTGACCTCATCTCATTTCTCTCCTGTTATATTAAGATCACTTTCAGTAAAAGGTAGAAGCTTTTGAAGTGGTGAGGAGGAGGTAGAGGAGGGACATAGAGCAGATAGGGGCTGGAAAGTGGGGTGGGGAAGAGAGTGGCTTCTCTTTGGCAGAGTACCAAGGAAAAGCCCTATCTGTACAGAACCTTTGTGCCTGGGAACTTGATGGCTGCAACCTGAGCCTCAACCTAGTTTGCTTGCGGAGCCAGAAGAGAAGCTAAAAACCTTCAGTTAACCAAGCCAGACACCAAGAAAGTTAAACCGAAAGAGAACCCCCCACCCCCCGCAAAAAAAAGAAGTAAAGTGGGTTAAAGTGATATGTTAGCACAGAAAGAGAACATAAGGGTCATCTAAGTTCATCTGCCCCCTCTTCTATTTCAAGGTGCAGAAACTAAGGCACAAGGGACCCCGTGTCCTGCTCTTGATCACATAGCTAGTGGGTGCCAAGCCAGGTCTAGAACTCTGTTCTCTGGGGTCACAGGCTGGCTCTTCATCCCTCTAGAGAGATAGCTCATCTGTGTGCACCTGAGCCCGTTGTGTTTCGGAGTCAAAGCAAATAAAGGCTCAAACTCCAAGACTGTTTTGCAGACCGGCTGCAGTAGATACGGGGGGAGGAGAAACCTGCTTTAAATTGCTTCAAGCAAGTTGTTTCTGCAAAGGTGTTGACTTTTTTCTTTCAACTTTCTAGTGAGTCACTGCAGCCTGAGCTGTTATTTGTCATTATGCAATAATTCAGGAACTAACTCAAGATTCTTCTTTTTAAATTATTTGTTTATTTAGAGACAGAGTCTTGCTCTGTTGCCCAAGCTGGAGTGCAGTGGTGTGATCTCGGCTCACTGCAACCTCTGCCTCCTGGGTTCAAGCAATTCTCATGTCTCAGCCTCCCGAATAGCTGGTATTACAGGCTCGTGCCACCACCCCCTGCTAATTTTTGTAATTTTAGTAGAGACACGGTTTCACCATGTTGGCCAGGCTCGTCTTGAACTCCTGGCCTCAAGTGATCCGCCCGCCTCGGCCTCCCAAAGTGCTAGGATTACAGCCGTGAGCCTCCACACCCGGCCTATTTATTTATTTTTAAATTGGCTGCTCTTAGAAAGGCATACCATGTTTCTGGATGGGAAGGCTTATTAATTCACCCTAATTTAATGTATAAATTTGATGCAATCATAGTCACAGTCCCAGTGGAATTTTTTAACTTGGTAAGATGTTCTAAAATTAATGAGAGAACTTGAATTACCAGGTATTGAAACACTGTAAAGCCACAATCATGTAAACAGTATGTTATAACCATGGGAATAGAGGTCTGTGATACAGCAGAAAAAAGTGAAAAAAAGAATAACTGTATTCATAAAAATTTAAATGTGGAGTCACTGGGGGAAAGGATTAAATATTCGATAATGTAGAAACAACTCAACTATTTGGAGAAATGTAAATTTAGAGCCTTATCTCATGCCATATACCAAAATACTATTTAGATTTGATTAAAAAATAAAAATGTAAATAAAGAAAAGTTAAGGCAAGGCGTGGTAGCTCATGCCTGTAATCCCAGCATTTTGGGAGGCCGAGGTGGGTGGATCACCTGAGGTGAGGAGTTCCAGACCAGCCTGGCCAACATGGCGAAACCCCATTTCTACTAAAAATAATTAGCGTGGTGGTGTGGTGGTAGGCGCCTGTAATCCCAGCTACTCAGGAGGCTGAGGTGGGAGAATGGCTTGAACCTGGGAGGCAGAGGTTGCAGTGAGCCGAGATCCCACCATTGCACTCCAGCCTGAGTGACAAGAGTGAAACTCTGTCTCAGGGAAAAAAAAAAAAAAAAAAGTTAAAAATCTAAAAGAAAATAAAAATGTATCTATTTAATATAAGTCTTTTGGGAAAATATTTCTCAGCATAATACTAAAAGTTAGAAAATAGAATGTTTTTGTGTTTGACCATTTAAATAGTACACCTTTGAAATTTAAATAAAAAAAGGAAAACTAAACAAACCAAAACCTTTTTGTTACAGGATTAGGTCTTAGATATTTTAAGATATATTAAAATACAGAATAAAGTTCCTCCTTGATTCTGTTCAGAGTTTAACTAGTCCTGGCCAGACAATGGGGAGGAAAGGAGAGGGAGCTGTGTGATGGGCAGGCAGAGAGTTGGAAGGTGGAGCCAGATCTCGCTTGGCCTGGGATTGCTGCCTCTCCTGACGGTGCATCTTATCGTAAGGGGGAGTTGAAAGCAGAAGGGGAAACAGCACAGAAAGGATCTGTCTGGCCGTTACAGTTATGTGACCATGGCAGGTCCTGCCAGTCACTCACAGCTCTGTGAGCAACTAGCTGGGGTACCCCAGCTGAATGTGCTTTAAAAACAGCAATGTGGCCAGGTGCAGTGGCTCATGCCTGCAGTCTCAGAACTTTGGGAGGCCGAGGCAGGAGGATCACTTGAACCCAGGAGTTCGACGTTGCAGTGAGCTGTGATCATGCGTGCCACTGCATTCCAGTCTGTGTTAAAGAACAAAACCCTGACCCTGAAAAATAAACAAATAAACAGCAATGCCACTTATTCTAGGTGGTACACCCCTGATGCCCAGTGTACGAGTTCCATTTAGGCTTCTTTCTCGTGCATATGCATCTCTCCACATCCTTTCGTTTGTTTGTTTTCTTTTGTTTTGCTTTCCCCAGATTATGTAGGAAAACAATAAAGTTCATAAGTAATGTTCTGTAGGCCACTTTTATAGGAAAACTTTCCTCTAAGATCTCATTAGAAAAGAAAAGCAAGTAGCCTGCCACCGAGCACCTGTGCCAGCACAACTACACTGTGGAGCACCCAGATAAAGTGGCGCTGAACGCACTGCAGCCTCCTAAGTTCGGAAAAGAAAGCTCATTAGCATCTACACTGAAGACGCTCCTGTTCTTCACAGCTTTAATGATCACTGTTCCTATCGGGTTATTTATATTTCACAACTAAATCTTATATATCTGGAGGCGCCCTTGGGATATCCAATAAGGACAGCTGTTTTTATGCTGCTATTGTTGCCGTGGTCACCGGCCATGTGGTGCTGGCCCTCTTTATGTATGTGGTCTGGAATGAAGGCTCATGACAGTGACATGAAGGCAAACAGGATTAAAGTGAACATCACCTTTTGATAGCATTAAATTCATTTTTTAAAATGATAAATGCTGGAGGGGGGACATCTGATTTGAATAAAATTGAAAGAACATGTTAAAGTCAGTCTTAAGGAGTCATGTTTGAGTAGTGTAAATTTTGATCCTCCTAATATGTTGTTTGTATATTCAGTTTTAACTATATGAATCTCATTTGCAAATGAGAATTTGGAAAAGTTAAATTAGTTACAAATAGATATGTTAATTACAAAAAAAAAAGAAAGGGAGAGCAAGTAGTAGTGAGATTTCTGCAAGGTCAAAGGACTCAGGGCAGTTTCTTCTGAATGTAGTTTGGGGGCTGGAGAAAGAAATAGGAAGCAGTAGAATTGCTAGGTCAGATTGGAATTTTAAGAGCTATTGCTGCACTACCCTCCACAGAGATGCTACCCACTTGTAGTCCCCCAATAATATCAGAGTGTATTCCTGACCACACTTTAACCAACACACTCTGGCAAACATTTTGATCTGTCAGTCAGATAGGCCTTCTTGCTATAATCAGAATTTACATTCTGTGATCATGACTGAGGGTATCATTCTGCCTGTTATAAGAGTTACCTGAATTTCCTTTTCTGGGAACCAGAGAGCAATTTAGAGCTGGAGCAGACCTTGGAGATGAAGTCCAACCATTCAGCCTACAGCCTATGACCCGTTTGACCGTCGTTGTTGCTTGGGTAGTTCAGGACTGACAGGACTGGACACCAGGTCTCCTGTTTATCCTTGAAGCTCTCTGGGTGAATGTAAGACAGGACCTGTCAAGGCCTCTGGCACAGCCTGGGTTTGAGTCTAGAACCAGAAAGTCTGGAAATTGCAGGGCAGTGCCGCAGTGCCTTGGCTGTGAAGCAGGGTGCTTTACCCTCCCTGAACTCCAGGCACTTCGTCTGTAAAATGGAATTAATACTAGCTTTTTTTTTTGCCAGGGTTCTGAGGATTAGGGTTAATGTGTATGAACTAGCTGACCCAGAGAGGCTCACATCTGTTCTCATCCTCCTCACATTTGGGTGTTCTGTTATCTGTTATCTGTTCTGTCACTGTTCTGTTATCTGACTATCACTCACGTGCAAGCTCCAAGGGAGACTTGAATGAAAGTTCTTAAAAACAGAAGTAAAGCACAGTAGGGTGTTGGGGAGGGCATCTCTGTGGGGCCTCCAGGTAGCCAGGGGAGGGCGAGCAGAGTGTGCTTGCTGGGGACCCTCTGCTCCCGTGTCTTCATGCACCCTCCTACTTAGAGTGCTGGCGCTCCCACCCCACCCACCACCTGCGGGTCAGCTCTCAGTGTCTTAGTTATCCTTCTGAGATTTTTTTTTTTTTTAAATGAGACAGGGTCTCTCATCTGGGTACAAAATAGTTTGGGGAAAAAAGAGATAAGGTCTCTGTCACCCTGTGAGTGACAGAGGTGACGACATGTGAGATAGTGACTCATGTCACTATCACTCTAGGCTGGAGTGCAGTGGCGTGATCATAGCTCACTGCAGCCTCAAATTCCTGGGCTCAAGTAATCCTCCTGCCCCAGCCTCCCAAGTAGCTAGGACTATAGGTGTATGCCACAATGCCTGGCTAATTTTTTAATTTTTTAAGTAAAGACAGGGTCTTGCCATGTTGCCCAAGCTGGTCTCGGACTCCTGGGCTCAAGCAATCCTCCCACCTCAGCCTCCCACAGTGCTGGGATTACAGGTGTGAGCTACCGTGCCCGGCCTTTCTGAGATATTTTATGCATAAAAAGACATCACACCTATACTGCCTCCCCAGGATCTGAGAAGAAAGTCCACTTTCTTTGTCACATTCTGCTTTTTGGAGTTTTTCTTCTAGTAGGTTCCCTTTTTCAGATTTTTTTCAGATGTGAAAAGGCTCCAGACTGCAAAAGGAAAGGCATCATGTGTGCTGGCCAGGTTGGGTCATGAGACCCACTCTCAAAGCAGGAAGGAGCAATGGGAAGAGAGAAGGGAGGGGAGTTGCCGAAAGCAGGCTATTTTCTTTTTTTTTTTTTCTTTGAGACAGAGTCTCACTCTGTCGCCCAGTCTGGGAGTGCAGTGGCTCGATCTTGGCTCACTGCAGCCTCCTCCTCCCAGGTTCAAGCAATTCTTCTGCCTCAGCCTCCCGAGTAGGTGGGAATTACAGGCATGCGCCACCACACCCGGCTAATTTTTGTATTTTTAGTAGAGACGGGGTTTCGCCATGTTAGCCAGGCTGGCCTGGAACTCCTGACCTCAGGTGATCTGCCTTCCTTGTCCTCCCAAAGTACTGGGATTACAGGCGTGAGCCACTGCGCCCAGCTCCAAAAGCAGGCTATTTTCAACACAAAGCCTACACGATCACCCATGCCCCCTTCCCCGGGTAGTCTTAAGGTTGCCAAGGTCGGTTTTGTTTGTTTTGGAATGGGGGTGGTTATTTCACTGTCATTCATGGTTCTCATCCCTGTGCTTAACCAAAGAGAATGAGATCAAATGCTGTGCTGGGTCCAAGGGCAGGGGTTGCCACAGCCTTCCCTTTTCAGAGGCCTTCTGCCCTCTGCAAGCTAGGAGTGGTCATCGTCATCGGCTTCCTGGACAGCCTATGCAGGTGGAGGGGCTGGAGAGGCATCTGTAGTGCATTTTTCATCACCTCTGGTTATCCATTTGCCTGACCTTTCCTGCCCAGTTTTAGTTAAAATACAGTGGTGATTCTAGTGGCTCTAACAAGTGAGAGAAAAAATTAATCTTTACAGGCCTCTGTTCTACTGTCATTCCAGTGTTTGTCCAGGTGTGGCTCCTGACCGTCTGTGTGCCTTTACCTGGATGCTTGGTGAAAATGCAGATTCATGGCCTCCCCTCCACTCTTGGCCTTCCAAATCAGAATCTGGGAGTGAAACCCAGAAATATGCATTTTCAACAAGAATCCTAGGGGTACATTAAAGTTGAGGACCCCTGTTAAGCCGTGTTGTTGCTTTCTTTTCCTTCACTCTCTGGTCTCCCCTCATCTCCTCTTGTCACCCCTCCTTCCTTGCTACCCCTGCTCACCTGTTTGCCCCCTCCTTCGTCTTAATGCTGAGGGTCCGGAGCGGCTTCTTGGACTATTCTTTGAACATACTAAATTGCAGTCCTCCAGAAACTCAGCTAGGAAGAAAAAAAAGTACATATTTCTTATTGCCTTGCTTGTCCCCATTTAAAAAGCCAGATAAAAAACTGTCCTCTTCAAGCACCAGTTTTGGGAAGTGCATCCTTCCCATGGAGGCATCCCGATTGCAGCTGCTCTTCCAATGTAGGAGACGGATCTGGGCTTGGAAATGCCCTTCTCTAAGGAAGCATTGCTGGTGTGACATCCCAGGGAAGTCAGCTACCACCAGCCCCAAAGTAGACACTGGCCTGGGTATCCTAGCTGGAAGGCACAGGTGGTGAAGGCATTTGGGAAACATGAGAATGATGGGACAGGAAGCAGTGGGGGAGCATGGGGTGGCAAAGGGGAATGTTTGCCTGGAGTTTGGGCAGGTGCCACCAGGGACCTGAACCTCTGCTTTTGTCTTTACAGTGACCGAAGGAAGAGACCAAGATGAATGCAGAGGTGAGTTCTTTACAAAGACCAGTTTAAGGGATGCTTTTCTTATTGTGTCCCTCATTTCTCCTTTGCAGAGTCTCCATTCCCTTTCAGAAACATCAGCACAAACTTGAGAACATTTCCCCTCTAGCCTACTGAAGTGCACGTGGTTCTGGGTGATGCAGGAAGAACTAGGCCCCTCTGAGTTCTTATCTGTGTCTGTCTGGCTTCATTCGAACTTACCCACTGCAGCTAATCCTGAAACAACACTCCCTAGCTCTGGCTAGTAGTGGGGCATGGAGGTTGCTGGGCCCAGATCCCTGCTTTGTGTTATTCTGGAAACACTTTCTCTGCATTGTCTCCTTGGTGCTCTCACTTCCAGTTCTTTGATGCATGGAGATGTCTAGCTCCTTATCCTTTTGTTTTTTCCTTTTGTTTTACCCATCAGCCCCTTCCTCTGTTCACTCCCTTCCAAGTGGAGCCTAGACCTTGGGGTTCATCACTTCAGCCACTGCTGTGCTGACGCCCACTATGCTTTTCCCACTTGTCCTGTCCATCCACATGGCAAACACAGAGGCCATCCCCACAAGAGGGGGGTCTTGGGTGAGTGGCACAGCCTTGTGCTGTTTGCAGCTGGCAGATGTCTCAACACCCTTATCTGGTGCTCAGCACCACCCGCCAGGCCCCCTGTCACTCTAGGCAGCTCCTTGCCAGTGCCCTGAACCCCCAGCTCCAGGCTTCATCCCTCTCCCTAAGCTCTGTCCTCCTCGAAGGTCCCCCTCACTCTTAGCATCAGGATCCCTTTTCATTTTACAGAGGAAAATGTAAACATTCCATCTGACATCATCTCCCTCAATTCCTGCCTCTCCATTTGTCCTGTTCCTCCTGTCACAGTGCAAGGGATGTTTGTCAGTGAGAAAGTTCCAGGTTGTGAACACCAGAAAGCCTGACTTAATGTGGCTTTTTCCTGGAAGTCCAGGTGAAGGGCAGGCTTCAGGGCTGGTCGATCCTGCGGCTCAGTGACTGCCTCAAGGATCCAGGAGCTTTTCATCTCTCTGCTCTCCATCCAGCTGTTGGTTGCATCCTAGGGCAGGTGCCCATGTGGCAGCAAGATGGCTGCAGTGGCAGTTGGGGCCACATATGTTCGCATTCCCTTTCATCAGCAGGAAGAAGTGGCTTCCTGCAACTCCTTCAGGGGAGTGGGAGCCTTTATTTGAAGCCCCATCAAATGTCTCCTTCGGTCTTATTGGCCAGAATCAGGTCCTGGACCATAGTGTGTCTGAGGAGCAGGGATTTTGTGATTGGCTTCAACTACTCAGGCCCATCCTGGAGCAGCTTCCCCCCTGCCCCAGGGCTGGGTGTGGAAAGAAGAAAGGGGGATGTATCCCTGTCTGGTATGAGACATTCCTGGTCCATTTTCATGCTGCTATAAAGAACTGCCCAAGACTGGGTAATTTAAAAAGGAAAGAGGTTTAATTGACTCACAGTTCAGCATGGCTGGGGAGGCCTCAGGAAACAACAATTATGGTGGAAGGCAAAGGGAAAGCAAGGCACCTTCTTCACAAGGTGGCAAGAAGGCAAAGTGCTGAGCGAAGGGGGAAGACCCCCTTATAAAACCATCAGATCTCGTGAGAACTCACTATCATGAGAACGGCATGGGGGAAACCACCCCCGTGATTCAGTTACCTCCACCTGGCTCCTCCCTTGACACACAGGGATTATGGGGATTACAATTCAAGATGAGATTTGGGTGGGGACACAAAGTATAACCATATCACCTAGTGACGGTATACCCTTCTCCTCTGAAACTGCACACTCCTGCCTGCTCAGACCTTGCACCACCTCCTTAGTTATCTCCTTTGCCATGTGCATCATTAACCTAATTCCCACTACCTCTTTCTCATCGATATTTCAAAATGCTTTCTTCAGAACAAAATGACACCTCACATCTTGTCCAGCAACTGTTATCCTATCTTTCTTTTTTTAATTTAATTTTATTTTATTATTATTATACTTTAAGTTTTAGGGTACATGTGCATAATGTGCAGGTTAGTTACATATGTATACATGTGCCATGTTGGTGTACTGCACTCATTAACTTGTCATTTAACATTAGGTATATCTCCTAATGCTATCCCTCCCCTCTCCCCCCACCCCACAACAGTCCCCGGAGTTCGATGTTCCCCTTCCTGTGTCCATGTGTTCTCATTGTTCAATTCCCACCTATCAGTGAGAACATGCGGTGTTTGGTTTTTTGTCCTTGCGATAGCTTGCTGAGAATGATGATTTCCAGTTTCATCCATGTCCCTACAAAGGACATGAACTCATCATTTTTTATGGCTGCATAGTATTCCATGGTGTATATGTGCCACATTTTCTTAATCCAGTCTATCATTGATGGACATTTGGGTTGGTTCCAAGTCTTTGCTTTTGTGAATAGTGCCGCAATAAACATACGTGTGCATGTGTCTTTATAGCAGCATGATTTATAGTCCTTTGGGTATATACCCAGTAATGGGATGGCTGGGTCAAATGGTATTTCCAGTTCTAGATCCCTGAGGAATCGCCACACTGACTTCCACAAGGGTTGAACTAGTTTACAGTCACACCAACAGTGTAAAAGTGTTCTTGTTTCTCCACATCCTCTCCAGCACCTGTTGTTTCCTGACTTTTTAATGATCACCATTCTAACTGGTGTGAGATGGCATCTTATTGTGGTTTTGATTTGCATTTCTCTGATGGCCAGTGATGATGAGCACTTTTTCATGTGTTTTTTGGCTACATAAATGTCTTCTTTTGAGAAGTGTCTATTCATATCCTTCGCCCACTTTTTGATGGGGTTGTTTGTTTTTTTCTTGTAAATTTGTTTGAGTTCATTGTAGATTCTGGATATTAGCCCTTTGTCAGATGAGTAGGTTGGGAAAATTTTCTCCCATTTTGTAGGTTGCCTGTTCACTCTGATGGTAGTTTCTTTTGCTGTGCAGAAGCTCTTTAGTTTAATTAGATCCCATTTGTCCATTTTGGCTTTTGTTGCCATTGCTTTTGGTGTTTTAGACATGAAGTCCTTGCCCATGCCTATGTCCTGAATGGTATTGCCTAGGTTTTCTTCTAGGGTTTTATGGTTTTAGGTCTAACATGTAAGTCTTTAATCCATCTTGAATTAATTTTTGTATAAGGTGTAAGGAAGGGATCCAGTTTCAGCTTTCTACATATGGCTAGCCAGTTTTCCCAGCACCATTTATTAAATAGGGAATCCTTTCCCCATTGCTTGTTTTTGTCGGGTTTGTCAAAGATCAGATAGTTGTAGATATGCGGCATTATTTCTGAGGGCTCTGTTCTGTTCCATTGATCTATATCTCTGTTTTGGTACCAGTACCATGCTGTTTTGGTTACCGTAGCCTTGTAGTATAGTTAGAAGTCAGGTAGTGTGATGCCTCCGGCTTTGTTCTTTTGGCTTAGGATTGACTTGGCAATGCGGGCTCTTTTTTGGTTCCATATGAACTTTAAAGTAGTTTTTTCCAATTCTGTGAAGAAAGTCATTTGTAGCTTGATGGGGATGGCATTGAATATATAAATTACCTTGGGCAGTATGGCCATTTTCACGATATTGATTCTTCCAACCCATGAGCATGGAATGTTCTTCCATTTGTTTGTATCCTCTTTTATTTCATTGAGCAGTGGTTTGTAGTTCTCTTTGAAGAGGTCCTTCACGTCCCTTGTAAGTTGGATTCCTACCCATTTTATTCTCTTTGAAGCAATTGTGAATGGGAGTTCACTCATGATTTGACTCTCTGTTTGTCTGTTATTGGTGTATAACAATGCTTGTGATTTTTGTACATTGATTTTGTACCCTGAGACTTTGCTGAAGTTGCTTATCAGCTTAAGGAGATTTTGGGCTGAGACAATGGGGTTTTCTAGATATACAATCATGTCATCTGCAAACAGGGACAATTTGACTTCCTCTTTTCCTAATTGAATACCCTTTATTTCCTTCTCCTGCCTGATTGCCCTGGCCAGAACTTCCAACACTATGTTGAATAGGAGTGGTGAGAGAGGGCATCCCTGTCTTGTGCCAGTTTTCAAAGGGAATGCTTCCAGTTTTTGCCCATTCGTTATGATATTGGCTGTGGGTTTGTCATAGATAGCTCTTATTATTTTGAGATATGTCCCATCAATACCTAATTTATTGAGAGTTTTTAGCATGAAGCATTGTTGAATTTTGTCAAGGGCCTTTTCTGCATCTATTGAGATAATCATGTGGTTTTTGTCTTTGGTTCTGTTTATATGCTGGATTACCGTTATTGATTTGCATATGTTGAACCAGCCTTGCATTCCAGGGATGAAGCCCACTTGATCATGGTGGATAAGCTTTTTGATGTGCTGCTGGATTTGGTTTGCCAGTATTTTATTGAGGATTTTTGCATCAATGTTCATCAAGGATATTGGTCTAAAATTCTCTTTTTTGGTTGTGTCTCTGCCAGGCTTTGGTATCAGGATGACGCTGGCCTCATAAAATGAGTTAGGGAGGATTCCCTCTTTTTCTGTTGATTGTAATAGTTTCAGAAGGAATGGTACCAGCTCCTCCTTGTACCTCTGGTAGAATTTGGCTGTGAATCCATCTCGTCCTGGACTCTTTTTGGTTGATAAGCTATTGATTATTGCCACAATTTCAGAGCCTGTTATTGGTCTATTCAGAGATTCAACTTCTTCCTGGTTTAGTCTTGGGAGGGTGTATGTGTTGAGGAATTTATCCATTTCTTCTAGATTTTCTAGTTTATTTGCGTAGAGGTGTTTGTAGTATTCTCTGATGGTAGTTTGTATTTCTGTGGGATTGGTAGTGATATCCCCTTTATCATTTTTTATTGCGTCTATTTGATTCTTCTCTCTTTTCTTATTTATTAGTCTTGCTAGCGGTCTATCAATTTTGTTGATCTTTTCAAAAAACCAGCTCCTGGATTCATTAATTTTTTTGAAGGGTTTTTTGTGTCTCTGTTTCCTTCAATTCTGCTCTGATTTTAGTTATTTCTTGCCTTCTGCTAGCTTTTGAATGTGTTTGCTCTTGCTTTTCTAGTTCTTTTAATTGTGATGTTAGGGTGTCAATTTTAGATCTTTCCTGCTTTCTCTTGTGGGCATTTAGTGCTATAAATTTCCCTCTACACACTGCTTTGAATGTGTCCCAGAGATTCTGGTATGTTGTGTCTTTATTCTCATTGGTTTCAAAGAACATCTTTATTTCTGCCTTCATTTCATTATGTACCCAGTAGTCATTCAGGAGCTGGTTGTTCAGTTTCCATGTAGTTGAGCAGTTTTGAGTGAGTTTCTTAATCCTGAGTTCTAGTTTGATTGCACTGTGGTCTGAGAGACAGTTTGTTATAATTTCTGTTCTTTTACATCTTCTGAGGAGTGCTTTACTTCCAACTGTGTGGTCAGTTTTGGAATAGGTCTGGTGTGGTGCCGAAAAAAATGTATATTCTGTTGATTTGGGGTGGAGAGTTCTGTAGATGTCTATTAGGTCTGCTTGGTGCAGAGCTGAGTTCAATTCCTGGGTATCCTTGTTAACTTTCTGTCTCGTTGATTTGTCTAATGTTGACAGTGGGGTGTTAAAGTCTCCCATTATTATTGTGTGGGAGTCTAAGTCTCTTTGTAGGTCACTCAGGACTTGCTTTATGAATCTGGGTGCTCCTGTATTGGGTGCATATATATTTAGGATAGTTAGCTCTTCTTGTTGAATTGATCCCTTTATCATTATGTAATGGCCTTCTTTGTCTCTTTTGATCTTTGTTGGTTTAAATTCTGTTTTATCAGAGACTAGGATTGCAACCCCTACCATTTTTTGTTTTCCATTTGCTTGGTAGATCTTCCTCCATCCCTTTATTTTGAGCCTATGTGTGTCTCTGCACGTGAGATGGGTTTCCTGAATACAGCACACTGATGGGTCTTGACTCTTTATCCAATTTGCCAGTCTGTGTCTTTTAATTGGAGCATTTAGCCCATTTACATTTAAAGTTAATATTGTTATGTGTGAATTTGATCCTGTCATTATGATGTTAGCTGGTTATTTTGCTCGTTAGTTGATGCAGTTTCTTCCTAGCCTTGATGGTCTTTACAATTTGGCATGTTTTTGCAGTGGCTGGTACCGGTTGTTCCTTTCCATGTTTAGTGCTTCCTTCAGGAGCTCTTTTAGGGCAGGCCTGGTGGTGACAAAATCTCTCAGCATTTGCTTGTCTGTAAAGTATTTTATTTCTCCTTCACTTATGAAGCTTAGTTTGGCTGGATATGAAATTCTGGGTTGAAAATTCTTTTCTTTAAGAATGTTGAATATTGGCCCCCACTCTCTTCTGGCTTGTAGAGTTTCTGCCGAGAGATCCGCTGTTAGTCTGATGGGCTTCCCTTTGTGGATAACCCGACCTTTCTCTCTGGCTGCCCTTAACATTTTTTCCTTCATTTCAACTTTGGTGAATCTGACAATTATATGTCTTGGAGTTGCTTTTCTCGAGGAGTATCTTTGTGGTGTTCTCTGTATTTCCTGAATCTGAATGTTGGCCTGCCTTGCTAGATTGGGGAAGTTCTCCTGGATAATATCCTGCAGAGTGTTTTCTAACTTCGTTCCATTCTCCCCGTCACTTTCAGGTACACCAATCAGACGTAGATTTGGTCTTTTCACATAGTCCCATATTTCTTGGAGACTTTGTTCATTTCTTTTTATTCTTCTTTCTCTAAACTTCCCTTCTCGCTTCATTTCATTCATTTCATCTTCCGTCACTGATACCCTTTCTTCCAGTTGATCGCATTGGCTCCTGAGGCTTCTGCATTCTTCACGTAGTTCTCGAGCCTTGGCTTTCAGCTCCATCAGCTCCTTTAAGCATTTCTCTGTATTGGTTATTCTAGTTATACATTCATCTAATTTTTTTTCAAAGTTTTTAACTTCTTTGCCATTGGTTTGAATTTCCTCCTGTAGCTCAGAGTAGTTTGATCATCTGAAGCCTTCTTCTCTCAACTCATCAAAGCCATTCTCCGTCCAGCTTTGTTCCGTTGCTGGTGAGGAACTGCATTCCTTTGGAGGAGGAGAGGCGCTCTGCTTTTTAGAGTTTCCAGTTTTTCTGCTCTGTTTTTTCCCCATCTTTGTGGTTTTATCTACCTTTGGTCTTTGATGATGGTGATGTACAGATGGGTTTTTGGTGTGGATGTCCTTTCTGTTTGTTAGTTTTCCTTCTAACAGACAGGACCCTCAGTTGCAGGTCTGTTGGAGTTTGCTAGAGGTCCACTCCAGACCGTTTGCCTGGGTATCAGCAGCGGTGGCTGCAGTACAGCGGTGGCTGTAGAACAGCGGATTTTCGTGAACCGCAAATGCTGCTGCCTGATCGGTCCTCTGGAAGTTTTGTCTCAGAGGAGTACCTGGCTGTGTGAGGTGTCAGTCTGCCCCTACTTGGGGGTGCCTCCCAGTTAGGCTGCTCGGGGGTCAGGGACCCACTTGAGGAGGCAGTCTGCCTGTTCTCAGATCTCCAGCTGCGTGCTGGGAGAACCACTACTCTCTTCAAAGCTGTCAGACAGGAACGTTTAAGTCTGCAGAGGTTACTGCTGTCTTTTTGTTTGTCTGTGCCCTGCCCCCAGAGGTGGAGCCTACAGAGGCAGGCAGGCCTCCTTGAGCTGTGGTGGGCCCCACCCAGTTCGAGCTTCCCGGCTGCTTTGTTTACCTAAGCAAGCCTGGGCAATGGCAGGCGCCCCTCCCCCAGCCTTGCTGCCACCTTGCAGTTTGATCTCAGACTGCTGTGCTAGCAATCAGCGAGACTCCGTGGGCATAGGACCCGCCGAGCCATGTGCAGAATATAATCTCCTGTTGTGCTGTTTTTTAAGCCTGTTGGAAAAGCGCAGTATTAGGGTGGGAGTGACCCAATTTTCCAGGTGCTGTCTGTCACCCCTTTCTTTGACTAGGAAAGGGAACTCCCTGACCCCTTGCGCTTCCCGAGTGAGGCACTGCCTCGCCCTGCTTCGGCTTGCACACGGTGCACTGCACCCACTGTCTGGCACTCCCTAGTGAGGTGAACCCGGTACCTCAGATGGAAATGCAGAAATCACCCGTCTTCTGCGTTGCTCACGCTGGGAGCTGTAGACCGGAGCTGTTCCTATTCGGCCATCTTGGCTCCACTATCCTATCTTTCTCATCCCCTGCAAGGCAGGCTTCTCAAAAAAGATACCTGCAGTTAATTTCTCCGTTTTCTCTTCCCTGGGTCATTCTCAGCCTGTTGCAGTCTGGTTTCTTTTCCCATATTATATACCGAAATGAGTCTTGTCAGGGTCAATGATGATCTCTGTAAATTTTATAAAAATTTATTTTGTAATAATGTAGACACATGTTCATAGTGTAAAACTCAGGCTACAGAATGGAAAACAGCCAAAAGTAAGTCTCCCTATTACGTTATCTTGACCAGCCCTGCCCCACTTGGGGCTGACTTCTGGTAACCACTTTCTTGTGCCTCTGACCTCCTTATCTGAAGGCCCCTGTGGCTCACCCTGTGGCTTGCTCTAATTCTTAGGATCTTTTAAGTTCTAAAGAAACAATAGAAGCTTTGCATTAATATTAAGCTTATACACCCTGGTCCAGGAGCAGTTCCATCAGTCATCAGTGATCTCTTCTGTCCTTTTTGATGGCTTTTCCTCTTAACCTTGTAAGAACATGCTAGACTTGGGTCCTCCTCTGCTGTTCCTTACATATATATATTTTATATTTTTTTTCTTTTTCTTTTTTTTTGAGATAGAGCCTCATTCTGTCACCCAGCTGGAGTACAGTGGCGTGATCTTGGCTCACTGCAACCTCTGCCTCCCGGGTTCATGCGATTCTCCCACCTCAGCCTACCAAGTAGCTGGGATTACAGGAGCACCACCACACCTGGGTAATTTTTGTGTTTTTAGTAGAGATGGGGTTTCACTATGTTGGCCAGGCTGGGCTTGAACCCCTGACCTCGAGTGATCCTCCCACCTCGGCCTCCCAAAGTGCTGGGTTTACAGGCATGAGCCACCATGCCTGTCACTCATCTCAGTCACAGCTGCCACAGGGACCCCAAGCCCGTTATAACCCAGGCTGTACTTTCTGCTTTCACCTGCCCCAAATCTGCTCCTCCTCGAAGGGCCATCTGTGGGCCAGGCGCTCCAGTCCCCTCACTCTGTTCCCACAAGCCAGCAGCCAGTGACCAAGGCTGTAAATCCTGTCATTGCCTTGATGTAGTCACCAATATTTATGTGACACCATACTGTACCAGACTCTAGACCTGGCTTGATGGCTCTAATGGTAAAAATGTAAGTGTGGTACTCATGCTCATGGAACTTATCGCTAAGTGGGACCACCATATCTTTCCAGTCTGTCCCTTCCTTATCCTACTTCCTGCCTCCTCATCACTTCCTCACTTACCTAATTCTTTTCTTCTTCTCCTTTGCTTTCCTCACCCTCCTCTAGGCCATTCCCTCTCCCTTTTGGAAGGCAGGGGGAAGAGACCTCAGGCACAGGGACGGTCCACACACCCAGTTCCTGACACATTGCCTCTGTTGTGCTGTGCAAGGCCCCGCTCTCAGACTTATTTATATTTTATTCATTTTCTCTCCATCCCCATTCTCACCCTGCCAAAGCCAACTATTCTAATGAATTAAGTGGTTTTCCTTTTTTATTTGTGTATGTTCATGAAACATTTTGTTTTTGTGCAAATACCTTCTAAATTTATATACAGTAGGCTGGGCGCCGTGGCGCATGCCTGTAATCCCAAAACTTTGGGAGGCCGAGGTGGGCGGATCAACTGAGGTCAGGAGTTTGATACCAGCCTGGCCAACATGGCGAAACCCCATCTCTACTAAAAATACAAAAATTAGGCGTAGTGGCACATGCCTGTAATCCCAGCTACTCAGGAGGCTGAGGCAGGAGAATCACTTGAACCCAGGAGGCAGAGGTTGCAGTGAGCCAAGATTGTGCCATTGCACTCCAGCCTGGGCTACAGAGCAAGACTCTGCCTCAAAAAAAAAAAAAAAATTATATGCAGTAAAACTGCCTCTTTTTTTTTGGTGTAGAGGTTTACCCATTAAAACACATATGTGTAACCATCACCCCAGGATGTCAGGATGCAGAACCTCACCCCAAAACATTCTTTTCTGTTGCCCCTTTATAGTCACAACCTCCCCTTGCTACTGACCCCTGGCAACATATATCACCTCCTGTGTGATATACTTTTTTTTTCCTGAAACAGTCTCACCCTTGTCACCCAGGCTGGAGTGCAGTGGTGTGATCTCAGCTCACTGCAACCTCGGCCTCCCGTTTCAAGCAATTCTTCAGCTGCAGCCTCCCATGTAGCGGGGATTATAGGAGTGGGCCACCACACCCAGCTAATTTTAGTAGAGACTGAGTTTTGCCATGTTGGCCAGGCTGGTCTTGAACTCCTGACCTCAAGTGACCCAAATGCCTCTCGACCTCCCAAAGTGCTGGGATTACAGGCATGAGCCACAGTGCCCAGCCTGATATACTTTTAATGTACATAATTGTATTTTATATCATTTATATCTCATTCTCCATTTTTCTGTATGTTAAAGATATATAGTTAATCTGCTACACAGCAGCCCAGAATGTGCATCCATTTAGTCCTAACAAAAGGCCTAGGAGCAAGATGCTATTATTACCCATTTTGTAGATGAGGAAAATGAGCAATAAGTCAATTGCTGTAAGTCACAGGGGGTTAAGGAGCATCACAGAGATCTAAGCCCTGATGTTTTTGACCCATGAATGCCTTTGTTCTTGCCTATATCCAGCTAATCCCATCCATCCAGTTCAAATGTCCTTTGTACTGCACAAACAGTTTTCTCAAGAGTCCTCTCTCGGGAAGTCATACCTCCCTCTTATGAATTTCCATTGTGCTTTATGTATCTTTTCTTTCGTTACCTTCCCCTCCTGCTTTGACTGTAGCTGTCGGGGTGCCTCGCTCATCTTAGCATCCCCATGGCATCTGACTTGATGCCTCATGCATAGCTTATCTTCACTAATTATCAGTTGACTAAATGATAGGATGATTCAGAGACTGTTAAGTAATCTTCTAATGCAATCCAGAGCTTGGGAGGGTCAGTGAAAGTGTAGAGAAAGGAAATCATATGACAGAAATTTTCAAGCAAAACTAGTTGTGGCCCAGAGGCTGGCTGGAGGGAGAAAGACAGAAGAAGGACCATCGGCCACAGTCGGGCTTTGATCCCAGGATGTTTGTTGAATGCAGGAATGACTCCAAGCATTTAAAGCTGGGGGCTGCCAGGATTCCTAGAGCTACTGGCTTTTGCCCAGAAGTTCAGAGTACAACCTGTCAGGAAGGGTGGATAATTGGAGTTTAGCACACAGCGTGAAGATCCAGGGCGCGGTGGGAAAGCCAGGTTGAAATGCCTTGGGAATGCGGCTTGGAAGAGAGGATGGCCCACAGCTCAGGATGCTAGGGTCTTTGGCATAGAGGTGGTCATGGAAACCCTGAGAATGAGGGACCCCCATATTCTGGGGACATGGGAGAGAGAGAAAAATAGAGGGATGAAGACTGAGCTTTGGGAAATATGCACATCTTGGGTAAAATGAAGAAAGAAAGTGAAATGTGAAAAGAAAACCTCGGTAGCATGAGGTAAGAGAAGAAAGGAAGGAGTGAGTTTGAAGAAGGTCCAGGTAAGGGTCACTCATGTCTGAAGTCCAGGAGGATGTGGCTGAGAAGAAGCCCTTGAATGTGATGAGAAGGTCTTGGATGACCCACGGTGAAGCAGGGAGGTATGGGAGTGAAAACCAATTGCAGCAGGGCCAGGAGGGGTGAGAGGAGTCTGGGGCACTTGGGGTCATTGGACAGGGCAGGGGCAGGGGCAGCAGAGGACTCTGAGCACTGTAGAGGGAGCTCCAGGAAGGGAAGCGGGAGTGAGCCAAGGCGCTATACACTGCAGAATTCTCACCTTCCTAGAGCAGCCCTCTGATATTTATGTCTGTTTTCAGTGGTGGTTTATATTTTAGATAGTGAATACATTTGTGTGATTCTAAACTTTAAAGAGGAAAAAAAGAAAAAAAAATATTTTCTATGAGAAGCCTTCTTCCCTCCTATCCCTGTTTCCCAGCCACTCTGTTTTTCTTGCTCCCAGCAAGAGCATGTCGCCAGTTTCAGTGTTACAGGTTTCTGGGCTGTCCTTTCAAAGAGATTCTAAACATAGACAGTATCTTTTTCCTTTGGCTACCACCCCTCCTGTTACTACACAGACTGTAGCACACAGTGCACACTAGGCTGTCGTTTGCTTCTTTCACCCGATCATCTATCTTGGAGACCAGTCCCTTTCAATATATAAAGGGCTTCCTCGTTCTTTTATTTTTATATTGCCATGTAATACTCTATATCACGAGTCTATCATAACTTTCATAGCCAGCCTGTTATTAATGACATATAGATTATTTCCATCTTTTGCTTGTTATAAGCAAGGCTGCAGTAAGCCTAAGTCACTTGACTTGTGTAGCTCTATAGGACACATTATCTTACAGTTGGATTTACCAGAACAAAGGGCATTTGCATTTTAATTTGTAATAAATATTTCCAAGTTGCTCTCCATAAAGCAGGTTCTTCTCTCCCTCCTGCAACATATGAACATACCTGTTTCCCCAGGCCAACCAATGTGTTATCAAACTTTTTTTTAATTCTTGCAAATAGTGGATGAAAACGACTAGTTTGTTCTGTCCAACTGCCTGGACTCTCCTTCCACCTTTTCAGCACCTGCCCTCATGCCTCACCTTGAAGTTTTTCTACAGTGATTTTACATTTTCTTCTACCCTCTTTATCTCAAAAAAAATTTTTTTTCTAAGTTGGCAGAGCACATTCCTAACTATGAACTCCATTTTTGCATCTGGAGTGCCAAACACCAGCTTCTCTGAGTCCAAGGGTGGGGGCGCAAGCTCACTCTGTGACTGTGATTTGGACCTAAGTGAGTTTTTTAGTCACTTTGCTGTGCTTATGTGTCCTTTTCTGCTGTCTCAAAACTGCTCCTGTTCTTTGTTCCTTAAATACCACCTCTATAGGGCTATTTGTAGTGGCATTTTCCCAAAGGTTCAGGATAGCAGAGCACAGCAGACAACTGAAAATGGAACTGTGGATGTCCTGGTTTCTGGAAGTCCATTGCTCCCTCCTCCACTGGGCGTTTCTCACTGGCTTCCTTCTCTGCAGATTTTAGCCTTTTGCTAACCTGCGTGCACTTTCCCCTTTCCTCTGCCTCCTACTGGTTCCTAGCCCCAAAGTTTTAGCTGCTACTACAGAGTGGTCTAGCCATCTCTGATTTGCAGTTTCCCTTCAGAACGCACCTTCAAGATCCCTCATGTAAAATGAAGAGGCTCACGTTAAAAGGCCTAACAAGTAATTTTTCTCAAAAATAAAGTTCTTCCCCTAAGAGCAGCTTGACTATTAAGATACCAGTGTCTTCACTCATATCTTTTTTTTTTTTTTTTTTTTTTTGAGATGGAGTGTTGCTCTGTCGCCCAGGCTGAAGTGCAGTGGTGCAATCTTGGCTCACCGCAACCCCTGCCTCCCCGGTTCAAGCGATTCTCCTGCCTCAGGCTACCAAGTAGCTGGGGTTACAGGCACCCGCCACCACCATACCTGGCTAATTTTTTGTATTTTTAGTAGAGGCAGGGTTTCACTATGTTGGTCGGGCAAGTCTGGAAACTCCTGACCTCAAGTGATCCGCCCACCTCAGCCTCCCAGAGTGCTGGGTTTACAGACATGAGCTACTGCACTGGGCCTTTCACCCATATCTTGTCCCTGTGTGTCAGTTTTGCAAGGCAGTAATATCGAAACCAAATCCTAAAGCAGTTTATAATTTAGCCTGACACACTGTGCAAGCCAGGTTTTGTATGCAAGTTTGTGTGTATCATTAACTAATGAAATCTTAAAAAGCAGTTTGGCTTATTTATAGATAATGGAGCTGTTTCTTAACCTTGTGCCTTTTTTTTAAGCTGGTAGAAGCATATCCTGGTTATTATCTGGAATGTAGTAATACGGTAACCTTAAGAATGCCATAAATATTTAACCTAATAAGGGGATTGCTAGTCTTCTTTTCTTGATTGAAAGGGAAACAAATATTAATATTTGATCATTAATATGTGTTTTGGCTGTACAGATTTCTCCAGAGGCTGTCTTACTGCTTTTTGGTAATTAGAAATTACCAAAAAAAAAAAAAAAGAAAAGAAAACAAGACTAGTAACCCAAAAAGGACTTACTTGGTGAAATTGTCAATTGTCAGTTGGGCACTGTGGCCACTCCTTCCTATACTCTTCCCTGACTTCCAGAAGAGAAGCCAGGAACTAGGTCTCCCAGAGTCCCCTTTTATATGTGAAGTCCACTCCCAGGACTCCCAGGAAACTTGCAAGGCTGAAGAAAGAGAGGCAGTTAGTCATAGGAGACAGTTCAGTCAGATGTGTGAGCCAAGGCCAGTGTATGGTTTAGCAGCAGTGGACAGTCAGGCTCTGTGAATCACTCTTCCCAAGCTGCAGGCTGACAGAGGCTGAGATCCTTTCCAGACGTCTTGGCTTCTGGGCAAGTTCTGGAGAATCTCTCGCTTCAATATTGAATTGTATAACAACAGTACAAGGTCTAGGAGAAAAGAAATGGAAGTGTACTGTTGTCAGGTTCTTTATAGTATATGTGGAATAGTGCATAATATTACTTTAAAGTAGACTGTGGTAAGTAAAATATATAATATAAAATCCTTAACTTCTGAAAAAGAGTTATAGCTAATAGCCAACAAATGGGATAAAATGGAATCATAATAAATATTCTAATTAATCCAAAATAAGGCAGGAAAAGAGGGGAAAAAGAACAGATTGAACAAATAGCAGGATTTCTATAGAATTTGAATGGAAACCCAACCATATCAATAATCACAATGTAAATTGTCTAAACGTTTCAACTAAAAGGCAGAGATTGTTAGACTGAGTAAAAAAAAGCAAGACCTAACTATATGCTGCCTATAAGAAACTAACTATAGCTATGAAAACACATATAGATTAAATGTGAAAGGTTGGGGAAAAAATGTATTATGCAACACTGATCAACAGAAATTGGGAATGGATTGTTAATATCAGACAAAATAAATTATAGGGCAAAAAATATTACCAGGAATAAAAATGGTCATTTTAGAAAGATAAAGGGGTCAATTAAAAAAAAGGACATAACCATCCTAAACTTGTATGTATCTAATAACAGAGTTTTGAAATATGTGGGTCAAAACTGATAGAACTGAAAGGAGAAATACACAGTTATATACAATTATATTCAGAGATTTCTCTACCCTCAATAATTGCTAGAGCAAGGAGACAGAAAATCAGGAAGGATACGAAGACCTGAACAACACAATCAACCAACTTGATCTAACAGACTTATAGAACACTCCACCCAACAATAGCAGAATACACATTCTTTTCAAGTGTGCCCAGAACATTAACCAAGGTAGACCACATCCCGTATCATAAAATATCTCAATAAATCTAAAAGGATTCAAATCATTTAAAGAATGTTCTCTGACCACAGTGGGATTAAATGAGAAATCAATAATAGAAAAACATTTGGCAAATCCCCAAACATTTGGAAGAAATCCTGGAAGGAGAAGACAAGAGCAGTGGGCACAGGAAGAGGGGCAGAGTCAGTGGGAAGTGGTGACAACTGGGTACAGAGGTGAAGAAAAGGGGCAAATCTGAGATGACATTCATGTTTCTATGCTCAGAGGCATCCAAGAAGTGAGTTTAAGGGATGCATGGAGATAATTTTTTTTTTTTTGAGATAGAGTCTCACTCTGTCACCCAGGCTGGAGTGCAGTGGCGCTATCTTGGGTCACTGCAATCTCCGCCTCCCAGGTTCAAGCAATTCTCCTGCCTCGGCCTCCTAAGTAGCTGGGATTACAGGCGCCTGCCAACAGGCCCAGCTAATTTTTGTATTTTTAGTAGAGACGAGGTTTCTCCATGTTGGCCAGGCTGGTCTGGAACTCCTGACCTCAAGTGATCCACCTGCCTCGGCCTCCCAAAGTGCTGGGATTACAGGCGTGAGCCACCGTGCCCAGTGCATGGAGATAAATTTTATCAGTTTTTATTATACTGAGTTGCTGTATAACTTAAAAGTCAGTTTGATTTTTCACTGTAATACTGTTCACATACAGCCTCCAGCAGTGCACTTAAATAATATTTAAGATACTGCAGTATCTTAAATGTGGAACTCAGAAGGCTGTAGTGAAGAGTCAAAGCCTCTGGATCCCACGCTGAGTAAGGTGACCAATCATGGTTTGCCCATTTGCCTCCTCTGCCAGCATCTGATGAAGAAGCTGTGCCCTCTGAATGACTCCCAGTAGTATCAGATTCATGTGTCCACTGGAGGAGGGACCCAGGGAGGGCAGAAGTACCAGGCCATGGGCTGGGTCTGGGTTAATGGGGAAAGCTCCCTCATTATTGGAGATGGGGCAGTAGAAGTGGAGAGCCAAATTGGGGGAACACTTTCTGTGGGTACTCGGAAGGTTTTCAACCTAAAGACATGGTGGAGCACCTTCAAGAACAGGTTTTGGCGGGACTGACTTCTCTCCAAGCCCCCATTTCGGGGACTGTCTCATCCCATCCTGATGCTGTGGCTTCCTGTGTGTTTTGGGCTGGCTTCCATCTTGCTCGTCGGGACCCTGCCAGCTCCTTTGTTTTGTAGTTTTCTGCTCGATGCCTACAGTGTTTTCAGACTCCACCTTGGTCCCTTGTGTTTCAGCCCGAGAGGAAGTTTGGCGTGGTGGTGGTTGGTGTTGGCCGAGCCGGCTCCGTGCGGATGAGGGACTTGCGGAATCCACACCCTTCCTCAGCGTTCCTGAACCTGATTGGCTTCGTGTCGAGGTGGCTCACAATGTCTTTGTGCTTCATAATTCATGGAAAGCCCAGTGAGGCGGATTAGCTGCAGGACATGGAGATTTTCCAGACCCAGGGCAGGGAGAGCCATCTCCCAACTGAGAACTGTGCTTAGGGTCAGCCCCATAAGATCTCAGGTTGGGATGGGTCTGGGAACTGAAGCTTGCTGGGCCTGCAGCTGGGATGCACAGTAGGTTGGCCTGGGAGACTGGAAGACAGAGGCAGGAGGGTGAGCTCAAGGCTGACAGTTAGAGAAGGGGCACAGAAAACACATGCATGGGGCTTTGGCCTGAAAGGCTTTCGGTGTGCACCGGGGAATCCTGACATAGTCATCATGACAGCCATCCTAGGTGGTCCTGGGCTCTACATGTGATATTTCCTTCTGCGTAGTGTTATTAACCCCCCAGTTTACAGATAAGGAGGCTGAACCACAGAAAGGTTAAGTAATCTGCCTGAGGTCACACAGCTGGAAAGTCTAAGAACTGAAGTTGAGCAGAAGTCTGTTTCCAAAGCCCATCTTTTAAACACCATGTGTTCTTTTGCCATTGGTAATTTTGAGCCTCACTTTTATTATTATTATTATTTTTTTTGAGACAGAGTCTCACTCTGTCACCCAAGCTGCAGCGCAATGGTGCAATCACAGCGCACTGCAGCCTTGACCGTCTGGGCTCAAGTGATCCTCCCGCCTCACAGCTCAAGTGGTCCTCCTGCCTCAGCCTTCTGAGTAGCTGGGACTACAGACACACACACCACCACGCCTGGATAATTTTTTTTTTTTTTTTGTAGAGACAGGGTCTCCCTATGTTGCCTAGACTGGTCTCAAACTCCTGGGGTCAAGTGATCCTCCTGCCTCGGCCTCCCAAAGTGCTGAGATTATAGGCGTGAGCCAGTGCACCCAGCCTCCCCCTTTTCTTTAAGGATTCATTTATCTCCAGTCAAAATCAAACTTATCACCTTGTTTCTTCTTCCCCCATGCTCAAATTTTCCACTCACCCCTGTACACACACACACACACACGCACCACTCACCAGACTAATCCTGTATAACATCATTTGTCAATATTAATTGTGAACTAGATACAGGCACCAGACTAATCCTGTGTAACATCATTTATCCATATTAATTTTGGACTAGGTGCAGGCACTGGGCTGGGCCTGAAGACATGGTAGTGAGCAAGTTAGGCAACTCTTTTTCTAGTGCTTTAGAGACATCAGATAAATATTTACACAAAGCATAAGTAACAATTGTGATAGTCTATGTAGAAATTTTTTCATGTTTTCATTCATGGGGCCATCCTCTTCCGGCCTGTCTCAAAACATGGCCCCACTTTTAAGGATTTAAAATGGGCTTGGAAGCACCAGGGAGACCCAGAAGTGCTAGAATCTGCCCTTGGGCCAGCCTTCTCCTCCCCATAAGATTCCAAGGGAGCTGCACACAAATGGGAGAGCAAAGTTAAGATCAGGCAGCACCGTAACCCCCATCGCACCCCTATCTGGAGCTGGGACCACACACAGCACTTGGGCGCAAGGCTGAAATGGGACCTTTCCTTTTCCCTTAAGCCCCAGTCCTCTGCCAGTTGGCTTCCAGGGTCAGCTCAGTGGGAACACCTACACTACCCAGGTTGTATGGGAGGATGGCCAGGTCACACCCCTGCATGACAGCCCTGCCAGTACTCACACTGTTTCCCTCTTCACATACCCTTCCCTTCCTGACCTACCTGCTAAGTTCTACCTCCTCCCCAGGAAGCTTTTCTGGTGTATTCCTTTCCCACCCTGAGTCTCCATCTCCTACTTCCAAGCACCACATTTCTCCTGGTAGTCTTGTGGTAGTGGTATGTACGTGTGTGTGTGTGTGTGTGTGTGTGTGTCTTCCTCTAGCTGACTGAGCTCATTGAAAGGCGATGATTTTAATTTGTTCTCCATGATTTCTCCTACAGCGCCTAGTACATAATAGGCAAACAATAAGTATTGCTGAAATTGAGCAATTTAGTTTGGGTGGCCCCATTAAAGAAACCTAGCATAATACTCTTTGGGAGCTAAATTTTCCTGAATGCTTTCTGCCTGCTGCAGCTCAGCTGGAGCTCTGAGCGGGCTGAGGGCCTTCTGCTTGCTAGCTGTCCCACATTCCCCCATGACTGCCACCCTTAGAGGGCTACTCTCCTGCCCCAGCCGCTGCACTGGGAGGTGTACGGACTGCTGGGGCTTTGGCTCTTCGAAGACTGCAGCTCCCCCATGCTCTAGAAGAGTCAGAAGGCCTTGGGTTCCCCTCCTGCTTCTGCTCCTGGTTAGTCAAGGCTATCACTGCCTATTATGTGCTAGGCATTATAGGAGAAATCATGGAGAACGAATTCCTCACCTTCCAATGAGCTCAGTCGGCCAGAGGGAGGAAGACACACACACACACACAAACACACACACAGACACACACACACACAAACATGTGTGCGTACATACTACTGGGCTTCGTTAGCTTAGCTATAAAGTAGCTCGAAGTCGCATGCCAGTTTGCACCCTAAATGTGTTAACGTATTGGATTTGGATTAGGTTTGGTAGTCACAATGTTTGGCCAAGTGCTTGGAACTGGAAGTGACCATAGAGATCACTTCTCATGAGATAAAAGTAGATTGTTCCTTTTATTTTTATGTTATTTTATTTTTGAGGAGTCTTGCTCTGTCACCCAGGCTGGAGTGCTGTGGTGCAATCTCGGCTCACTGCAACCTCCATCTCCCGGATTCAAGTGATTCTCCTGCCTCAGCCTCCCAGGTAGCTGGGATTACAGGCGCCCACCACCACATTTGGCTAACTTTTGTATTTTTTGTAGATACAGGTTTTCACCATGTTGGCCAGGCTGGTCTTGAACTCCTGACCTCAAGTGATCCACCCACCTCGGCCTCCCAAAGTGCTGGGATTATAGGCTTGAGCCACCGCGCCCAGCTGTTTCTTTTGTTTTGGAGATGAAGTAATTCAAGACTCTCCCAGGTCATACACGCTGTGAATGGTACTGTTGGCACTCAATGCCAGATCCCCTGACTTGAACTCTGAGGCTATTTTTCTCACTCCACAATGGAAAATAGCCTGGAAGTGGGAGAGAAGAAACTCATTTCTTCATTTCTGGCAGCAGATCACCAGGACCTGTCGGGAGGAGGGGAGAAGGATGGTGCTCCTTTCTTCTGTCTACCATTGAGTTCCATTTCTCTGTTACTCTGAAATAGAAGGGAGCTCGGGAGCATTGATGGAGTCCAGCAGATTTCTTTGGAGGATGCTCTTTCCAGCCAAGAGGTGGAGGTCGCCTATATCTGCAGTGAGAGCTCCAGCCATGAGGACTACATCAGGTGGGTTTTCCACACAGGCAGTCCTTGCCTTACACAGCAGTGCAGTACTGCAAAAATGAGCAAGCAAGCTAAAACACCCTGCAAAGGAGTCAGAAGAGCCAGTGAGAAAATTACAATTGCTCTGTGACCAATCACAGAAGTGTCAAAACATTAAGAAATTCTTATTGCTGGTTATAAATATATAAGGAAGTGAAAAATAGTAAAATTAATATTTAGTATGTGTAATTTGAAACATTAGAAACATTCAGAATTAAAGTGTTTTATTTCTCTGTAAAAACCCATCGAGAGTAGTTTTCAACAGTAGTGGCCTCCTTCTTCTCACCAGACAGTTTAGGATGTGGAGCCGGCATCCTTGGCAAATTATCATACTCCCTTCTCAGTTTGGATCAGCTTCCAACGTTTTCTCCTTTGTGCTTTCAATGTCATAAAATAACGGTTGAGTTCCTTTAACCCTCAGGACCTGGCAGCTAACAGGGAAGTGCCAGCTGCCTTCCTCAGTCTAGCTTCCTTCTAGGTTCTTACAGCTGCTCCCACCATGCTGTTTCCCACGGGTAAGATGCTTCCTCTTTATCAGTCTAGCTCTAGAGTAGACAAAAACACCTCTCCTTGGCTTTCCTTAACCTTTTCTGGCACCAGAGTGTATTTCCTTAAGAAAAGTGATTCTGACATAAGTCCCATGCTTATAAATATTTGTACTCTGGTATCCACAGAATGAAATCTGAACTGCTGAGCACAGAATTGTAGGTCCTTCACAGTCAGGCCCCCAGCTACTTTTCCAACGTTATTATCCTCCACGGCCTGTAGTCCACTCCCCTGCCACACTGAAGTTTGCCGATTGAACAAAGCCCCACAAATGCCCAAGCCCCTGCATACGCTGCTCACAGTGAAATATACTCACATGTTGCACCTGGAAAATGTCTGCTCATACTTTGAGACCCAGTTCATAGGTCCTTAGTGAAATCTTTTCAGACTGCCTCAGGCAAAGCTAGCCGCTGTGGGTTTTGTAGCCTTTATAGCTACCATGTGGTGATAGGAAATTTATTTGTTAATGTGTCTTTATTTCTCCTCCACAGTAATTGGTAAATAGTACTTAGTTGAATAAATGAATGGTTGAATGTTCAAATTAACACATAACCAGAAAGTTGATCTGTCACAGGATAGTAGAAAACAATGTGGGATACAGTTCTTCCTCCATATCCCGTGGCACTGACTCCTACCCCCAGTCATGACACATTCACACACAGAAACTCTCATGCCTTTATAACATTCTGTTCTCTATTATGCAGAGCATTTCAGTGAAGCTTATTCGAAGTGTTCTTTCTCTGTATTTGTCTCGTTTACCAAAGGCAGTTCCTTAATGCTGGCAAGCACGTCCTTGTGGAATACCCCATGACACTGTCATTGGCGGCCGCTCAGGAACTGTGGGAGCTGGCTGAGCAGAAAGGTAATGTATCTTACCAAGAGTTTCTGCCTCCAGGATTTCTGTGATATCATCTTTATGCCTTTAAAACTTAACCCCATTTCAGATATCTCCTCCTCCTGGCTACACTGGCACTGTGGGCTCCCAACTGCCTCCTCACCCCCACACTGTAAACACAGATAGTGGAGGGCAGAAGGATGGGTGGGAATTTGCAAACTTTTGGTCAAAGCTTATCAGCTTATTTTACTCACTCTAAGGAAAAAATATGAATTAGTTTTCACCTATGCTTATGTCATGATATTATTTTGGCTTTATTCATGTGATACTTATATTGCTAAATGCTGGGATATCCTAAAAATGCTCAAATCAGAGAAACTGATTGTCTTATTTGCATAGTTTGTAGTTTTTGTTGTTTCTAAACAGGAATAACCATTTATTAAATATTTAGTATATGCTAGGAACTTGGAAACTCTGCTAAGCACTTCATATGTTATTTTGCTTAATTCTTCTAGAATCCCTTGGAGGTATATATTTTCTCTAGATGCTGTATAGAAAAATATGGCTCAAAGAAGTTAATTTGTGCCAGGTCACAAAGCTAATAACATGACTACTAAGTGGGAGGTAGAGATTTTAATCAAATCCTACAGGGCTCTTAAGTTCACATTTGTTCCCCTAAGCCATACCACCCTCCAGAAGGGAGAAATTAAGACTTTCCCAGGCCAGACGCAGTGGCTCATGCCCTGTCAGCCCAGCACTTTGGGAGGCCAAGGAGCTTGGGACAACCCTGGGCAACATAATGAGACCCTGTTTCTACAAAAATCTTTTACAACTTTTTTTTTTTTTTTTTTGGTGGGGTACAGAGTCTTGCTGTGTCACCCAGGCTGGAGTTCAATGGCACCATCTCAGCTCACTGCAACCTCCGCCTCCTGGGTTCAAGGGATTCTCCTTCCTCAGCCTCCTGAGTAGCTAGGATTACAGGCGCCCACCACCATGCCCAGCTAATTTTTGTATTTTTAGTAGAGATGGGGTTTCACGATGTTGGACACAATGGTCTCAAACTCCTGACCTCGCGATCCACCCACCTCGGCCTCCCAAAGTGCTGGGATTACAGGCATGAGTGACCGTGCCCGGCATACAAAATTTTTAATTACAAGAAAAAAAAAAAAAGACTCAGCTGGGCACAGTGGCTCACACCTGTAATCCCAGCACTTTAGGAGGCTCTGATGGATAGATTATTTGAGCCCAGGAGTTTGAGACCAGCCTGGGCAACATGGTGAAACCCCATCTCTACTGAAAATACAAAAATTAACTGGGTGTGGTGGTGCATACCGGTAGTCCCAGCTACTTGGAAGTTCACCTGAACCTTAGGAGGTTGAGGCTGCACTGAACCATGATCGGGCCACTGCACTCTAGTCTGGGCAACAGAGTGAGACCCTGTCTCAAAAATAAAAATAAAAATTCTTTAAAAGACCTACCCAGACAAACAAAAACCAAGTGAGTTGATCACTACTAGACCTGCCCTACAGGAAATGCTAAAGGAAGTCTTTCAAGTTAAAGTGAAAACACTAGACAGCAACACAAAAATATTGCTCTCTGGTAAAGGTAAATATATAGACAAATACAGACTTCCGTAGTATTGTAATGTTGACATATAAATCACTTTAGGCCAGGCACGGTGGCTCAAGCCTGTAATCCCAGGACTTGGGGAGGCCGAGGCAAGCAGATCATTTGAGGTCAGGAGTTCAAGACCATCCTGGCCAACATGGTGAAACCCCATCTCTACTAAAAATAAAAAAATTAGCTGGGCGTGGTGGCGCTTGCCTGTAGTCCCAGCTACTCAGGAGGCTGAGGCAGCAGAATTGCTTGAACCTGGGAGGCGGAGGTTGCAGTGAGCTGAGATGGTGCCACTGCACTCCAGCCTGGGTAACACCATGAAACTCTATCTCTAAATAAATAAATATCACTTTAAATCCTGGCATAGAATTTAAAAGACAAAAAAATACAAACTATGTTAATGGATGTATAGTATAAAAAGATGTAATTGGTAACATTAATAGCAAAATGGGGGGTCAGAGATATAAAGGAGTAGAATTTTGTATGTGATTGAGTTAAGTTGTTAGCAGTTTAAAATAGATTATGCAGTCGGGTGTGGTGGCTCATGCCTGTCATCCCAGCACTTTGGGAAGCCGAGGCTGGTGGATCACCTGAAGTCAGGATTTCAAGAGGAGCCTGGGCAACATGGTGAAACTCCGTCTCTACTAATAATACAAAAATTAGCTGGGCCTGGTGGCACGTGCCTGTAATCCCAGCTACTCCAGAGGCTAAGGCACGAGAATCGCTTGAACCCAGGAGGTGGAGGTTGCAGTGAGCCAAGATTGTGGCATTGCACTTTAGCCTGGGCGACACAGTGAGACTCCATCTCAGAAATTAAATACATACATAAATAAATAATAAAAATAGATTGTGCCTGTAATCCCAGCACTTTGGGAGGCTGAGGCGGGCGAATCACCTGAGGTCAGGATTTCAAGACCAGCCTAGCCAACATGGTGAAACCCCATCTCTACTAAAAATACAAAAATTAGCCAGGTGTGGTGGCGCGCACATATAGTCCCAGCTACTGGGGAGGCTGAGGCAGGAGAATTGCTTAAACCCAGGAGGCAGAGGTTGCAGTGAGGGAGATCGCACCACTGCACTCCAGCCTGGGCGATGGAGTGAGACTCTGCTCAAACAAAACAAAACAATACAAAACTGACAAGATGTAATGAAAGCAGTACTAAGAGAGAAGTGGATAGTTGTAAATGCTTACATTAAACAAGAAGAAAGATCTCAATTCAACATCCTAACTTTACATTTCAAGGGACTAGGAAAAGAAGAGCAAACTCAATCGAAAATTAGCAGAAAAAAGCAAGTAAAGATTAGAACATAAATAAAATAGAGAGTAGAAAAGCAATAGAAAAAAATCAACAAAACCAAGTTTTTTTGAAAAAAATCCATAAAATTGACAGAATTTTAGCAGATTAAGAAAAAAAAGAGTCGGCCGGGTGCAGTGGCTCACGCCTGTAATCCCAGCATTTTGGGAGGCCAAGGAGGACAGATCACAAGGTCAAGAGTCCAAGACCTGCCTGGCCAAAATAGTGCAACCCCATCTCTACTAAAAATACAAAAATTAGCCAGGCATGGTGGCACATGCCTATAGTCCCAGCTACTCGGGAGGCTGAGACAGGAGAATCACTTGAACCCAGGAGGTGGAGGTTGTGCTGAGGGGAGGTTGTGGTGAGCCGAGATTGCACCACTGTACTCCATCCTGGGCAACAGAGCGAGACTCTGTCTCACAAAAAAAAAAAAAAAAGAAAAGAAAAGAAAAGAAAAAAAGAGTAAAGACTCAAACTAAAGTCAGAAGTGAAAGAGGAGACATTACAACAAATGCTGCTGAAATAAAAAGGATTATATGAGACTACAATGAACACTTATACAATTGTTATACTCCAACAATCGGATAATCTAGAAAGGGATAAATACCTAGTAGCATATAACCTACTAAGACTGAATCATGAAGAAACAAAAATCTGAACAGATTTATAACTAGTAAGGAGATTGAACCAGTAATTAAACACCTCCCAATAAAGAAAAGCCTAAAACCAGATGGCTTCACTGGAGAATTCTACCAAGTGTTTCAGTCTCTTCAAAAAGTGGTCCCAGGAAAACAGGATATCCACATGCAAAAGAATGAAGTTGGACACTTACCTTACACCATATAAAAAATTCACTCAAATGGATTAAAGAACTAAATTTAAGACCTAAAACTGTAATATTGTTAGAAGAAAACATGGGAAAGCATCAAGATATTGGATTTGGCAATAATGTCTTACATACGACATCAAAAACACAGGCAAAAAAAGCAAAAAACAGACAAATGGACTAATCAAACTTAAAACCTTCTGTGCCTCAAAGGAAGCAATCAACTGAGTGAAAAAGCAGTCTATGTAATGGGTGAAGATATCTGCAAATCTTATCTTTGATAAGAGATCAATATCCAGAATGTCTAAAGAACTCTACAACTCAACAACAAACAAACCAAATAAACTGATTTTAAAATGGGCAAAGGACTTGGATAGACATTTTTCTGAAGAAGTTATTCAGACGGCAAACAATCATATGAAAAGATGCTCAATACCACTAATCCTTATAGAAAATGCAAATCAAATCCACAGCCACCGTCAGTAACCACCAGCATCAGTCAGCAGCCATCAACATGGAAGCAAGACCTTCCTTCAGCAAAAAGATGGAGGATCAGATGGTAGCATTTTTTGTTTGTTTTTGTTTTTTGGTTTTTTAAGACAGTCTCGCCCTGTTACCTAGGCTTGAACGCAGTGGCGCAAACCTCCGCCTCCTGGGTTCAAGTGATTCTTGTGCCTCAGCCACCTGAGTAACTGGGATTATAGGTGCACACCACCACACACAGCTAATTTTTGTATTTTTAGCAGAGATGGGGTTTCGCCATGTTGGCCAGGCTGGTCTTGAACTCCTGGCCTCAAGTGATCCGCCTGCCTGAGCCTCCCAAAGTGCTGGAATTACAGGCATGGGCCAACATGCCCAGCTCAATAACGTATTTTTAAATTAAGGTACGTACGTTGTTTTCCTAAACATAGTGTTATCACATACTTAACAAACTACAATATAGTATAAACATAACTTGTGTATGAACCGGGAAACTAAAATATTCATGTGACTCCCTTTATTGCAATATTCACTTTATTGTGGTGGTCTGGAATGAAACCTGCAGGATCTCTGAGGTATGCATGTAACCGCATACAACCATCAAAATCTGGAAATTGGCATTGGTACATTACAACAATCTAATCCTCAAACCTCATTCAAATTTCACCAGTTGTCCCAATAACATTCTTTATGGCAAAATGACTGAGTTCAAAATCATGTATTATCTTTTATTGACATGTCACTTTTAGTGTCCTTCATTCTGGACAGTTCCTCCATCTTTTCTTGACAATTATGAATATTACAGTTAGTTATTGTGTAAAATGTCCCTAAATTTGAATATATCTGATGTTTCTTCATGATTAGATTTGGGGTATGCATCTTTCACAGAAATAGTATGCAAGTGGCCAGGCATGGTGGCTCACACCTGTAATCCTAGCACTTTGGGAGGCCAAGGCAGGCAGATTACTTGAGGTCAGGAGTTCAAAACCAGCCTGGCCTACACTGTGAAACCCCGTCTCTACTGAAAATATCAAAAAAATTAGCCAGGCATGATGTGGGCACCTGTAATTCCAGCTACTCGGGAGGCTGAGGCAGGAGAATTTCTTGAACCCGGGAGGCACAGTTTGCAGTGAGACGAGATCGCACCACTATACTCCAGCCTGGGTGACAGAGGGAGACTCCCCATCTCACAAAAAAAAAAAAAAAAAAAAAAAAAAAAAGGAAACGATGCTGTTTTTCACATTGTGTTCTGTCAGGTAACATCCAATATCAGTTCATCTAATTACTAATGATATCACTTCATTAGGTGGTGTCTGACGGGCTTTTCCACTGAAAGTTACTTTTTTTCCCTTTGTAATCAGTGATTATTTTGTGAGAAGGTAGTTTATAACTAGTTAAATATCCATTCTCATCACACTGTCTGATATTCATTTATTATTTTATATCAGTAGAAACTCATAGCTTTGTTTTGTTTTTCTATTCAGTGCTGTTGTTACTTTTTATTATTCATATTGATGTCCACATTGTTCCAAATTTGCTCAGTGGGGAACCTCTTCCTGCCAGCTCCCTTGTCATTTTGTTATGTTTCCATTATTCTTTGAATTCTTGCTTTCTGGCACAAAGTGGTTAAGGCTCATCTTGTACTTTCTCTGCCTCAGCCTTGGAATTAGTCAGTTCTCCAATGGCTAATAACGTTTTGATGGCAAGATTTGGACACTGCTTGTGCTTATGGCTTTGGGCTATCTCTGCAAGCCCTTTCAGTGAACAGACCTGGGAATATATGGATACGGATGTGTGTGTGTACTGTGGTTACCATGTGTGTTTATCACAATCAGGCATTGAGTGAACGACAGGAAAACAACAAAAGACACAGCTGGAAAATACATAGTTTCTTTAATAACCATGGATGTGGAAACACAGAGACTGTTACATAGTGCTGGGGAAAATATAACATGTTCCCCAGAGTTTCACGGTGGGGTGGGGGGCAGTGGGCGAAACTACCTGTGAGGAGAAAAGCTTGTACTTATTGCAAAGCATTTTGTGCCATTTAGTTGTTGCAAAGCCATTTTGTGCCAGAAAGCTTCTACTTATCACAAGAAGTTCCTTTTGCCACATTCACGTCTGAAGGAGTGGGTGGGAAGGACCCCATCCTCCCACACACCTGACATTTCTGGAGACTCCTGCGACAGACATCCTCCTTGCTCCTGAGGTGCAGGTCAAGCCCAGAGCATTTGGCAGTATTTGCTGTGATGCTGGGTTAGACAAAGGCAACCGTCCCAGGAGCATCTCCCACTGACCCAGATTTCTGTCTGTTTCAGTGAAACTGTAGATCATAACCACACTTTGTACTTAATCACAAAATAGTTCTGGTGTTTTAGGAAGCTTTTGGCCTAGAAATGAAAAAATTTTTATAGAGCGAAAAAATTTTATATAGCAAAAAAATTGTTAACAGCTTTCTTTTATAATCCAAAATTTATTTTATTTTATTTTTATTTTTATTTTTTGAGATGGGCTGCAGTGCACTGGTACGATCTTGGCTAACTGCAACCTCCACCTCCCAGGTTCAAGTGATCTTCCCAGCTCAGCCTCCCAAGTAGCTGGGACCACAGGTGCATGCCACCACACCTAGCTAATTTTTTGTATTTTTTGTAGAGGCCAGGTTTTGCCATGTTGCCCAGGCTGGTCTCAAACTCCTGAGCTTAGGCAATCCACTTGCCTTGGCCTCCCAAAGTGCTGGGATTATAGGCATGAGCCACCAAGCCTGGGCACGTTCTTACTCTGTTAGATTTTTATGCTGCACTGCCTCCTCCTGTCTAGAACAGTAGCTAACTGTCTCCTGGCCCACAGACACATCCCTGATCTCATCTTGCCTTTGGACACAGGTAGATACCATCTTGTTCTCTTAAATTTTCATTTCATTTCTCAGGTTTTCGTTTCATTCATTTCTCTTTTTTTCTTTTTCTTTTTGAAACGGAGTCTCACTCTGTCGCCCAGGCTGGAGTGCAGTGATGCAATCTTGGCCCACTGCAATTTCTGCCTCCCAGGTTCTAGTGATTCTCCTGCCTCAGCCTCCCAAGAAGGTGGGCTTACAGGTGCCCACCACCACACCTGGGTAATTTTTGTATTTTTAGTAGAGGTGGGGTTTCACCATGTTGGCCAGGCTGGTCTGGAACTCCTGACCTCAGGTGATCTGCCAGCCTCGGCCTTCCAAAGTGCTGGGATTACAGGCATGAGCCACCATGCCTGGCCTTCATTTCATTCATTTCTGTTGTAAGCTTAGAAGTAGCAGCCTCTTCAGCTGGGGTGGGTGACAGTGGTAGGGAGGCCATCCTGGCCATGTGCCCAGGGCAGTTATGAGTGCTTCATGTCTTGTGTTAGGGGATGACAGAGTACCCTCTGGGATGCACACCTAGACACAACTGACGACTGCCCTTTTTATTCCATTTTTGTCGTTACAGGAAAAGTCTTGCACGAGGAGCATGTTGAACTCTTGATGGAGGAATTCGCTTTCCTGAAAAAAGAAGTGGTGGGGAAAGACCTGCTGAAAGGGTCGCTCCTCTTCACAGGTCAGTGCTACGTGGGATCACAGGTCACATGTGAGGTCCAAAGACCAGCCAGATTCTTTCCTGGCTCTCTGGGATGGGAGCTTATATTCATTTCTGCTCAAGACTCTCTGACTCAGGGCCACTTAATTTTCCCAGATGGGATTTAATTCCTTGGTGGCCCTTGGGTAAAGAGTATGTTAGAAATCTCAAGCATATTTGTGCTCTGTCCCAACCTATTAACTAGTTGGAGATTATTTTTCAACAGGAAGTTGTACATTAAAACTCTTTTAAAAGGATGAGAGGTGCTTGGAGAGGAGAACATTTTTATACTTCCTTGCAAAGCAAATATAATATGAAGAGCTCCCTTCCTCCTCTAGCAAGTTACAAGGACATTGGCAGCAACCACAGTATTTATTTATTTATTTATAATAAATAATAAATATTTACTTATTCTGTTCTTACTCTGTTGCCCAGGTCTTACTCTGTTGCCCAGGCTGGAGTGCAGTGGTGCAATCATAGCTCACTGTAGCCTCAACCTCCCAGGCTCAAGCAGTCCTCCCACCTCAGCCTTCCAAGTAGCTGGAAACACAGATGTGCGCCACAATACCCAGCTAATTTTAAAATTTGTGTAAACAGTGTCTCCCTATGTTGCCCAGCCTCATCTCAAACTCCTGGGCTCAAGTGATCCACCTGTCTTGGCCTCCAAAGTGCTGGGATTACAGGCATGAGCCACCGTGCCCAGCTGACCACAGTATCTGATCTGTATTTGTAGCTGTTTACTTGATGTTGGTCACTCTTTGAGCAGCTCCGTTAGCAATAGGAAATGGGCATGCAGGAAGCTCCTGCTCTTGTGGCCACTTTTGGATGGGCTCCTTCTCTGGCCGTATCGTTGGGCACCTGGGCCACCATTCCTGAGGGCTTTCATTACAGAAAGGAGACCCTGACATGGCCTGGCATTTTTGCACGGTAAAGCCACTGATACATAGTAGAACCTCATTTCAAAATCTGTCTTCATCCTTGAAAATGGTAATATAATGAGAGTACAAACCATTAATTTGTACAAGAAACTGTGTTAAGTTAAGTAAGTTAAGTACAAGTAACTGTGATGTGCATTAATCCATATGACAATCCTATAAAGTGGTATTCACTACCCCCATTATACAGATAAACTGAAGTTCAGAGGCATGAGTGGCTTCACAGAGGTAACGTAGCGGTCATGAGACAGAGCTGGATTGGAGCTCAGCTCTCTAAGTGGCTGGAACTGTTGTGGGTGGCTGCTTAGTATTCTGTCCAAAGAACTAGGCTGGGCATAGTGGCTCACGCCTGTAATTCCAGCACTTGGGGAAGCTGAGGCTGGTGGATCACCTGAGGTCAGGAGTTTGAGACCAGTCTGGCCAACATGGTGAAACACCGTCTCTACTAAAAAAAAAAAATACAAAAATTAGTCGGGCATGGTGGCACGCACCTGTAATTTCAGCTACTTGAAAGGCTGAGGCAAGAAAATCGCTTTAACCCAGGAGGCAGAGGTTGTAGTGAGCCGAGATCGCACCACTGCACAGCCTAGGTGACAACGAGACTCTGTCTCAAAAACAAACAAACAAACAAACAAAAAAGAACTAGAGCAGACAGTAACCAGCCCTGGGGAAGTCTTTTTGTTTTGTAAGTTTGATACTTAGGCCCCAGTGATTTCAAACCATATTGTCTATGAAAATTCTAATTTTTGTTTGGTTTTATATATAACTTATTACTTTTTAAGAATATACTCATTGTTATTAGTCATTGTTTTAAGTGAATATCAAGGTCATAAGAAATGTTTTGTTTATAATGTAATGTAACAGATATGAAGTCTTTTAAACTTAGGTTATGTTTAAGATTTTGGCTGGAGGCAGACGGGAGCAGTATCTTGACCAAATGGATTTCTCACACCAATACTCTTTTTTATGTTTATATATATATATTTTTTTGATATAGGGTATCACTCTGTCACCCAGGCTGGAATGCAGTGGTACAATTATGGCTCACTGTAACCTCGAACTCCTCAGGCCCAGATGATCCTCCCACCTTAGCTTCCTGAGTAGCTGGGGCTGCAGGTGTGCACCACGACACCCGCCTAATTTTGTGTGTTTTTTTGTAGAGACAGAGTCTTGCTATGTTGCCTAGGCTGGTCTTGAACTCCTGGGCGCAAGCAGTCTGCCAGCCTTGGCCTCCCGAAGTGCTGGTATTATAGGCATGAGCTACTGTACGTGGCCTTTTTAGGCTTACTGCAACCTCTGCCTCCCGGGCTAAAGTGATTCTCCTGCCTCAGCCTCCCAAGTAGCTGGGGTTACAGGCACCCGTCACTATGCCCGGGTAATTTTTGTATTTTTTTTTACTAGAGACGGGGTTTTGCCATGTTGGCCAGGCTAGTCTCGAACTCAAGTGATCCACCCACCTTGGCCTCCCAAAGTGCTGGGACTACAGGCGTGAGCCACCACGCCTGGCCCCAATACTCTTTTGAGTGTACTTTTTTGTTCACAAGATTAGGAAGACTAAGAAAACATTTAACATTGTATCAATTTTCTTGATATTGAAATAGCTCAAAGGTATTACCATTTTCTCCATAGCTATTATAATACCTTCATACCTTATTGCCACTTACACATCAGGTAGTTATAAGAATACAGGCTTGCAGGGCTAAAATACTTTGATTCTTCTACTTTTACCAGACTACTTTAAATCACTAAAGAGGATATATATATATGTATATGTAGGTATGTGTTGTGTGTGTGTGTGTGTGTATGTATATCTACATATGTGTACATAGATGTATATATTAGAAGCCTGAAACTTTTTTATTATCCTGTTTGGCTGGATTGACTGCTGTTTCCAGTAGAATGTTTTACTAAAACTCAATTTAATAAACAGGAAAAGACAGAGATGCTTTTATGATAGAGTTGAAGTTCAGCCACCTGAGTTTTCATCAGTATCATTAATCACGTTGCCTGCCTACCACATAAGGCAAGGTCCCATTGTACTGATCACTCGGCCACATCTTTTCACACCCCCGCCACCCCCACCCCCCTGTCCTGCTTTCCACTTGGCATTCCTGCTTCCCAGTTCCCACAGCATTTGTGATTTCCCACAGCTGGCCCGTTGGAAGAAGAGCGGTTTGGCTTCCCTGCATTCAGCGGCATCTCTCGCCTGACCTGGCTGGTCTCCCTCTTTGGGGAGCTTTCTCTTGTGTCTGCCACTTTGGAAGAGCGAAAGGAAGATCAGTATATGAAAATGACAGTGTGTCTGGAGACAGAGAAGAAAAGGTAAGTCATGAGAAGCCATGAGGAGGAGGAAATTTAAGGACATCCTAGTACATTTGCAGGTATGATCCAAAGGGAGCCCCGAGGGGCTAGACCCTCACTCCCAGCTCCAGAAGGGCTGTCTGCTTCTGCAGATGGAGTGCTGAGATTGCACTTGTGTTGCCTCATCTCATCCTCTCAGCAGCCCTGTGAGGTAAAGAAGACAAACATAATCCCATCTGCCAGTCAGTAGACAGAGGCTTACAGAATGCCAGCAGGTTGCCTAAGTCATGCAAGTCATTCATAGCAGATTAGTAGTGGAAATTACATTACCTTGGCTGGGCGTGGTGGCTCAGGCCTATAATCCCAGCACTTGGGGAGGCCAAGGGTGGTGGATCACCTGAGGTCAGGAGTTTGAGACCAGCCTGGCTAACATGGTGAAACCCTGTCTCTACTAAAAATGCAAAAATTAGCCGGTGTGGCGGTGCATGCCTGCAGTCCCAGCTCCTTGGCAGGCTGAGGCAGGAGAATTGCTTGAACCTGGGAGGCAGAGGTTGCAGTGAGCTGAGATCAGGCCACTGCATTTCAGCCTGGGCAACAGAGCGAGACTCCTTCTTGAAAAAAAAGAAAAGAAAAAGAAATTATGTTAACTCTGTGACCTGATTTTTTTCCTGTGTTTTCTTATGAAAGTTTTCGGGCATATTGTGAAGTTGAAAGAATTTTTAAGTAAACACCCATCCACCTACTCCCTAGACCCTGCCATTAACACTGTACATGTTCCCCGCAGGGCCACACATTCACCCCTCAGTGCAGCCAGAGTGTGAGGGTCTGTGTTTCAGCTTTAGCATCCCATCACCCTGTCACACTGTTCCCAAAACATTCTGACTTATTTCTCATACCAGGTCTTTTTTAACAAAAGCACATTCATAATTTTCCTCCCAAAGCACCTGGGCTCTGTAAATTATTTAGAACAGTAAGGGTTTTAGAGTGTTTCTGGATGCCTTTGCAGAGAGGTGGGTCTCCTGGTAGTAAAAGAAGCAGACACTGGGTATTTTAAAAAGAAAAAAGAATTTGAGTTCCTGAATGAAGCCTGATCTAGTCCATTTTGAGGAGTTTCTTCTTCGCTAGGAAAAGGCAGAGAGGCCTGGCAGATGAAAGCAAAGCACATGGAACTTGGCAGTGCTCCCTATGGAGTGACCAACAGTGGTGGCCCGGGCTCTGGTGTGGCCATGTGAGTGTTAGGATTGCAGCCGTGGTCAGACCTATACACAGACAGTTGTAGCACCCTGTAATTAGAGGTAAAGATACTGTAGGGTGCTGTAGGAGCACAGGGAAGGGGAACCTGGACTAGGTCAGCTCATGGTTCTGATGGGAGGCGGTGCCTTGTTTGGTCTTGAAGTTGAGTAGAAGTCAATGAGGAAGCAAGATGTTGGGGAGGCAGAGGCTGACTCTCTCTCTCTTTTTTTTTTTTTTTTATGAGACAAAGTCTTGCTCTGTCACCCAGGCTGGAGTGCGGTGGTGTGATCTCAGCTCACTGCAACCTCCATCTCCCGGGTTCAAGTGATTGTCCTGCCTCAGCCTCCCGAGTAGCTGGGATTATAGGCGCCTGCCACCACGCCCGGCTCATTTTTGTATTGTTAGTAGAGACAAGGTTTCACCATGTTGGTCAGGATGGTCTTGAACTCCTGACCTCAAGTGATCTGCTCACCTTGGCCTCTCAAAATGCTGAGATTACACGCATGAGCCACTGCACCCAGCCCTGGCTCTCATTTTTGCACAGGAGAGGCAAGCATCAGATGAGGGATTGGGACAGAGAGCAGTTAATATAATATAATAGTAACTTCTTAAAATCATAGTACTTTCCGTGTCCCAAATTGCATTTTTAAATTTTTTTATCTATTTATTTATTTATTTTGAGACCGGGTTATGAGACTGGCTGATTTTCGTATTTTTGGGTAAGATGGGTTTTTGCTATACTGTCTAGGCCGGTCTCAAATTCCTGGGCTCAAGCGATCCACCCACATCAGCCTCCACGCCTGGCCACAAACTGCATTTTTATCTCACAATGTCACAGCAAGATAGGTAAAGCTGTATACTTATTACCATTACTTATTTTTACTAGTGAGGAAATTGAGGTACAAGAAAGATCTTGACATTCTGCATTCCCTCAAATCCCAAGATTCCATATTATTTAAAAGGACATGAGAGGCCGGGCACAATGGCTCACGCCTGTAATCCCAGCACTTTGGGAGGCTAAGGCAGTTGGATCACCTGAAGTTGAGAGTTCAAGACCAGCTTGGCCAACATGGTGAAACCTTGTCTCTACTAAAAATACAAAAATTAGCCAGGCGTGGTGGCAGGTGCCTGTAATCCCAGGTACTGGGGAGCCTGAGGCAGGAGAATCGTTTGAACCTGGAGGCAGAGGTTGCAGTGAGCCGAGATTGCACCACTGCACTCCAGCCTGGGCAACAAGAGCAAACATCTCAAAAAAAAGACATGAGAAATTTTCTTAGGCAGACTACGTAGAATACCTCAAGTTTATTTTTATTCAGTGCCAAAATAAAAGTTAATCTTTGTTGCCATCTCCCAGAACATTTGCTAGACTGTACTATGAGCTTTTAAAACTAGTCATGGGAGGCCAGGTGCAGTGGCTCACGCCTGTAATCCCAGCAGTTTGGGAGGCCAAGGCAGGTGGGTCTCTTGAGGTCAGGAATTCAAGACTAGCCTGGCTGACATGGCAAAACCCCATTTCTACTAAAAATATTTTTTTAAAAAGTAGCCAGGCATGGTGGCAGGCGCCTGTAATCCCAGCTACTTGGGAGGCTGAGGCAGGAAAATTGCTTGAACCCAGAAGGCAGAGGTTGCAGTGGGTCGAGATTGCACCACTGCACTCCAGCCTGGGTGACAGAGCAAGGCTCCATCCCAGAAAAAAAAAAGTCACTGAATGAATTCCCCTGCCTGATGGCAAAATTAAATTAAAGACTGTTTGGCTGTGAGGTTGACACAGTCACCCACAGCCTCTGGGAGGCTGGTGGCTGCAAGGAGGATGGGTGCCTGACAAGGACATGTTACCAGGCGGTCTGGTGCCAGCAAGCACCCACTTGTGCTCTTGTGTAATCTCTAACATGATTCTTTTGTCTTTTGTCTTTGCAGTCCACTGTCATGGATTGAAGAAAAAGGACCTGGTCTAAAACGAAACAGATATTTAAGCTTCCATTTCAAGTCTGGGTCCTTGGAGAATGTGCCAAATGTAGGAGTGAATAAGAACATATTTCTGAAAGATCAAAATATATTTGTCCAGAAACTCTTGGGCCAGTTCTCTGAGAAGGAACTGGCTGCTGAAAAGAAACGCATCCTGCACTGCCTGGGGCTTGCAGAAGAAATCCAGAAATATTGCTGTTCAAGGAAGTAAGAGGAGGAGGTGATGTAGCACTTCCAAGATGGCACCAGCATTTGGTTCTTCTCAAGAGTTGACCATTATCTCTATTCTTAAAATTAAACATGTTGGGGAAACAAGAATCTTATTGTTATGAGCTATGTTGGGATATTTGGGGTTAGGGGCTATGCAGTGGGGACAAGGCGAGAATGAGCGTTGGTTGAGCTGAGCTAAATGCTTTGTATGTCTGATTTCACTTACTCCTCCTAACAGCCCTATGAGATGAGTACTAGCAGGCCTCTTTTTTTTTTTTTTTTTTTTTTGAGAGTCTCACTGTGTCACCCAGGATGGAGTGTAGTGGCACCATCTCGGTTCACTGCAGCTTCCACCTCCTGGGTTCAATCAGTTATCCTGCCTCAGTCTCCCAAGGAGCTGAGGATTACAGGCGCGTGCCTAATCCTGGCTAATTTTTGTAGTTTTAGTAGAGATGAGGTTTCGCCACGTTAGCCAGCCTGGTCTCGCTCGAACTCCCAACCTCAGGTAATCCACCTGCCTCGGCCTCCCAAAGTGCTGGGATTAGAGGCATGAGCCACCATGCCTGGCACCAGGTCTCTTTTCATTGTATACTAGAAAATGTTGTTTGAACAGAACCCTCCGAGATGATAGAGTCACCGCCCTTCTGCTCTCGTGTTCTCAGCTGCCCTATCTACCCTGCAGGTTGCTGCTGCTGCTGGAGCCCACGCAGGTCATGTGCCACTGTGGCATTTCCTAAACACTCCTGCCTCTGAAGGTGGCACCCCATGCCCCAGTCACAATTCTTTCAGAGTGTCACAGAAGGAAAGAATCCACATGTATTCCTCAGCAGTCTGTCCCTCTGTCCAATTTGAAGAAAAAAAAAGCCCTTAATCCCGCTGTACTAATGCTCCTAAGTGTTGAGGGGTCCTTCAGGAGGGCCTTGTGTCTCCAGGCAAGAGTGACCACAGAGGTGCCCTTTGCCCCTCAGCCCCTCTCCCTGTGGCAGCAGTGACCTGCCTGTCTGGTGAAGCTGGAAAAGGGACTAAACACATGACACCCAGCCACCTTCTCCCTCTGAACCGACATCCTTAGGATGCACCCAAGCTTGTCCACGTGGCAGGTGACTAAAGCAGACTCTTCCTCTGCAAGTAGGTGACCTGCAGCTGTGATGAAGAATTGAGTTACCCTAAGACAGGGCAGTTACCCTAAGACAGAGCCTAAGACAGTTACCCTAAGACAGAGCCTAAGAGTTACCCTAAGAGTTTAAGAGCCTAAGACAGAGTTACCCTAAGGTGGAGCCTAAGAGTTATCCTAAGACAGAGTTACCCTGCAGGGAGCCAAAGGCCCGCGGGACGTGACCAACTCAGCATTCCGCTGGAGGCTATATGATCAAACAGCGAACTGTTTATCATGAATGCAGGATGTGGGCAAACTCACACTGCCTTGCCACCAAAATGTTTGCTGAGGGACATCATGCCCTGGCGCCGGGCTCCTGGAAGTTATCTATTGAGAAATCTAGCGCCTATTGTTCACAAGCCCGCTGTGAACCAAACGGCTGACTGACAATTACCCGACAACCATCCTCCCACTTTCTTGCTGTCTCTTTCACCTAATAAATACAGAGGGCTGTGTAAAGCTCACGGCCCTTGTCCACTAGAGGCAAGATGCCCCTTGACCTCTTCTTCCAAATATACTCTTTTGTGTCTTGTCTTTTATTCCCACATTCGCCCCCCTTTGTTCAGTCCCCCGAGGTCCATGCAGGTTACAAGTGGCACCCCAAACAGCAACAGGATCGGGTGCTCTGCATAGTGGCATCCGAACACAGGACTTCGAGGACATGAATGAAGAAAGTCCGCTGGAGCAGAGGAACTGAAATTGACAAGGCGAATGGGGACCCCGAAACGAGTCTGCCAGCAGCAGAGATAAGGTCAGTGCCCTAAAGAGGTACTGATCAGTGCCGTAAAGAGGTACTGGGAGCAGTGCTTTAAAGAAGTACTAGGAACAGGAAGTTTTCTGAATCAGGCTAACAAGGGGAAGAATTTGTCTATTGAAGAAAAACATTATGTGCAGTTGCTTAAAGTTCTGTAGAGACAGTCTGGAGCTTAGGTTAATTCGCAGACACTAACCTCCTGCAGAAGCCACAAAAGGTTATTACGCATAACCCATGGTTCCCACAGGCAGGCATCCTTGATATGGAAAATTGAGACAAAGCAGGAGAAGGATTAAAACAGGCTCATCAAAAAGGTCTTAGCTGATTCTTAGTTGATTCTTCTGTTTTCTCCACTTGGAGTTTAGTTTGTACTGTACTTCTACCATTATCTCCTTATTATTCTGTGGGACAACAGCCTGAATCTAAAAATCTGAAAGAATATGTTGTCCCACCCACAGCTCCAATTGAAAATAAAAAACAGAGAGGATAAAAATTGGCCTATACCGCCTCCTCCAATTGCAGAAACATCTGTACTGCCTCCTTCAGTAGCACAAATAGAAACCCCAATACAAAGAATTTTACGCTCTGCTGTCATAGCTGGAGAGCCCTTAGGACCTTGCGCTGTTCCTGTTTCCATAAGGCCTGATCCCAATAATCCACAGCAGTTTATTCATGAACACACCCCACTAGAATTTCAGTTGTTGAAGGAATTAAAAACTAGTGTGGTCAATAATGGAGTACAAAGCCCATGGTTCCCAGAGGAAAGAACACTAGATGTAGAACTCTGGGAACAAGTGGGGAGAAATCTTAAACAACATCAGGTGCAAAGGCATCAGGTCCCAGTAAAATCTTTAATGTTATGGGCTTTAATTAGAGCAGCCCTGGCTCAGTTACACACAGAAGAGCCTAAAAAGAGGAAGGAGGAGAAAATGTCACCTGCCTTATCACCTCCTCTTCCCTCAGTCCCAATATCACTGGGTCAAAATAACAGGAAACGGAGGTCTCACCTAAGTCTCCTCCTCCAATAGATAGGAAAAAGGACAGAGGATATGCTATAGCCATCAGTGTGTTAGATATGAGTTCTAAATTTCTCTTTAAAGAATCAGTATGTCAGTATGTTCAATTCTTTGCCTTCTACTTGTAAACTTAACTTCCTCATAAAGCAACCTTTTTCGATTACCTGCTCCATCCTGACTCATTCCGATTTCCTGCTCTGCCATAACCATTTTTCCCGCCAAACCACTCACCCTGTCACTCTCTTTAAATTAGCCAGTTGGAGTTAGTTTGGCCTGTGTGGTCTAACCCTAGCCAATAGGGGAATGACACAGCAGCAGGGGCCATGTGCATCAGGGATAAGAACCCTTTCCCCTCCCTTGTCCAGGTGTGCACTCAACCATTGCTCCATCTGTAAGGGCGCACCCTTCTGTAGAAGTACATTGACTTGCTGAGAATTAAAAAGAAAATTTTATATTCAAGTGCTATTTCTTTTGCGGCACCGAAACTTTACTTAAAACAACTTGGGGGCTCGCCTGTGATTACATTCCCCTCCAGGGGTAGTCTCAAGTCCTCTCTCATGAGGAGGCGCGCCCCGCCCCCTTGTGGCAGCCTCAGGGGTGAGAAATTAGGACCCACCCAGTGCAAGGAATAACCCGAGCTCTCAGCAAAGCAAAAAGAAACTGGCCAGCAACCTAGCTGGATCCTCCATAATGGCCTCCCTAACGGCCATGCAAGTCTGTGCACGGACGGAGGAAAAGACACCACGGGAGCCGGTAAAGTATATCCTTGGTGGTCAGGACCAAGGTAAGAAAGCCGCGGGGGGGCAATGAAGTACTCCTTGGTTGGGGTAGCATAGAGGTTAAAAAGAGGCAAGACATCACACAAACCTCCAGTAGTAGAAAAGGCAAGAAATTTCCAGGGGGGAAATTGAGCTCACCCCAAAAGGCAAGAGATTTCCAGTGGGGAAATTGAGCCTCACCCCAAAAGGCAAGAAATTTCCAGTGGGGGAAATTGAGCCTCACCCCAAAAGGCAAGAAATTTCCAGTAAGGGAAATTGAACCTTGAACCTTAACCCAAAACCATCAAGATGGGAAATACCCCAAGCAAGACAGGGAGCAAGATAAATAAAGATGGTAACAAAGATATCATCCTGGATGGCCCCCTAGGTCTCATGTTAAAATACTGGAAGGATAATGAAAGGACTAAACATAGGAAAAAGCAACAAATGATAAAATATTTCTGTTTTATTTGGACTCAGGGACCCATCCTCAAATCCTTGATCTTCTGGCCAAAGTTTATGTCGAATAAGGATGTAATGTGTCAGCTTCTAATCCGACGTGTTAATGATAAAGGTCCAGTGTCTCAAGAATTAGGCTATGCCCTTTGCTAGAGGCAAGGACCTACTCTCCTTTTTCCCTTAAAAACAGATAGGGAAGAACCCAATCTGGCACCTCAAAATGAAAAGTCAGAGGAGCCAGTTCTCATGCCTAAAAATTCCAGCACATGGGATCCCCTAGACTATCTTTCCCCGTTCAGTGTCCCCAATCTTTCCCCTCAGACAGCCACTGCTGCCTCAGATCCTGTTCCAAATCCCCACCTCTACTCTCGTTATCCCTCCTCCTTAAAACCCTGACTCTTAGGAATTACCATCCCACCCGCCTGTTCCCTCCCAACCTAAATACCCCTCTCTAAAAGGACTCCAGCGTGAGGTAGAACAGTGTAAAAAAGGATATTCAGAATTTCCCATTTCCCTCCGTATCTAAGGGTTCAGCCCCGACCCTCTTCCCTTTGAAAGAGGTCCCACAAGGAGGGGTGGGGGAGGGGGGCACTTGCTTTGTAAATGCTCCCTTGACCAGTTCAGAAGTCCGGAATTTTTAAAAGGAGCTTAAACCGCTACTAGATGACCCTTACAGAGTGGCAGACCATATTGACCAATTCTTAGAACCTCAGTTGTATACTTGGGTCGAGTTAATGTCCATCTTGGGCATCCTCTTTTCAGGGGAAGAAAGGAGTATAATTCGTAGGGCTGCTATGGTAGTTTGGGAACATAAGCACACTCCCGTTGAAAATGTTCCTACCATGGACCAGAAATTCTCCGCTCGAAACCCCTGGTGGGACAATAACAACGCAGACCACTGCGAAAATATGCAGGACCTAAGGGAGATGATAATAACAGGGATTTGGGAATCAGTACCCTGAACCCCAAATCTTTCTAAAGCATTTGATATACAACAGGAAAAGGATGAAGGGCCTATGAGATTCCTAGACAGACTGAGGGAGCAAATGAGGTAATATGCAGGCCTCGATTTGGATGATCCCCTTGGGCAAGGAATGTTGAAACTCCAATTTGTCACTAAAAGTTGGCCAGACATTTCAAAAAAGTTACAAAAGACAGACAATTGGGAAGACTGTCTCCTAAGTGAGTTTCTCAGGGAAGCTCAGAAAGTATACTTGAAAAGGGACAAAGAAAAACAGAAACAAAAGACAAAACTTATGTTTTGGGGAAAGAGAGAGAGAGAGAGGAGGCAGAGAGAGAGAGAGGAAGAGACAAAGAGGGAGTCAAAGAGAAAGAGAAAGGCAGAGAGAGAGGAAGAGACAGAGAGGGAGTCAGAGAGAAACACAAAGTTAAAGAGAGAAAGAGAGAGATAGAAGTAGTAAAGAGAAAACAGTGTACATTATTTCTTTAAAAGCCAGGGTAAATTTAAAACCTATAATTGATAATTGAAGGTCTTCTCTGTGACCCTGTAACACTCCAATACCACCTTTCTGTCAGTGTAAACAAGGGCGTAGCCCAAGAGCACTGAGGCCACTGATAATCCATAGCCTTCCTAATCAAAAATCCGTAACCCATGGATGGCCCAAATACATTCAATCTGTAGCAACAACTGCTTTGCTAACAGAAGAAAGTATGAGGCTATTCGGTTAAAAAAAAATGATTCAACATTAACTACTGAAAATTCCCTTAACCCAGCAGATTTCCTAACAGGGTATCTAAATCTCAATTAATTACTATAAAAAGGTCTGACCAGACCTAGGAGGAACTCCCTTCAGGACAGGATGATAGATGGTTCCTCCTGGGTGTTTGAGAGAAAAAGACACAATGGGTATTCAGTAACTGATAGAGTTGGATATGAGTTCTAAATTTCTTTTCAAAGAATTAATATGTCAGTATGTTCAATTCTTTACCTTCTACTTTTAAACTTCCTCATAAAGCAACCTTTTCCAATTAACCTACTCCACCCTGACTCAATCCAATCACCTGCTCCACCCTAACTCATTCCGATTACCTGCTATCTGCTCTGCCCTGATTCCCACCAAAGCACTCACCTCATCATTCTCTTTAGCCAATCGGAATTAGTTTAGCCTGTGCTTCTAACCCTAGCCAATAGGGGAACAACACAGCAAGCAGCAGGGGCCATGTGCATCAGGGATAAGAACCCATTCCCCTCCCTTGTCCAGGTGTGCGCTCACCATTGCTCCATCTGTAAGAGCGCACCCTTCTATAGAAGTATATTGCCTTGCTGAGAATTAAAAAGAAAATTTTATATTCGAGTGCTATTTCTTTTGCAGCACCGAATCTTTATATATAACAATTTGGAGACTTGCCCTTGATTACATTCCCCTCCGGGGGTGGTCTCTGGTTCTCTCTCGTGAGGAGGTGCACCCTGTCCCCTTTGGTGGCCTCAGGAGTGAGAAATCAAGACCCACCCAATGCAAGGAATAGCCTGAGCTCTCAGCAACATGGAAAAAAGAAAAAAAAACTGGCCAGCAACCTAGCTTAAAGGATCCTCACATACTGCGGTGATGACTCTGTGCACAGACCAAGGAAGGAGAAGCCATGGGAGCCAGTAAAGTATTTCCTGGGTCAGAACCAAGGTAAAAAAGCCGTGGGGGTGGGGTGTGGTGAAGTACTCCTTGGTCGGGGTGGCTTAGAGGTTAAAAAGAGGCAAGACATCCCCACTGGGGGGGATTGAACCTCACATAAACCTCCAGTAGTAGAAAAGGCAAGAAATTTCCAGTGGGGGAAATTGAGCCTCACCCTAAAAGGCAAGAAACTTCCGATGGGGAAATTGAGTCTCACCCCAAAAGGCAAGAAATTTCCAGTGGGGAAATTGAGCCCCACCCCAAAAGGCAAGAAATTTTCAGTGGGGAAATTGAGCCTCACCCCTAAAGGCAAGAAATTTCCAGTGGGGAAATTGAGCCTCACCCCAAAAGGCAAGAAATTTCCAGTGGGGAAATTGAGCTTCACCCCATAAGGCAAGAAATTTATAGTGGGGAGATCGAGCCTCACCCCATAAGGCAAGAAATTTCCAGTGGGGAAATCAAGCCTCACCCCAAAAAAACAAAGAAATTTCCAGTAAGGGAAATTGAACCTTGAACCTTACCCCAAAACCAACAAGATGGGAAATACCCCAAGCAAGACAGGGAGCAAGGGGAATAAGATGGTAACAAAGATATCCCCCCGGATAGCCCCCTAGGTCTCATGCTAAAACTGGAAGGATAATGAAAGGACTAAACATAGGAAAAAGCAACAAATGATAAAATATTTCTGTTTTATTTGGACTCAGGGACCCATCCTCAAACCCTCAATCTTCTGGCCAAAGTTTGTGTCGAATGAGGATGTAATGTGTCAGCTTCTAATCGGATATGTTAAAGGTCCAGTGTCTCAAGAAGGACTAGGCTATGCCCTTCGTTGGAGGCAAGGACTTGCCCTCCTTTTTCCCTTAAAAACAAATAGGGAAGAACCCAATCTGGCACCTCAAAATGAAAAGTCAGAGGAGCTAGTTCTCATGCCTAAAAATTCCAGCACATGGAATCCCCTAGACTATCTTCCCCTGTTCAGTGTCCCCAGTCTTTCCCCTCAGACAGCCAGTGCTGCCTCAGATCCCGTTCCAAAGTCCTTCTCTACTCACATTATCCCTCCTCCTTATAACCCTGACTCTTGGGAATTACCATCCCAACAGCCTGTTCCCTCTCAGCCTAAATACCCCTCTCTAAAAGGACTCCAGCGTGAGATAGAACAATGTAAAAAAGGATATTCAGAATTTCCCATTTCCCTCTGTACCTAAGGGGTCAGCCCCGACGCTCTTTCCTTTGAAAGAGTTACCACAAGGAGGGGGGGCCATTGGCTTTGTAAATGCTCCCTTAACCAGTTCAGAAGTCCAGAATTTTAAAAAGGAGCTTAAACTGCTACTAGATGACCCTTACAGAGTGGCAGACCATATTGACCAATTCTTAGAACCTCAGTTGTACACTTGTGTCGAGTTAATGTCCATCTTGGGCATCCTCTTTTCAGGGGAAGAAAGAGTAGCTCCGCTCCTGCCGGTCCCTCCCCAGGGGAAGGGGAAGGAGAGGAGAGAACAGCAGTGTAAGTGGCTGGCAGAGGCAGGGAAAGAACAGCAGAGAGGAAAGGTGGGGGGGGGGTGGAGAGAGAGGGCAAAGAGAGGCAGAGAGAGAGGAAGAGACAGGCAAAGAGGGAGTCAGAGAGAGAGAAAGAAAGGCAGAGAGAGACAGGAAGAGACACAGACAAAGAGGGAGTCAAAGAGAAAGAGAGACAATGCCAGAGAGAGAGAGAGAAGTAGTAAAGAGAAAACAGTGTACCCTATTCCTTTAAAAGCCAGGTAAATTTAAAACCTATAATTGATAATTGAAGGTCTTCTCCATGACCCCATAACACTCCAATACCACCTTGTTGTCAGTGTAAACAAGGGCATAGCTCAAAAGCACTGAGGCCACTGACAACCCATAGCTTTCCTATAAAAAATCCTTAACTCAGTAGTGGGTGGCTCAAATGCATTTAATCTGTAGCGGCAATTGCTTTCCTAAGAGAAGAAAGTAGAAAAATAGCTTTTAGAGGAAACCTCGTTGTGAGCACACCTCACCAGTTCAGAACTATCCTAAGTAAAAAAAGAAAACAAAGGTAGCTTACTAACTCAAAAATCTTAAAATATGGGGCTATTCTGTTAGAAAAAGATGATTTAACATTAACCACTGATAATTCCCTTAACCCAGCAAGTTTCTTAACAGGGGATCTAAATCTTAATGACCATACAAAGCCTTGACCAGACCTAGGAGGAACTCCCTTCAGGACAGGATGATAGGTGGTTCCTCCCAGGTGATTGAGGGAAAAAGACACAATAGGTATTCAGTAATTGATAGGGAAACTCTTGTAAAAGCAGAGTTAGGGAAATTGCCTAATAATTGGTCTGCTCAAACGTGTGAGCTGTTTGCACTCAGCCAAGACTTAAAGTACTTACAGAATCAGGAAGGAGCCATCTATACCAATTCTAAGTTAATTTGGACTGAACAAGGTCTTATTAATAGCAAAGAATAATTGAAATCCCAAACTTACAAGGTTTTTAACAAAAGTAAAATGTGCTAAAAGTTAACAGTGTAAGTGTACTATCCTAACTTATAATCTTGTGGCCTCAGGCAGTCTAGTCCACAGACATGAAAGAAGTTCACTTTGGAAAAGAATGGTTGTCATCTTTGAAAAAAAAATAAGCAGGGGGAGGGGGAGGATAATTTATGTTCAAAGAATGTTATATGATAAATTCTTGTCCTAAAATAAATTAACTGGTTGTTTAAAGAAAGGGATGTTTGCAACAAGTCAGAAAGTTGAGGCATGTTGAAGAATTGTCTGTGAAAGTCGTGGAAAAAAAAAATGTTATAAAAGGGAATTTATGCAAGGAGTGTTGTATAATTTAAAAGTAATTAGGCCTCCTGAATGTAAAACTATTGAAGAAACAGTTTATGTGCAAGGTGTATAAGGAAAGTAAAATATACCTTTGGTAAAAGGATTATAAGGAAGCATAAGAATGTGGATTTTTACCTACATTAAAAGGTTAAATAAATAAATAAATATTTTCTTTTAAGGGTTTAAGCAACTTTTGAAATGTTAATTGTAAAAGAAATTCTGTGTGTAAACATACTGGCTAAAGTTAAAGGGGTATCATCCAGTTTTTCTGTGAACTGGACCTTAAAAGCACAACAGGTTTTTCTAAAAGCACTAACCTGCTCTTTAACAAAAATTATAAAAGGTTAAAAAGTTTATAAAAATCTTATGGTCAGACATTAAAAATTGAATAAATATGTCTACAAAGTTTTATGAAAACTAAATTTAACATTAATAACACACTAATATAAAGGTGAAATTTAGCTTATCTGGTATAAAATCACACAGGAAGCACTGTCAAACATAAAATGGTGTTTGGCTTTCTTTGGTCTAAAAACTAATAAAAATAGGTGCTAAAGGAAATTTCTCAGTAAGAAGACACCAAGGACTATAAAGCCCACTGCTGATGTCCCCACATTTAAGACAAAAGATCAATTTCTTAGAAATTATATACTTGGTTTATCTTCCACTTTCCTTTCCCTCAAAACTAAAAGTCTTTTAGCACAGGTACCACCCCTAGAATTTCCGGTAAACCAGCAACAGCCTGAAGATCACGGTCTCATCAAAGGGTGGAAAGAAGGAAAACTCCAGCCAGCCTGGGAAGGACCCCACCTTGTGCTGCTAACCACCAAGACTGCTATTCGTACAGTGAAAAAAGGATGGACTCATCACACCCGAGTCAAGAAAGTGCCACCCCCTCCAGAGTCATAGGCCATAGTCCTTGGGGAAAACCCTACCAAACTAAAGCAAAGAAAAATTTAATTCTTTTCATCTATTCTATTACTCTTTCATCTTTCCTAGCTTTATTGCTGACCATCTAGTTATTAACATAACCAAGTCAATTTTGCCTCAAACTATTGTATTTAATGCTTGCCTTGTTATACCCTGTGGGGACTTGCCAAGTCAAAGACAGCTCTCTACTTCAGAAAAGTACCTCTGGCCCTCCTTACTCTCCTCAGACTGGGCATTAGTGAACTGGGACCATTTAATCGAGGGAGACTTTGATAAAGACCCCATTGTTAACCAGGATTGTTGCCCCCAATGTAGAGCTTTTACGCCATAGTTGATCCAATGTTCTGTGGACCACAAAAGAGCAAGGATGGACTGCCCCAACCAGTTTTTGTAATTTCCTAAAGCCATACATTCATTTTACTAAAGGATCATAGAAGTTAAAGACTTAAAACAAACTTTGGCAATTAAGACAGGATACCAAGATGCAAATGCCTGGTTGGAATGGATCAAATATTCCATCCACATGTTAAACAAAAGCAATTGTTATGCTTGTGCACATGGCAGGCCAGAGGCCCAGATTGTCCCCTTTCCACTAAGGTGGTCCTCCAGTCGACCAGGTGTGGGCTGCATGGTAGCTTTTTTCCGGGATTCTACAGCCTGGAGCAACAAGTCGTGCCAAGCGGTCTCTCTGCTATATCCCTTAGTCCAGCACCCTGCGGGTCAGCCCCCAAGGGCCATTCAGCTTCCATCTCCCAACACTAAGTTTACTTCATGTCTCTCACGAAAGGGAGGAAACTTAGTGTTCCTTGGAGACCTGAAGGGATGCAGTGAGCTTAAGAATTTTCAAGAGTTTATCAATCAATCAGTCTTTGTTCATCCCCGAGCAGATGTGTGGTGGTATTGTGGTGGATCTTTACTGGACACTCTGCCAAATAACTGGAGTGGCCCTTGTGCTTTAGTCCAGTTGGCTATCCCTTTCACCCTGGCATTTCATCAACCAGAGGGAGGAAAAATAAGACATCATAAAGCGAGAGAAACCCTTTACGGGTCTTTTGACTCTCATGTCTATTTAGACACAATTAGAGTCCCACAGGGAATACCAGATCAATTTAAAGCCCAAAATCAAATAGCTGCAGGATTTGAGTCAATATTTTTGGTAGGTGACAATTAATAAAAATGTAGATTGGATAAACTATATCTATTACAACCAACAGCAATTTATTAACTACAGTAGAGATGCTGTTAAAGGAATAGCTGAACAATTACGGGCTACCAGCCAGATGGCTTGGGAAAATAGGATACCCTTAGACATGATATTTGCAGAAAGAGGAGGGGTTTGTGTCATCATTAAAACTCAATGTTGTACCTTCATCCCAAACAACACCACCCCTGATGGAAGTATAACAAAGGCATTGCAAGGTCTGATTGCTCTGCCCAATGAGTTAGCCAGCAACTCAGGGGTAAATGACCCCTTTACAGGATGGCTAGAAAAGTAGTTCAGTAAATGGAAAGGAATAATAGCCTCAATTCTTACTTCCCTCGCAGCCGTAATAGGTGTACTTATTCTTGTTGGGTGCCGTGTCATACCATGCATCCTGGGTTGGTGCAGAGGCTCATAAAAATATCACTTACTAAAACCTCCCTTCACTATCCTCCACCTTATCCAGAGAAGCTGCTTCTTTTGGAAAATCAAGCAAAACAACTAAGCCAGGACATGTTAAAAAAACTTTTGAAAAGAAAGCTGTAAAGAAATACAAGGGAAGGGGTTGTTATATATGAGTTCTAAATTTCTTTTGAAAGAATATGTCAGTATGTTCAATTCTTTGCCTTCTACTTTTAAACTTAACTTCCTTGTAAAGCAACATTTTTGATTACCTTCTCAATCCTGACTCATTCCGATTACCTGCTACCTGCTCTGCCCTGACTCCCGCCAAAGCACTCACCCCGCCATTCTCTTTAAATTAGCCAGTCGGAATTAGTTTATCCTGTGTGGCCTAACCCTAGCCAATAGGGGAACGACACAGCAGCAGGGGCCACGTGCATCAGGGATAAAAACCCCTTCCCCTCCCTTGGCCAGGTGTGTGCTCACCATTGCTCCATCTGTAAGGCGCAGCCTGCTATAGAAGTAACTTGCCTTGCTGAGAATTAAAAAGAAAATTTTATATTCAATTGCTATTCCTTTTGCGGCACCGAAAGTTTATATATAACAATAGGGAAACTCTTGTAGAAGCAGAGTTAGGGAAATTGCCTAATAATTGGTCTACTCAAACGTGTGAGCTCTTTGCACTCAGCCAAGCCTTAAAGTACTTAGAGAACCAGGAAGGAACCATCTATACCAATTCTAAGTTAATTTGGACTAAACAAGGTCTTATTAATAGCAAAGGATAATGGAAATCCCAAACTTACAAGGTTTTCAACAAAAGTAAAATTTGCTAAAAGTTAACAGTGTAACATGTATTATCCTAACTTCTAATCTCGTGGCCTTAGGCAGTCTAGTCCACAGACATGAAGGAAGTTCGCTTTGGAGAAGAATGGAAAAAAAAGGGGATGGGGGGGAAGAATTTATATAAAATGAATGTTACATGGTAAATTCTTGTCCTAAAATAAGTTAACTGGTTGTTTAAAGAAAGGGATGTTTGCAACAAGTCAGAAAGTTGAGGCATGTTGAAGATTGTGAAAGTCATGAAAAAAAAAGTTATAAAAGAGAATTTATGCAAGAGATATTGTATAATGTACAAGTAATTAGGCCTCCTGAATGTAAAACTATTGAAGAAACAGTTTATGTGCAAGGTGTGCAAGGAAAGTAAAATACACTTTTGGTAAAAGGATTATAAGGAGGCATAAGAATGTGGATTTTTACCTACATTAAAAGGTTTAAAAATTTGTTTTAAAGGCTTAAGCAAGCTTTAAAATGTTAATTGTAAAAGAAATTCTGTGTGTAAACATACTGGCTAAAGTAAAAGGGGTATCATCCAATCTTTCTGTGAACTGGACATTAAAATAAAAGCACAACAGGTTTTTCTAAAAGCACTAACCTGCTCTTTAACAAAAATTATAAAATGTGAAAAAGAGTCTATAAAAATCTTACCTTATGGTGAGACATTAAAATTAGATAAATATGTCTACAAGGTTTTATTAAAATTTAGTTTAACATTAATAACACACTAATATCAAGGTGAAATTTAGCTTTTCTGGTATAAAATCATACAGGAAGCATTGTCAAATATGAAATGGTGTTTGGCTTTCTTTGGTCTAAAAACTAATAAAAATAGGTGCTAAAGGAAATTTCTCAATAAGAAGGCACCAAGGACTATGAAGTCCACTGCTGATGTCCCCACATTTAAGACAAAAGATCAATTTCTTAGAAATTATATACTTGGTTTATCTTCCACTTTCCTTTCCCTCAAAACTAAGTCTTTTAGCACAGGTCCACCCCTAGAATTTCCAGTAAACCAGCACCCGCCTGAGGATCACCTTCTCATCAAAGGGTGGAAAGAAGGAAAACTCGAGCGAGCCTGGGAAGGACCCTACCTTGTGCTGCTAACCATTGAGACTGCTGTTTGTACAGCAAAAAGGGTAAGGACTCATCACACCTGAGTCAAGAAAGCGCTGCCCCCTCCAGAGTTGTGGGCCATAGTCCTAGGGGAAAACCCTACCAACTAAAGCCAAGGAAAATTTAACCCTCTTTCACCTATTCTATTACTCTTTCTTCTTTCCTCACTCTATTGCTGAACATCTAGTTTTTAACATAACCAAGTCAATTTTGCCTCAAACTATTGCATTTAATGCTTGCCTTGTTATACCCTGTGGGGACTTGCCAAGTCAAAGACAGCTCTCTACTTCAGAAAAGTACCTTTGTTCCTCCTGACTCTCCTCAGACTGGGCATTAGTGAATTGGGACCATTTAATCTGGGAAGATTTCAATAAAGACCCCAGTGTCAGCCAGGAGTCTTGCCCCATCCGAGGTGGAGCTTTTATGCCGTAGTTGGTCCTACATTCTGTGGACCACTAAAGAGCAAGAATGGACTGCCCCAACCGGTTTTTGTAATTTCCTAAAACCATACATTTATTTTACCAGAGGGACAGCCCTTCACTAACTGTCAGCTAAACCAGTGCAATCCTACACAGGTTATTATCTCAAACCCTCGAAGTTCTTCCCCTTTTCTAAGCCAGTTTCCTTCTTTAAGCTGGTTTTATGGTATGGGGGCTGAGGTTTCAGGGACAGACCCTATTGGATTCCTTGAAATGCATTTCTTTGATCCACTGCTGCCTGCACCTTCCTCTAAGCCTTTTTCCAAAACGTCTCGCAATGGAACAACTGTTCCTCCTCCATCTAATGACAAGACCAAGATAGCTATTGTAGAAGTTAAAGACTTAAACTTTGGCAATTAAGACAGAATACCAAGATGCAAATGCCTGGTTGGAATGGATCAAATATTCCATCCACACGTTAAACAAAAGCAATTGTTATGCTTGTGCACATGGCAGGCCAGAGGCCCAGATTGTCCCCTTTCCACTAGGGTGGTCCTCCAGTCGACTGGGCGAGGGCTGCACGGTAGGTCTTTTCCAGGATTCTACAGCCTGGAGTAGTAAGTCGTGCCAAGCTCTCTCTCTGCTATATCCCGAAGTCCGGCACCCTGTATGTCGGCCCCCAAGTGCCAACCAGCTTCCATCTCCCAACACTAAGTTTACTTCATGTTTCTCACGACAGGGAGGAAACTCAGCATTCCTTGGAGACCTGAAGGGATGCAGTGAGTTTAAGAATTTTCAAGAGCTTATCAGTCAGCCCTTGTTCATCCCTGAGTGGAGGTGTGGTGGTATTGTGGTGGACCTTTACTGGGCACTCTGCCAAATAATTGGAGTGTCACTTGTGCTTTAGTCCAATTGGCTATCCCTTTCACCCTGGCATTTCATCAACCAGAGGGAGGAAAAATAAGACATGGTAAAGTGAGAGAAAACCCTTATGGGTCTTTCAACTCTCACATCCATTTAAATGCAATTGGAGTCCCTTGGGGAATATCAGATCAATTTAAAGCCCAAAATCAAACAGCTACAGGATTTGAGTCAATATTTTGGTGGGTGACCATAAAAATGTAGATTGGATAGCCTACATCTACTACAACCAACAATGATTTATTAACTATGGTAGAGATGCTGTTAAAGGAATAGCTGAGCAATTACGGGCTACCAGCCAGATGGCTTGGGAAAACAGAATAGCCTTAGACATGATATTAACAGAAAGAGGAGGAGTTTGTGTCATGATTAAAACTCAATGTTGTACCTTCATCCCAAACAACACCACCCCTGATGGAACTATAACAAAGCCATTGCAAGGTCTGACTGCTCTGTCCAGTGAGTTAGCCAACAACTCAGGGGTAAATGACTCCTTTACAGGATGGCTAGAAAGGTGGTTCGGTAAATGGAAAACAATAATAGCCTCAATTCTTACTTCCCTCGCAGCCGTAATAGTTGTACTTATTCTTGTCAGGTGCTGTGTCACACCATGCATCAGTGGGTTGGTGCAGAGGCTCATAAAAATGGTACTTACTAAATCCTCCCTTCACTATCCTCTGCCTTATCCAGAGAAGGTTCTTCTTTTGGAAAATCAAGCAGAACAACTAAGCCAAGGCATGTTAAAGAAGTTTGAAGAGAAAGAGCTGTAAGGAAATGCAAGAGGAGGGAATGTTAGATATGAGTTCTAAATTTCTCTTCAAAGAATCAATATGCCAGTATGTTTAATTCTTTGCCTTTGACTTTTAAACTTAACTTCTTCATAAAACAACCTTTTTTGATTACCTGCTCCACCCTGACTCATTCCGATTTCCTGCTCTGCCATAACCATTTTTCCCACTAACCCGCTCGCCCTGTCACTCTCTTTAAATTAGCCAATCGGAATTAGTTTACCCTGTGCGGTCTAACCCTAGCCAATAGGGGAACGACACAGCAGCAGGGGCCACATATGTCAGGGATAAGAACCCCTTCCCCTCCCTTGTCCAGGTGTGCATTCACCATTGCTCCATCTGTAAGGGTGAACCCTTCTACAGAAGTACGGTGTCTTGCTGAGAATTAAAAAGAAAACTTTATATTCGAGTGCTATTTCTTTTGTGGCACTGAAACTTTACTTATAACAAGTCCCTGTCCTAAGCAGGCAGCATTGGAAAGAAAGCTCTTAACCTGCTCAGTAATGCAAAATCGGCAAGGCAATCAGGTGTATGTTTATAAAAAGATAAGAAAAAAGGCATTAGAAGCTGAAACCGCATGGCCAAGCAGGCAGTGGGTGGAAGAAAATGCTCAGCGGCAGAAAAGTTCTCAGTGATCAAGCTGACAAGGTCCATCCAGGCCGGCAGCATCCCCCCAGCAAAGGAAGGAGGGAGCGGGGCAGACACAGGCAAAGCCTAAGCAAGTACAACATGGCTGCCACCCAGGACCTGCACCGCTGCCCTCTGGCTCTGTGGGCAGCCCATAGCAAAATTTCATGTGTTATGTCCCAGGCTATGATTCTCTACTAAGATTTAAGTAAAATGTAAGAATTTGAAAAGCCTCTTTTCTAATAATGGCCACTATTGTTATCTCTCTCCTACCCCTGATGTAGCTTTCCAAATTCAAATTAAATATAACAGTAACCTCTGAAGGGAGAGAGATTACAGAGGGCCCATGAATTAAAGAGTAATTAAAAGCTAGGCATGTAAAACCACACATTACCCTTTAAAGGAGAACTGTAAACCTAATTAAATGATATTTGTTATAAGGGAGGAGACCACCCCTCATATTGTCTTATGCCCAATTTCTGCCTCCAAAGAAAGAAGAAGTAAAAACTAAAAGGCAGAAATGAAATCCACAGGCAGACAGCCCGGCGCCACACCCTGGGCTTGGTAGTTAAAGATCGACCCCTGACCTAATTGGTTATGTTATCTACAGACTCCAGACATTGTATAGAATAGCACTGTGAAATCCCTGTCCTGTTCTGCTCCGTTCTAATTACCGGTGCATGCACCCCAAGTCACGTACCCCCTGCTTGCTCAATCGATCAAGACCCTCTCAAACGGACCCCCTTAGAGTTGTAAGCCCTTAAGACGGACAGGAATTGCTCACTCGGGGAGCTCGGTTTTTGAGACGTGAGTCTTGCCAATGCTCCTGGCTGAATAAAGCCCTTCCTTCTTTAACTCGGCGTCTGAGGGGTTTTGTCTGCAGCTCATCCTGCTACAGTTAAATTAGAGGGTAAAAATGTTGTGTCCTTCTCAGAAAGTGAAGAAAAGTTCTAAGTGTAGTGAAAACTTATGCATGAATGACTATCTTAACCCACTGATTACAGAGAGTCTTTGATTTGTACTCGCTAAAAGAGTCCTAAATTGAGTTTCCCAGCTAGTGAGTCACAGTTTTCAAGACTGTTTGCTAGATTAAAGTCTATAAACTTGGCCAGCCTGAAAACTCAATTACAAGATTTAAGCTACTCTGCCTATGGCTTTAAGCACATGGTTAAAGTTTATTATTTAAGTCTCTGCTTCTAGAGATGCTTTCAGGTTTTCTTTTTAAACTTCTTGTTACTTATTTCAGCTTGCCATCTTAATGATTAATGAAGTCAATTGCTAAGTTATGACCCTGATATCATCAGGATTCCTTTAAGTAAAAGGCAATTTGGAGCAGCATTGCACTCCCCAATACTTAATGCTTTAACACTGTTTACTGACAGGTCTGGTAAAGATGGAAAAGCGGCTGTCTAGTAGAGACCACATAATTCAATCACTCGATCTGAGTTTACTAGCCCCAGAGAGCTAAGGTTACTCTGTTTATTTATTAAAGAACTTTTACAACCTTAAACTCACTCTGGACTTTCCAGCCTTATGTTGGGGGTTACAAGTGGCGCCCCGAACAGCAACAGGATCGGGTGCTCTGCATTACCCTATGACACAGTTACCCTAAGACAGAGCCAAACCTATTTGGCTGCAGATCCCCACATTCCCCAACCAACTTTACCAAAAAACTATTTTTTAAAACTTCATATCTCTCTCTCTCTCTCTCTCTCTCTCTCTCATCTATAGCTTAATTGGTCTCCAAAATTGGGAGGAGAGAAAAAAATATTCCTTATGGGACCTTGAAATCCCAAAAATATACCTCATGATCCTCCACCTCAAGGAATCAAGTCAAAATTTTTTAAGTATTACATTTTAGTCAATGACACCTGAGTTCCTCCAGAAAAGGGTTGTTTTTGGAAAATCCTGCGATAACCCAGCCAATTAGTTGTGACATTGGAGATGGAGGTGTAAAGGGAGTAAGAGGCCCAAGACAGCTAAACTTCTGCCCAGGCTGGAGTGCAGTGGAGTGATCTCAGCTCACTGTAACCTCAAATTTGTGGGCTCAAGCAATCCTCCTGCCTCAGCCTCCCAAGTAGCTAGGACTATAGGCCACCCTAGCTAATTGTTTTTTATAGAGACGGTCTCAAACTCCTGGTCTCAAGTGATTGTCCCACCTTGGCATCCCAAAGTGCTGAGATTACAGGCATAAGCCACCATGCCTGGCCTACAAAGAGATTTTTAAAGGCTTAAGCTAGGGAGAGTTTTTTTTAGGCAAGTCAGAGGAGACTTCCCTAAAGAATGTGCTAAAACCTGAAGGTTGACGAGTTTCACCAGGTGCCAGTGGGCAAGGGATGGGGAGAGCAGTCCAGGTAGAGGGACTAGCATGTGCAGAAGCCTTGCGTACAGCCACATCTGAGGCCAGCACTTTCCCTGAATGTAACAGGTACCTTAAATTCTCTAAACCCAGCTTTTCTTTTCTTTTTTTTTTTTTTTAGTTGTGGAATAAGAATGAGCTACTAAGAAACAGGAAACTCTTGAAACCACCCGGTCCCAGCACTGCCTGTGTGGCTACCTGCCCGTGGGTCAGTGGCCCCCCTCCAGCGATGGATCCAGAAGCAAGCCCAAGCAGCTACCTAGTTCTCTTGGACTGGGGGCTGTCTCTGGTACTCTCTCTACTGGCAGGATGCTGCCAACCCAATGTGCATGGGTTTAATTGCAATGGAGTAATAGTCCTGGGGAGATGTCCCTTAACTGTAGCCCTATCACAAGGTATCTGCCTGTAGCCCCATGGTGGATGTCTGTCTGCAGCCCCATTGCAGGGTGTCTGGATTGATGAGTATCCTAGGCACTGCCAACGCTGACTTCCTTCTCCTGACTGGTTCTGTAGCCCTGTGGTGGGGTGTCTGTAGCCCCATTGTGGGGCATCTGTTTGTGGCTCCACCATGGGGTCTCTGTGTCTGTAGCCCCACTGAGGGGTGTCTGTTCAGCTCCTGTGAGGGTCTCAGTTGGCTCTTTCTAACTAGTAGGAAGAGTCCTGGTTCGGGAGACTTCTCCTCAATCAGGAAGATTTCAAGGAGGTTTCTCAGATGGAGAATAGGAGGACAGTTTGGAAGGGATACTCTCGGAGTTCTTGGTTAGGGATCTGATTTGGAAGGCCTTCTGTCCATCTCATCTTTGTGTGTGTTTGTACATGTGAAAGGGATCTCAGAAGGGGTTGCTGATGGAAGTCCAGCAGGCCCAACTCAGAGAACCCTCCTTATTTGTCTGGTCACATTCAATGAGCCCTAAAGGAGGCTCAACAAGGTGACTATCTCTTCTTTGCCTTGCCCAGAGACCCCAACTGTGAATTACCATTCGGAGGTCGTCCCTCCCCACCTAGAGTGGATCAAAGACAACAGGGACCAACGGGAAGAAGTTTGAGCTTTGCTAGGTTGATTATGGGTGCTGAACGAGGTAACTAATGTCTGTTTTGTTATGTATATTTTGCTGGGTTGGAAAATGTTAATTCGGCTCCCCATGCAGCCCATTGGGCAGCATCTTGCAAATTAAGAATATTGTCTATGGTTTCATAAAACAATAAAGGGTGATTTTCTCTTGTAAAGTGGCTTGAAACCCACATCTATAGCACAAGCAAGCAGGGGCATCAGAAGCCACTCCGTTCTTCTGGAAGCTGCAGAGAAAGGGAACCCGGAAACCTGATATGCCAGCAAAAAGGGTAAGAAATTCTTATTAGCCAAGTTTCTGGTCTCTCTCTCTCTTTCTCTGTCTTGGTAAATAGTAAACTGTCTCCTCTGCGAGGGTTTGATTAGTAGAAAAAAGGATTTGCGAGACTAGTCTTAGGCTGTAGCAAATCTGGTGTAGTTTGTGCTAAGAATTTGTCCTTCTGTATTCTGCAATGGAGAAAGGGGTATCACAGGATAGAACGTGGGTTTAGGACCCCATAAGCCTGCTTTTCAAGCCAGCTCAGCAGGCTGGTCAGTTACAAACTTTGCTACGGGTTCCTGAAGCCAATACTGTATGAAATTTCTCTGTCTTGTTCTGTGTGCTTAAGAGCTTAACCTTGTGACAATGTGGAGATACTTTCTTTTGGTTTCCACCATCCAGAAGACAGGAATTTTGGGGTTCATATCATAGTCCTAAAAATTTTTCTTGAACAGTTAAAAGTCTTGCAAATTTGAAATTGGCTTCTTTAGGCTCCTTCTGGGGAAAGCTAGAAACTGCTCAATGCTGGATAGCTCAGTAGCTAAGGCATTATCTTTTGACAGTGGTGGCCTGGGTTCAATTGTTGGCGTCTGGAATGATTCCTTTCTGGTTTGTTATTTCTGTAACTTTGCCATTTATTGAGGTTCTCCCCCCCTCCCCCCCCCCGATTGATAGCTTCTAATTTCCTCTCTTGAATTTTCCTTTCTCTGAGCTACTTTGTGGAGATTCTAAATCTTGTAAAAAAGAAACTGCCTACCATGTCTTTGAAGCACCTAGGAGTTTACCTCTGGTAAAGCTCAGAAACTAGAAATATTGGCTGCTTGGCATGGCTAAAGTTGGGTAATAAGAGATCTGAACGGATTTCTTTTTTAAAGAGCACTATGGTTAAAATTCAGCTTAATTAAAAGTGGATAAACAAGCTATAGATATATTTTAAAGTCCTTTAACTTTTTCTCTTCTCGGACCTTGTTTTTCTGGAAAAAGGTTTTTTTCTTCTCAGTCAACTGAATTATTTTCCTCCGATTTTTTTTTTTTTTTTGTCTTGCCACTCTTCATGCACACATGAGAGGCTCTGAGATAACTTCTGGTAGCCTGGGACTCATTGGGAAAAACAGAGGAAGTACCACAGACCCCGTTTTGGGGAAAAACCTCTGTTTTCCTTATAAAACTCCAGGAATTAAAAGTGGATAGCTCCCTCTCAAAATCAAAGGCTCTGTTCTGTTTTACATTGTGTTATCTGACGGTTTTGAGTTTTGGGGGTATCAGAAATTACTTTGCATTATGAGAGAGCTTTGGTGTGTAACCACTAGGTAGGAAATACACTTTAAGGGATGGCTAATAGTACTTATGGAGGGATACTTGACTCTTTGCACACTTGGATCAGGGAAGCATGCTCTTGGCCACCTGGAAGATAAGGGAATATCCTCACCCCACACTGGGAGATGAAACTCCCATGAAGGATGGGCTAATTACAAAATGGGCTGATTAGCTTTGGGTTACCTGCAGCGAAATGCAGAGCAGAAGCACTGCACTGTCTTCTCCTTTTGGGGATCCAGTATAAAATGGCACCCTTAATTTTGGGGCTCTGTCTTTGCCTTCAGCTGCTTATTTGCTGCTTATTTGGCCCTAGAAATGGATGCTTTCCTGGTCCTGTTCCTCCAAGGGCTCCAGCCTGAAGCCAGTAATCCAATTAAGAAACTGGCAAATGAAAAATCTTACAAGTGCTGAATCTTCTGTCTGTCTGTATTTATATGTGTTGCATGTGTGTGTGTGTTTACATATAAAAGAGCTCTGATTACTTGGCTTAGAAAAATAAGTGCCCGGCCGAGCGCAGTGGCTCACATCTGTAATCTCAGCACTTTCGGAGCCTGAGGTGGGCAGATCACGAGGTCAGGAGTTCAAGAATCTATTTTGTGACATCCAGTGTTTTAAACCTTTGATATTTGACAAATTTTCCAAAATCAAATTATAAATTATGTCTCTTCCTAACCTAATATTTTAGATATTAGGTCCTCTAAAACCCAAAAATGACTGTGTGCCACAGAGGTAAATTTCCTTGTCAATTGTGCCTTTAACTGTGGCTGCCCTAAAATGTTTTTGTCATCTGCCGATAATTGTTGTCTCACTTTGCTCCTCTTTAAAAGGTAATTTTATAATCAGCTACAAAATTTAACAGGTCCTCTTTTTTTTTTTTTTTTTTTTGGAGACAACATCTCACTCGCTCTTGTCCCCCAGGCTGGAGTGCGATGGCACAATCTTGGCTCACTGCAACCTCCGCCTTCTGGGTTCAAGCAATTCTCTTGCCTCAGCCTCCCAAGTAGCTGGGATTACAGACAACTGCCACCACACCTGGCTAATTTTTGTATTTTTAGGAGAGACGGGGTTTTGCCATGTTGGCCAGCCTGGTCTCGAACTCCTGACCTCAGGTGATCCACCTACCTTGGCCTCCCAAAGTGCTGGGATAACAGGCGTGAGCCATAGCGCCCAGCCTAACAGGTGCTCTTAAATCCAGTTTTCTGATTAATAACTAGGAGATTGTGACATTAGAATAGAAAAAAAAACTTTCAAATAGAAGAGTGAATAGTGTTTGGTTTTCTTTGGACTGTATTTGTATAAATATGTTATTGGTATGTGTTCCAAAATTATGAGAAACTTCTATAATGTTGATATAATTTAGTGTACTTTATCAATAATTATAATTGTTATGTAAAATTGTTGTATGCCACAGAAGTAACCAAAATTCCTAGTCAATTGTAGCTATAGACTTTTGTCATCCACAGACATTTTGTCTTGCTTTAGTCCTTTTCAAAAGGTAGTTTATAATCAGATACAGGACTCTGAGTTCAGGTCTCAGATAACTTTAAAAACTGTGCTATTGGTCAGGTGTGGTGGCTTATGCCTGTAATCCCAACACTTTGGAAGGCCAAGACAGGCAGATCACTTGAGGTCAGGAGTTCAAGACCAGCCTGGCCAACATGGTGAAACCCCATCTCTACTAAAAATATGAAAATTAGTTGGGCGTGGTGGCACACACCTGTAATCCCAGCTACTCAGGAGGCTGAAGGAGGGGAATTGCTTGAACCTGGGAGGTGGAGGTTGCAGTGAGCCAAGATCATGCCACTGCACTTCCAGCCTGGGTGACAGAGCAAGACTCTGTCTCAGAAAAAAAAAAAAAAATGTGCTATTGGAATAGAGGAAAAAAACCAAACTTCTAGGACTCTCATGGAGAGCTAATGTGTTAAACATTGCTAAACCTTTTGTGTTCAGTCAAGATAACTTATTTCTTTAGAGCTATTTGCAACTTTTAACAAATGAGTAAAATATACTCCTGTGAACAAAACTTGGAGCATATTTGTTCCTCTCTGCCTGATTTCTCCAGAATTTGGAAACTATTTGTGAGTATTCTCAACTTACAGAGGTATAGTTAATTGCATAAGTGCAATAAGAATCTGTTTTCTTTTGTAACAGGACACAACTGGAGAAATTGGTTATTTTACCAAGGCTTTGACTTGAATGGCATGCTTCCTTTAAAGAATCAAAGTGGACTTTTAGAGCCAATTAAAGCCCATTGGGGCATCTGGCCTTATACCTTGTCCACACAGGGTGCCTGTACAAGGTTTCTGATCTGTGGTAAGTAAAGAATGTCATTTTCTAACAGGCCCAGGAACACCAAGTTATCTTGGGACCTCAAGAGGAGAGGAATTCACCCAACTCATAGGTATTTGAGGGTACAAATCCATGGCTGGGGTTGGCCTTTAAAAAGTCTTATCTGAGATTCTTCATGGAAGAGAGTTCTATCAAAGCCAATTTTAAAAGCCTAATTGAAAAATAATTATTCTTGCTGCACCTTATGCAAATAATCAGGCCAAGTACAGTTAAGACTGAAGTTTATTTTGTAAGCAAATCAGTTCTATCATGATTGTTTTTAATAAAAATGGGCACTGGAGAGAGAAAAATTGTGCTTCAAAAGAAAAACTATAGTACACTGTTGTTAGCTGTTCTTGAGGTTTTTTCTGCAGTTTAGACTAAATTCTAAATTCTTTATGGGTTAGAAGTCTCCAAACTAATGCTTTCAAATCTTTGCTTTTAAACTTGGGAATTGTACTCCTCATCCTAGGACTCATTATTTACCTTATAGTATGCTGTTCACATAAATACTGTACTAAAACTATAGATGAGAATACTAATGTTTTTACCTTGCAAGCCTTGGAAGCTCAACCATGCCTGCATGAGTATGCTCAGACAATTGCAAAGCAGTTCCACTCTTCCCACCTTGGGGTTCACTCTCATTCCCACTATGTCCCCTTTCAGCAGGAAGAAGCCAAAGTGATCAACAGCCTTTTCCCATCTTCATAGCCTACACCTTAAGATTGAGGTATTATAAAACCCAAAGGGAGGGATTGAAACTACCTTTGCAAAAGTATGGCTGAGACAGTGAAAGGGATCTAACTTAACTGACTCCATCTTGCTTCTAACCTCCAAGTTGTCCTTGTTCATTCCTGGGCATAGGCTGAACTAACTTTGGGAGAAACTTAGTTTATAGTTTAAACAAAGATGGTAACAGCCCTTTCCCAAAGCAGACCTCCTTCTTCCCTGGGGACTAGATTGCCTTCGTAGGACTAACATTAGCCACAAGATTAGAAATTATGGTTTAGGAGTCATGAAGCTGGAGGCTACAAAATTCTGACCCTCCCTAAACTGCTCCTAAGATCAGGGCTTGAGATATTTTGCAGACCCTGTACTTGATGGATCAGCTGGCATCACTCAGATCAATAAACTGGCTCACCTGATCTTGTGGCCCCCGACCCAGGAACTGACTCATCACAAGCAGACAGCTTTGACTCCCTATGATTTCATCCCTGACCAATCAGCACTCCTGGCTCACTGGCTTCCCCCCACCCACCAAGTTATCCTTAAAAACTCTGCTCCCCAGGCCAGGTGCAGTGGCTCATGCCTGTAATCCTAGCACTTTGGGAGGCCAAGGTGGGCGAATGCTGGGGGAGACTGATTTGAGTAATAATAAAACTCCAGTCTCCCCCATGGCCGGGCCTGTGTGAATTACTCTTTCTCTATTATAATTCCCTGTCTTGATGAATTGGCTCTTGTCTAGGCAGTGGGTAAGGTGAACCCCTTGGGCAGTTACAGTCTCTTTTGCTGACTTCTAGAAATTATATTAACTACCATTTATTAAGCAAGCTTTATGTTCCAGGCAAGGTGCTAAGAGTTTTACAGACCATATTTCTTTTTTTTCTTTTTTTTTTCTGAGACAGTTGAGACAGTCTCACTTCTTTTGCCCAGGCTGGAGGGTAGTGGCGTGTGGCTCACTGCGGCCTCAACCATCCAGGCACGAGCAGTCCTCCCATCTCAGCCTCCTGAGTAGCTGAGACTACAGGCATATGCCACCACACCATTTTTTTTTTTTTTGGTAGAGACAGGGTCTCATTATGTTGCCCAGGCTGGTCTTTAACTCCTGGGTTCAAGTGATCCTCCTGTCTTGGTTTACCAAAGTGCTGGGATCACAGGTGTGAGGCATTGTGCCCAGCCTACCTTCTCATTTTGAAAGCAATACAATACCAACTTTAATGGTAATACACTCTTATGTAATAAACAAAGACATTTACAAATATCAGAAACCCAGTTTTGAAACATTTGCATTAACTGTGACCTGAATCAACTTTTTTTTTTTTTCAGACAGAGTCTCACTCTATCGCCCAGGCTGGAGTGCAATGGCACGATCTTGGCTCACTGCAACCTCCATCTCCTGGGTTCAAGCAATTCTCCTGCCTCAGCCTCCCGTGTAGCTGGGATTACAGGTGCATGCCACTATGCTAATTTTTGTTCCAGACCAGCCTGGACAACATAATGAGACTCTACAAAATTAATTAATTAACTAATTAATTAAAAATGATGTTTCTAAAGAATGTAACTTACACACTATGTTGTTAACAGTGTTAACTCAGTGGATGAAAGTGGTTTGCCACACTCATGCATATAATAAATGACAAACATACTTGTTTGAAAGATGCTTCTTTGAAAGCTACTTAGTGGTCAAGCATGGTGGCTCATGCCTGTAATCCCAGCACTTTGGGAGGCCGAGGCAGGAGAATTGCTTGAGTCCAGGAGTTCAAGACCAGCCTAGGCAACATAACGATACTCTCTACAAAAAATTTAAAATTAGCAGAGTGTGGTGGCATAGTTCCAGAACTCTGGGAGGCTGAAGTGGAAGGATCACTTGAGTCCAGCAGTTCTAGGCTGCAGTGAGCTGTGATCATACCACTACACTCCGGCCTGGGTGACAGAGCTACAATATGTTATGAACAGTGTTATTTTAGTGAATGGAAGTAATGTATGTAGTGAAGCGTCTGAAGACACATGTTTAAATAATGTTTCAGATCTTATGGACAGCTGCAAACCATGTCATTCAGAATACACAATCTTCTCAAGTGCACATGGAACATTCTCCAAGATAGAGTATATATCAGGTCACAAAATAAGTCATAACAAATTAAGAAAACTGAAATCATAACAAGTATCTTTTCTGATCACAATGGTATAAAACTAGAAATCAATAATAGGAGTAATTTCAGAAAATTCACAAATATGTAGAATTTAAACAACATGCTCCTATACAACCAATGGGTCAAAGAATTATTTTTTTTTTTGAGATGGGGTCTCACTCCGTCACTCATACTGGAGTGCAGTGACATGATAGTGAGATGAGAAGTCTTCTTCCGATCAAAGGTTTTTCTTGATCGAAGAGTTTGTGGTCTCATGGGCTTCAAGGAATGAAGCTGTGGACCACAGTGGCAAGTGTTACAGCTCAATTAGAGAAACGTGTGGACCCAAAGAGTGTGTGGCAGCAAGATTTATTAAAGCGAAAGTGAATGTAAAGCAAAAGTGAAAGTAAAGCTTCCACGTGGTGGAAGGGGACCTGGAAGGGTTGCCCTGGCTTGAGTGTCTTATGCTTATATGCCCTTATGACTCCTTCCCTTTTCCTTTTCCTTTTCCTGTCCTATAGGATTAGCTTATTTTCTATCCGCTTGTGGGTTGGTGGGCCTGATTGGTTAAAAACATCACGCTGCAGCTAGAGCTTAAACTCCCTATATGATTGGTTGAAGTTTCAATCCCTTAGCTTGCAGCTATGACTCATTTTGGCTTAGGAGAAAGTCCCCTTTGATTGGTTGAAGTTTCAATCCCTTAGCTTGCAGCTATGACTCATTTTGGCTTAGGGAAAAGTCCCCTTAGGGAAGTCCCTATTGACCCAGGAAGTCCAGCCAACTTAGCCACTTAGTCGCTCAATAGCTCACCACAACCTCAACCTCCTGGGTCCAAGTGATCCCCCCACCTCAGCCTCCCCAGTAGCTTGGGACTACAGGCTCATACCACCACATCTGGCTTTTTGTATTTTTTGTAGAGAAGGGGTTTCACCATGTTGCCCAGGCTGGTCTCAAACTTCTGGGCTTAAGCAATCTGCCTGCCTTGGCCTCCCAAAGTGCTGGGATTACCGGTGTGTGCCACTGTGCCCAGCCTCAAAGAAGAAATTTAAAAATCTTTTGAGGCCGGGCACAGTGGCTCATGCCTGTAATCCCAGCAGTTTGGGAGGCCCAGGTGGGCGGGTCACCTGAGGTCAGGAGTTCAAGATGGCCAACATGGTAAAACACGGCCAACATGGTGAAACCCCATTTCTACTAAAAATACAAAAATTAGCCGGGTGCAGTGGCACACACTTGTAATCCCAGCTACTTGGGAGGCTGAGGCAGGAGAATCACTTGAACTGAGGAGGCAGAAGTTGCAGTGAGCCAAGATCGCACCACTGCACTCCAGCCTGGGTGACAGAGCAAGACCCTGTCTCCAAAACAAAAGAGGAATGTTGAAAAAAGAGTAATGTTTCTCAGCACGACAAAGACTATCTCTGACAAGCCCACAGCTAACATATTTAACTGTGAAAATATTTTTTCCTCTAAGATCAGGAACAAGACAAAGATGCCAACTCTCACCATGTCTATTCAATATAGTACTGGAAGTCCTAGCCACAACAATCAAGCAAGAAAAAGCATGACAGACATCCAGATAGGAAAGAAGTAGAAGAAAATTTTTAAATGCTACTTACAAAGTTTGTTGTGAACCGTGTAACTTCCATGTAAGGAAGTAATGAATGTAGTGAAGTGTTTGTAGTCATGTTAAACAGGCTTCTGAAATGTTATTTATATACTATTTTAAAAAGACGTTTCCACAAATGTTACTTATGCAGTGTGTTGTGAAAAGTATTACTTTGGTGAAGGAACGTGGTTACCATACTGAAATTGATGTAAAATATTGGTCCAAACTCCTGACATTCCCTGAAAAGATTTATGGGAATTTCTTTGCTCTCAAGAGATTAATAAGAAATGGAATGAAGCCGGGCACAGTGGCTCATGCCTGCAATCCCAGCACTTTGGGAGGCTGAGGTAGGCAGATCATTTGAGGTCAGGAGTTCAAGACCAGCCTGGCCAACATGGTGAAATCCCATCTCTGCTAAAGATACAAAAATTAGCCAGGCGTGGTGGCAGGCGCCTGTACTCCCAGCTACTCAGGAGGCTGAGAAAGGAGAATAGCCTGAATCCAGCCAGAAGATGTTGCAGTGAGCCAAGGTCAAACCACTGCACTCCAGCCTGGGCAACAGAGTGAGACTGTGTCTCAAAAAAACAAAAACAAAAAAATAAAAATAAAGAAAAAGAAATGGAATGAGATCCTAAACTCTAAAGCCATGCCAAAACAACCTTCCTTTGAGGATTCCAGCTGACTATATTATGGCTCATTCTCATGCACATTTTGAAACAGATGGGCAAATTCTATCAAGGAAAGTTCAGAGCTCAGATGGTCACTAAGAAAACTACAACCAACTATGCGGTTAACAAGCAAAATCTTCGAAGTTCTCTATCTCTCTATTTTATTTTTTTCCTGCCTACTTTCAATCTGCTGACTTTTCTGCTGGTGTTGAGATAAAAATCACTGCTTATGACATTTGAGCCAAGATTTTTTAAAAAAAGACTTAAAGCCATTTCAAATTAATGACTTTACAAATAACAGCTCCATGATAAACAACCTAGACACCTGAACTGTCCCTTTCGGAAATGTAAATTTAGGTTTGCCTGCCTAACAACTGTGTATGGTGACAAAACAGGTAATTGAAAGACTAATAGTCTAGAAGAATTACATAAATGTTTAGAAAAGTTAGGCTCTCAGATCAGACAGGTTAAAATCTTGAGCTCAGAGCCATAATGTAAGTATCAGTGTCTGGCATAAAAATTGCTTTATCTGCCACTCAAGGAGTTAGAAAAAAATTTTTAAATGCAGATAATCTTTTTCCCACCCACACTGGAGCAGGTGGTGAAGCAAAGTAGGTCTGAGGACTGGATTGCCATGTGGACACTGTGTTAATTTCTTTTTCTTTTCTTTTTCTTTCTTTCTTTTTTTTTTTTTCTGAGACTGAGTCTCACTCTGTCCCCCAGGCTAAAGTGCACTGGGTCCATCTCTGCTCACTGCAACCTCCACCTCCCAGGTTCCAGTGATTCTCCTGCCTCAGCCTCCTGAGTAGCTGGGATCACAGGCGTGTGCCACCACGCCCAGGTCATTTTTGTAATTCTTGTCGATTTCCTGATAAAGGGGAGAGTGATTGTTACCTGGGAGAGTGTCCCTGCTTTGGGTAAAAAAACAAGTATTTTGTGTGAAATTACAAATCTGGTACAGCAATAACCACTGGAGACTTTGATAGAAAGGACAGGGATTTGTATTGCTATTGCAAGTTTTCCATAAGAATGAAATTATCAAAAAGTAATTACTTTTATTTATTTATTTATTTAAGACAGTCTCCCTCTGTCGCCCAGGCTGCAATGCAAAGGTGCAATTTCACTGCAACCTCCACCTCTCAAGTTCATGAGATTCTCTTGCCTCCGCCTCCCGAGTAGCTGGGATTATAGGTACACATCACCATGCCCTGCTATTTTTGTATTTTTTGGTAGAGACGGGGTTTCACCATGTTGGCTAGGCTGATCTCGAACTCCTGGGTTCAAGTGATCCTCCTGCCTGGGCCTCTCAAAGTGCTGGGATTACAGGCGTGAGCCACCACGCCCAGCCTCAAAAAGTAATTACTTTTTTTTTTTTTGAGACGGAGTCTTGTTCTGTCGCCCAGGCTGGAGTGCAGTGGCTCAATCTCAGCTCACTGCAACTTCCGCCTCCTGGGTTTAAGCGATTCTCCTGCCTCAGCCTCCGGAGTAGCTGGGATTACAGGCACCTGCCCCTACACTCGGCTAATTTTTGTATTTTTAGTAGAGACGGGGTTTTACCATGTTGGCCAGGCTGGTCTTGAACTCCTGACCTCAGTAATTACTTTTTTAAACAACCATGTGGGCTGGGTTCGCTTGCGTGAGGAACGCTTGCATCCAGGAGCTGAAGACCAGCCTGGGCAACATAGACATCTTCTCTACAATAAAATTAAAAATTAGCCAGGCTTGGTGGTGCATGCCTGTAGTCCCAGCTACTCAGGAAGATGAAACGGGAGGATCCTTCAGCCCAGACGTTAAAGGCTGCAGTGAGCTATGATCGTGCCACTGCACTCCAGCCTGACAGATTGAGACTGTCTAAAAAATGAAAAATAAGGCTAAGGCATGGTGGTTCAGGCCTGTAATCCCAGCACTTTGGAAGGCTGAGGCGGGCGGATCACTTGAGGTCACGATTTGGAGCCTGGGCAACATAGGGAGCTCTGTCTCTAGAAAAAAAAAATCAATCAATCAATCAATCAACCACGTCAATACCGCGTCAGTAAAGCAGAGGTGACACCAAACTTCATTCCAGAGGCTAAGCCTGACCCAAATCCAGTTCAGCCAAAGCTAGGAAACCAGTCTCCCTGGTAAGCCTCTGAATGTGATGTTAGTATTAAAAGGCTGCTGCGTGGTATTATACTAGCAGCCACTGTGTCTTAGCTGTTGAGAAGGACCTCCTGTGTGGTGGAAACCGGGGTTTTTTATTTCCAAAATTCCACATGAAGCCCTTCCTCTACTGGGGGTTCTGAAGACCAACTGCTCCTCAGTAGTCAGGACTGTGACAGGAAGGATTTTACTCACCACTGACGCAGCCTCAAGTTGTCTCAAAGTGAGGCGGTGTCCCCTTAGATCTGTGTTGAGGAAAATGAGGTTCTCCTCCTCACTGCGGGCCCGGCGCTGGCGGCCGCAGTAGGAGCACGGAGGCGGTGGGGGCTTCTCAGGGGTCCGACAAGGCGGCTCGCACGCCCCCTGCTGGTCATCTGGGGCAGCGCGGGGCCCTCGGCGCTCGCTCACTGTTTAGCGGTGGCCGCGTGCCCCCTCCTGGCTGTCTGGTTGAATTAATTAAATTCAGATCGTTCAATGCCATGATTACGGACGTTCAAAATAAAATGGGGCCCACTATCCTGTGTCTTTCTCAAAAATGTTAAAGAAATTATTAATCGGAACGAAATAAATGTAGATCCAAACTTTACAAGTTTCACAAAAATTCATTCAAAATAGTCCATTGACTTAAATTTAAAATACAAAGCTGGCCGGGCGCGGTGGCTCACGCCTGTAATCCCAGCACTTTGGGAGGCTGAGGCGAGCGGATCACCTGAGGTCGGGAGTTCGAGACCAGCCTGACCAACATGGAGAAACCCCCGTCTCTACTAAAAATACAAAATTAGCCGGGCGTGGTGACGCATGCCTGTAATCCCAGCTACTCGGGAGGCTGAGGCAGGAGAATCGCTTGAACCTGGGAGGTGGAGGTTGCTGTGAGCCGAGATCGCGCCATTGCACTCCAGCCTGAGCAACAAGAGCGAAATTCCGTCTCAAAAAAATAATAATACAAGCTATAAAAATTCTAAAGTTACATTAAATCACATGGAAAGCAATGTCAAATGAGAACTACTTAGCCAGGCACAGTGGTTCACACCTTAATCCCAGCACCTTGAGCGGCTGAGGTGGGAGAACCGCTTGAGCCCAGGAGTTTGAGACCAGCCTAGACACCCCTGCACCCTGCAACCAACCCACCTCTACAAAAAATACAAAAATTAGGTTGCTCTGCCTGTGGAGTAGCCATTCTTTTGTTTCTTTACTTCTCTAATAAACTTGCTTTCACACACACACACACACACACACACACACACACACACACACCATAGCCGGGTGTGATGGCACACACTTATAGTCCCAGCTACTAGGGAGGCTGAAGTGGGAGGATCGCCTGAGCCCAGGAGGTCAAGGCTGCAGTAAGCCATGATTAGGCCACTGCACTCCCACCTTGGTGGAAGAGACCTTCTCTCAAAAAAGAGAGAGAGAGAAAGAGATACTAACCTTCTCTAGGTTATATTTGTATGGGTAAAATGTTATTGTTTCAGAAATTGTGTCAAGTCCCTGGAAATTTGTCAATGTCCTCCCTATCCAAGATATGTCCCAATGTAATGTTATAAGTCATAATTTCAGTTAGTATTTTAAATGTTGTATGCCACAGAAACAACCAAATTTCCTTGCATTATAATGAACTTTCATTAGATCTTAACCATAGCCAATTTATATCTTTTTTTTTTTTTTTTTTTGAGACGGAGCCTCACTCTGTCACCCAGGCTGCTGGAGTGCCGTGGCACAATCTGGGCTCACTGCAACCTCCACCTCTTGGGTTCAAGCGATTCTCTTGCCTCAGCCTCCCCAGTAGCTGGGACTACAGGAGCCTGCCACCACGCCTGGCTAATTTTTGTATTTTTAGTAGAGACGGGGTTTCACCATGTTGGCCAGGCTGGTCTCGAACTCCTGATCTCAAGCAAGCCCACCTGGGCCTCCCAAAGTGCTGGGATTACAAGCGTGAGCCACTGCCCCTGGCCTATTATTATTATTTTTAGAGACGGCATCTTGCTCTGTGTCCCAGGCTGTAGTACAGTGGCATCATCATAGCTCACTGCAGCCTGGAATTTTGGGGCTCAGGCAATCCTCCCGCCTCAGCCTCCCAAGTAGCTAGAAATACAGGCATATGCCACCACGCCAGGCTTTTTTTTTTTCTTTTTTGATGGATTAGAGATGGAGCCTCACTATGTTGTCCACACTGGTATCAAACTCTTGGGTTGAAGCATCCTTCCACCTCAGCTGCCTGAGTATCTGGGATTATACGCCACCACACCCAACTATTGCTGGTTCTTTAATGTTCTATTTTCTGGATTTAAAGAAACTTTTTCTCTTATGATAACTATATCCTATAACAATTTAGGAGACTATACTTTTATAAACAGAAATGAAATATTTATCTTTTTCTCCCTGCCTGATCCCTCCAGAATTTAGAAACTCTTATTGAATATTTTTAGTTTCATGGCAATATAGTTATTTGCATAAATTCAATAAGAATCTCTTTACCTTATAACAGGACATAATTGAGAAAATTGGTAATGTCACAAATGCATTGACTGTAATGTCCCAGTTGAGAATGATGTACATAGGATCAGATATGACCAGATAATTTTAAGGAACTAAGGTTGACTTTACAGAACCAATGTTCACCAAAACCTCTAGGTTACAAAACCCTCTGTGTGACAGGGAGCCTGATACCTGAATTACAGAGTTCCAAACCTAACAAGTGAGTAGAGATGGTCACTTCCTGAAAAGACCAGAAAACAGGATATTTTGGGGTCAAGAAGAGGAGAATTCACCCAAATCTATAGTTACTGCAGGTGAAGTCTGGTGGTAGATCCTTGGCTTGGCTTCCTAGCCTCAAGAGGGCTTTTAAAAGTCCAACCTGATAGTCCTTTTTTTTTTTTTTTTTTTTTAAATTGAGACAGGTTTTGCTTGTGGCCAGGCTGGTCGAACTCCCGGGCTCAAGAGATCCCCTGACCTTGGCTTCCCAAAGTGCTGGGATTACAGGTATGAGACACCATGCCCAGCCTCAACCTAACATTCCTTATGAAAAGTTCCAGGAAAGCCAACTTAAAAAGACCTATATGGTTACCATTCTTACTGAACTTATGTAAATAATCAGGCAAACTCTAAGTCTGATCTAGACTTATTTTGCAAACAAGAATAATTTTACTTTGATTATATTTCATCAAAAATAAGGGTGACTGTACAAAAAATTTTATGTTTCAATGGAAAACGATAACTCACTCTTGAGATTTTAGAATCTCACAGGATCAGATTCTAATCCTGTTCATTGTCTTTGAGCTATTTTCACCTCTTTGAAAACTGGATCCTGCCATTTGGTGCATTATGTCCTACAAAGATACTTGCAGGAAAAGAAGCCAAGTATTGTCCCCTGCTAATGTGTCTATTGTCAGTTAACTTACAGATCTTCAACCACTGGAACAAAGTTAGAAGAGGCAAGTTTTGCTCTCAAAAATGCATGGGCAAATTGGGATATATTCATGTAATAGAATACTAATCAGCAATATAAAGAAACAAATTAGGCTAGGCATGGTGGCTCACACCTGTAATCCCAACACTTTGGGAGGCTGAAGCAGGGTTGCTTGAGTCCAAGAGTTTGAGACCAGCCTGGGCAACATAGTGAGACCCCATCTCTATCTAATTAATTTTTTAAAAAAGAAAAGAAAAAGAAAATCTGGAAAGCCAGATTTGTTGTTATTATTATTGAGACAGGGTCTCACTCTGTTGCCCAGACTGAAGTGCAATGGTGTGATCATGACTCACTGCAACCTCAAACTCCTGGGCTTAAGAAATCCTCCTGCTTTCTAAGCAGCTGGTACTACAGGTGTGTGCAACCACATTCAGCTAATTTTTTTTTTTTTTTTTAGTTTTTGTAGAGACAGGGTCTCACTACATTGCCCAGGCTGGTCTCGAACTCCTGGGCTTAAGTGATTCTCCTGCCTCAGCAGGGATTACAGGTATGAGCTGCTACGTCCAGCTAATATCATTCTTTTTTTTTTTTTTTTTTTGAGAAAGAGTCTTGCTCTGTCGCCCAGGCTAGAGTGCAGTGGCACATTCTTGGCTCACTGCAACCTCTGCCTCCCTGGTTCAAGCGATTCTCCTGCCTCAGCCTCCTGAGTAGCTGGGATTACAGACACCTGCCACTGTGCCCAGCTGATTTTTGTATTTTCAGTAGAGACGGGGTTTCACCATCTTGGCCTGGCTGGCCTTGAACTCCTGTCCTCGTGATCTACCCACCTCGGCCTCCCAAAGTGCTGGGATTACAGGCATGAGCCACCGCGCCTGGCCATCATTCTTTAATAAAAGGAATCAGGGCTGTTTGAAGAAATGGCTGGTACTAGGGCTGGGACAGTAAATATATGAGCTAGGATAATCTTGAACTATCAAAAAGTGTGGTCTTCAGACATTCAAAAAAGGATGAAAAATAACAAACAAAAAAAGTTAAAAAGTGTTCAGGAAAAAAAAACAGATGAAATTAATGATATTGGAGTTAAAAAGAAATTATTTAGGCAGATAGTGAGGGTAAGGAAGTCCTCAGTAAGGTTTCCCTTTTAATGAAAAGCAGCCCCAAAATCATTTATTTTCTAACAAATAGCAGCCTGTAAAATCGAGCTGCAGACATAGATAAGCAAGCTGGAAACTTGCACAGGTGAATGCTGGCAGCTGTGCCAATAGGAAAAGGCTACCTGGGGACCAAGCATGTTCAACATGGGGGCTCCATCTTCCCTTTGCTTTGCCAACCACATGTACAGTAAGGAGCAGACAACATGGGCGCTGGCTGAATAGAACATCCATTTGCATAATAAGAAGATTAGGGTGGGGTAGCCAGCTTCTTCATGCACTATGTAAATGTCACCCCTGGTCCAACTGATCTTTGGGCCCTAATGTAAATCAGACACCGCCTCCTCAAGCCAGTCTCTTTCTTTCACCTATTAAACCTCTGCTCTTAACCTCACTCCACATATGTCCGCATCCTTGATTTCCTCAGCATGAGGCAATGAACCTCAAGTATTACCCCAAACGAACAATGTCGCTTCATTAAGTCAAAGTAAAACAGGAGCCAGTGGCTGGACGTGGTGGCTCATACCTGTAATCCCAGCGCTTTGGGAGGCCAAGGTGGGTGGATCACCTGAGATCAGGAGTTTGAGACCAGCCTGACCAACAGGGCGAAACCCCATCTCTCCTAAAAACTCAAAGATTGGCAGGGTGTGGTGGCATGCACCTGTAATCTCAGCTACTCAGGAGGCTGAGACAGGAAAATCACTTGAACCTGGGAGGTGGAGGTTGCAGTGAGCCAAGACCGCGCCGTTGTACTCCAGCCTGGACAACAAGAGCAAAACTCTGTCACAAAATGAAAAAAAAAAAAAAAAAAGAGCCAATAGAAAGAGCCCCCAGTCACCAAAGTAGGCCTGAATTCCTAAGAAACAAAAGACTGCAGTATTGGAGCTTAAAGTTACTATCTGGATGTCTGTATGTTTATAAGTAAATGGATAAGCCAATGGAGTTGAATAGAAATTTACTACACAAGCCAGGCATGATGGCTCACTCCTCCAGGTGGAGTTGCCACTCTTCTCTTGGTGCCAGGCTGGTCCCTGCCCATAGCATGGCATTGTAATTGTTTGAATGTGTGTCTGTTTCTTCCAGAGACCAGGAGCTTTATTGTAACCATCCCTGAGAGGGATCCTCTCAATGTCCTCAGAACACCAGCTAGATCATGGCACATCATAAGTTCTCAGTGAAGAGTCATCCATTGAGTGAGCAATGAGCTTGATGGGACTCTCCTGGATCCGCTCTGTGCCACTACACTGAGTCATATACCGGAGACACTGTGACTACAAGTTCTGTTACAGCAAATGATATCAAGTGACAATGCAACCTAACTGGAATAATTTGTTCAGGGACTGGAGAGAGCTTAGAAACATCCTCATTCTGCTACTACTCATTCATCCTTATAATACTCCAAGACAGTCTTCCTGTGGGTGAGCCTGGAAGTCATCACTGTTTGCATCTCATTCTGCTCAAAGGTTTCCCTTTGAAACAGTGATGACCTCCAGGCTCACCCACAGGAAGACTGTCCTGGAGTTGGGAGGGTTGTAAAAGACAAGGTTCTGTATATAAAGGTGGGGATGGAGGGACATCCCTCACCAGTGCAGTGCTGCCCAGTGGGATGGGGGCGATTCATCATTGTAGTCATTATTGTCATCATCACTACCATCATCATCATCATCATTGTCACTGCCACTGTCACCATTTCCACCACCAGAGTGGCTGCCAATAGCTAAGTGCTCTGAATAGGCCTTACTGAAATTGTTCTTGCAAAAATTATGACAGTGAAAGACGTAACTGATTCCATCTTGCTTCCAACCTCACAAGCTGATTGTCTTTGCTCATTCCTGGGTGTAGGCCAAGCTTGCCATGGAAGGAGTTTAGTGTGCAGTTTAACCTTAAAGCAATAGCAATGGTACCTTCCCAAAACTACCCCCCTACTTGTCTGGGGATGGATGTCGCCTTTGTAAAACTAATAAAAGACCACAAAGTTAGAATTATAGGAGGGGTCTGAATTCTGCTAAGACCTATGCATAGATAAATGATAACTAGGCAAGCCAGGCAAGGTGGGTATGCCTGTAATCCCAACACTTTGGGAGGCCAAGGCAGGTGGATCGCTTGACCCTAGGAGTTTGAGACCAGCCTAGACCGTATCTCTACAGAAAATACAAAAAATTAGATAGGTGTGGTGGCATGCACCCGTAGTCCCAGCTACCCAGAAGGCTGAGGTGGGAGGATTGCTTGAGCCCAGAAGGTCGAGGCTTCAGTGAACTATGATTGTGCCATTGCACTCTTGCCTGGGCAACAGAGTGAAACCCTGTCTCAAAACAAAAAAAAATTAAATTAAATAAATGACAACTAGTCATGTTTTGTAACTTGCTTACTGCTCAGGAGTCATGTAGCCAGTGGTCACAAGATTTATAATTTGTAATGTACCTAATTGCCCCTATTGATAACATTGCTATTGTAAGACCTAAGACTGGTGTTTGAGATATTTTTCAGGCTTTGCATTCCGGTGGAACAACTGATGCCACTAAGACCACTGACCCCCCACCAGGAATTAAGTTCCTATGATTTTATCCCTGACCCAGCCAATCAGGATTTCTCACTCTCTGGCCCCCTGCCCGTGAAAGAAGTCCTTAAAAACCCTAGCCTCCAAATTCTCAGGGAGACCAATTTGAGAAATACCTTCTGTCTTTCCACTCAGCTGCCTTGTGATAATCAAACTCTTTCTCTGCTCCAATGCCACTATCTCAATGCATTGGCTTTATCTGTGCAGCAGGTAAGAAGAACCCATTGAGCTATAACATTATCATCTTCACAATAGTTTGTAGAAGGAAAGTGACTTGGTGGGCCAGTGACCCCCGTCCAGATCAGTCTGACTTGGAAACTCTTTCCACTCTCTCAAAACCAGCCAGCCCCCACCCTGACGCCATTGCCTGCTGGGGATGCCAATCTCTGAGCCATGCACACCCTCTGGGGCTCTGGCAACTGTGCTCTGGGTGAAAAGACAGCAGATTGAGGGTAGGAAGATATAGGCCCATGACCCAAAGCAGAATCCAGGCAGCCCACCTGGGGGCTGGGGCCATGCTTTTGGACTCACTGATAAACCATTGTGGGCATCTTCTGAGCCAGGCAGGATAAAGGGAGGACAGCCCCTGGGGCCCTAAAGTCAAGGCTGCCACTGACAGTGAATGAGCTTCTGTCACTGTTGTCACTGTCCTTAATGGGGACACTAAAAACTCAGCTTACCGAATGGGCTCTGGGCCAGAAAACAAACAGAAACATATGCATTTCCAAATGTGGTCTGTTCACCAGGGTAGCCTGTGCTTGAAACTAGCATGTGGAGGTGGTGCCCATGGGACATCCAGGAGGAGGCATGGGAGAAAGGCCTCTGCTCACTTCTCAGATGCTGACCACTGGAAACAAGAGGCCAGATGGGCTGGTGAGGTCTGCTCTTACTCCTCTTTTCAAACACAAGCCTAGAATCTATTTAAATATATATTTGCAGGCTGGGCACAGTGGCTTGTGTCTGTGATCCCAACACTTTGGGAGGCCAATGTGGGCTGATTGCTTGAGTCCAGAAATTTGAGACCATCCTGGGCAACATGGTGAAACCCTGTCTCTACACAAAATACAAAAATTAGCCAGGCCCAGTGATGTGTGACTGTAGTCCCAGCTACTTGGGAGGCTGAGGTGGGAGGATCACTTGGGCTTGGGAGGCAGGGGTTGCTGAGATAGTGCCACTGCACTCCAGCCTGGGCAACAGAGTCATCTCAAAAAAATAAATAAATAAAATAAAGTAAATATGTGTTTGTGGTCAGGCGCAGTGTCTCACACCTGTAATCCCAGCACTTTGGAAGGCCGAGGCAGGCAGATCACTTGAGCCCAGGAGGTGGAGACCAGCCTGGCCAACATGGTGAAACTCTGTCTCTACTAAAAATACAAAAAATTAGCTGGGCGTGGTGGTGAACGTCTGTAATCCCAGCTACTCAGGAGACTGAGGCAGGAGAATCGCTTGAACCCGGGAGGTGGAGGTTCCAGTGAGCAGAGATTGTACCACTGCACTCCAGCCTGGGTGACAGAGCAAGACTCCATCTCAAAAAGAAAAAAAATATATATATATATATTTATAATATAAATATCATATTATATATTATATTTATATAAATACATATATTTATAATACTTATATATTATAGTATATAAATATATAAATGTATATTAAGATATACTTTTAAAATATATATATACATATAAAATGTTTGCTTATATTTGGAAATCTTTGCCAGACATTTCATTGCTTGTCATATGGACAAATGATGAAAGTAAATAATTTTGTGGAGTGGAGTGCTGAGGCTAGCTTATACCGGCTCACAAGAGGAAATTGTTAAGTTTTAAGGACTGTTGTGAGCTGACAGTTGACCACCAAAATGAGTGATTTAGACCTAAGTCGTGAATCATCAAAGTTTATTCAGCCAAGTAGAGGGTATGCCTGGGAAAACAGGAGTCACAGAAGCTTCTGTGACTGTATTTTCCCAAAGAGGTTTATTATTTATACATTTTCCTTTAAAAAGGTTGGGGGGTGCGCCAGGAGTGGTGGCTCATGCCTGTAATCCCAGCACTTACGGAGGCTGAGATGGACTGATCACTTGAGCCCAAGAGTTCAAGACCAGCCTAGGCAACGTAGCAGAACTCCATCTCTACAAAAAAAAAAAAAGAAAGAAACTTAGCTGGGCGTGGTAGTGGACACCTGTGGTCACCAGCTACTTGGGAGGCTGAGGTGGGAGAATAGCTTGAGCCTGGAGGGGCAGAGGTTTCAGTGAGCCACTGCACTACAACCTGGGTAACAGAGTGAGACCTTGCCTCAGAAAAAAAAAAAAAAAAGGCTGGGGAGGCAGCAGTGAGACAAATAATTACATGTTTGTGAGGCTTTTGTTAATACCCAATAAATCTACATTTTACATAAGATAAGGTGAACATTTGAAGCTAAAGGGAACAGATGAAGCAGGGGGGCTCGGGGAGGAATGAAGAATTACTTTTATCTTGTCTTTGTTATGTACCTGGGAAGATAAGCTAGTAGTATTTGAAAGAGATGGTTTCTGTTTAGTCCTTACAGAATAAAACCTAATAGCTATTAGTAAGGGAGGGGGTATAATGAGGTATTTCTGATCTCCCTTCCCATTGTGGCCATTAATTCTGTCTTCCAGGGTTTCTCTGGGGTTCCCATGGGCAAGAGAGGATCCATTCAGTCAGTTGGGGGCTTAGAATTTTATTTTTATTTCTTGCAGTTAACCTATTATTAACAATTAAATTGTAAAACTTGCAATTAAATTATTTTTAAAACAAAAGTAATATCTATTTAAAACCAATCACATCTCCAGCCTGGGCAACATGGTGAAACCCCATCTCTATAAAAAATATAAAAGTTAGCTGGGCATGATGGTGATGCCTATAGTTGCAGCTACTTGGGAGGCTGAGATGGGAGGATTGCTTGAGCCCACGTGGCGGAGGTTGCAGTAAGAGATCACACCACTGCACTCCAGCCTGGGCAACAGAGTGAGACCCTGTCTCAGAAAATAAAATAAAATAATACCAATCACATTTAATTTTTTTTCATTTCAACCACCTGGTCAGTTTCCATAATTATTTTAATTTAATTTGAATGTGACTATCTTCTTGAGGGATATTTATTCATGCATAGTGCAGTAACGTGCTGCAGCATATCTTTTCCTATGGTGTAATACAAAAATATATATACATTTGGTCTTTGTACACTAGCACAGAGCTCCTAAAACACTTAGAATTTCCTGAGTGATAGAGTGTCTTTTGTTATTTATAATGAGTCCTTTTGGATAACCTGAGTTTATGCTAATGAGATGAGCCCCACTTATAGCCTCAGGAGGGGGCTGGTCACCAGAAAGACCAAGTGATTAGAGGGTGGGAACTTTCAGCTGTACCCACTGACAGCTGGGAAGGAGGAGGGGGAGCTAGAGATTGAGTTCTGTAAAAGCTCTTGAACAATGAGACTCCAAGAGCTTCTGGATTGGCAAACACACTGAGGACACGAGGGTGGTGCCTCCAGGGCATGGAAGCTTCATACCCCTCCCCACATAGCTTTCCCTATGCGTGCTTTCCATTTGTCTGTTCCCAAGTTGTATCCTTTATAATAAACTAGTAGGCAGGGTGCAGTGGTTCATGCCTGTAATCACAACATTTTGGGAGGCTGAGATGGGAGGATCTGTTGACCCCAGGAGTTCAAGACCAGCCTGGCCAACATGGTGAGACCCCCATCTCTACAAAAAATACAAAAAAAAAAAAAAATAGCCAGGTGTGGTGGCATGTGGCTGTAGTCCCAGCTACTTGGGAGGCTAAGCTGGAAGGATCACTTGTGCTCAGGAGGTTGAGGCTGCAGTGAGCCATGATTGCACCATTGCACTCCAGTCTGGGTAACATCACACAGCGGGACTAAAAAAACAAAACAAAACCAACTTCTGTCCTTTATAATAAACTTGTAGGCCAGGCACAGTGGCTCATGCCTATAATCCCAACATTTGGGAGGCTGAGGTGGGAGGATCGTTTGAGGCCAGGAGTTTGAGACCAGCCTGGGCAATATCCTGACACCCAATCTCTAAAAAAAAAAACACTCTTTAAATATAATAAACCAGTAAATGTAAGTAAAAGTGTTTTCCTTAGTTCTGTGAGCCATTTTAGAAAATTATCAAATATAATGAGGGTGTTGTAGGAACCCCTAATTTGTAGTCAGCCAGACAGAGATATGGGTGGCCTGGGTGTCTGAAGTGGGGGCAGTTTTGTGGGACTGAGCCATTTAACTTGTGGGGTCTAATGCTAATCTGGGTGATTAGTGTCAGAATTGAAATGAATTTGTCAACCAAAGAAGAATAATGAGATTGATAAATGTGGAAAGGAGAGCTTTATTTCTCACAAAGGTTTGCAGCCTCCAGGGTAGCCATTCTGAGAGGCTGGGGAGCATAGCATCGGTCCAGAAGCCAGAAACAGACACTTCGAAGGTAGAAGAGTGAGATAGGGATTTATGCTGAATGGTGTGGCCAAATATACATATTCAATAAGCTATAGAAGGAGTCATGAATATTTATGAACGTAGAACCATGTGCACGTGCAGTTGAGCTTCATGCCTTTATAAGAAACCGATGTTCAAAAATGGTGGTGTTAGCATGATCTGAAGGTTGAGTTTTTCAGTGCTCTGACATAAAAAAGTGAAGCAGAGGACATAAAAACCCTTACTACACATCCTCTGTAGACTGGCCGAAACCACTTCATGATTGGTGGTGGTTGTGCCAAAACCACAAAACAAGGGGTAGCAGCAGGCAATTGGTTGATTGTTCTGTTTAGCCCTTAGGGGAAAAAGCCTAATTGTGGTTAGGGAGGAGTATAACAAGATGTGTCCAACCTTCCACCCTGTCATGGCCTGGAACTGTTTTCAAGGTTTCTCTGGGGTCTCCTTGGCCAAGAGGGAGTTCCTTCAGTTGGCTGGGGAGTTTAGGATTTCATTTTTATTTCTTAAATTGTTGGACACCCAGTTGATATCAGAGAATCTGAAGAATTGGTTGGTATCAGAGAACACACTCTAAACTTCCCAACTCCACTTTCAGGAACATCACTGGTGTCTGGAAATCAGCCATGTCAGGAGCATTTACACCACAGAAATTGGCAGATGGCTTCCCTGCCCCCATCCTGGAGAGCCAGTTGTTACACACTGACACCCACACTGCCTTCGTAGGCCCAGCGGGGCTAGTGGCCTGGGCAGGTTTTCCCTTGCTCCTTCCCTTCTGCTCCCTCCAGGACAGAGCCTGGACAAATGAGAATCCAAGTGAGTCCTCACCCACCACCTTTCTTGTGCTGACCCAGGACCCAAAGCCCCACATTTAGCCCCTTCCTTCAGGTCTCCTGGAAAGTTGGACTATGGTGACTGTCTTCAAAGAGCCTACTGTCTAGGAGCACAGGGATACAGATATTAAACAGAAAGCCATCAGATCACTCTTCCATTAGCACTTGTGATTAGTGCTACAAAGAAATCACAGGAGGGAGTCAGAGACAATGCAGATCCATCTCAGAACATGGTTGCTATAAGCCCAGTGGGTGTTACTGAGTGGGACTCAGTTAACATTTGTTTTACAAATTTAAACAGAAATGATTTTTAAGTTGACATCTAAAGTTTGAGTAGTATATTACTTTCCTATTGCTGCTGTAGCACATTACTGATAGTGACAGGAGACAGACAAAATCCTAGGCAGACAGGTCCCTGGTGAAACTCAACCTTCAGGCCAAGGACTGTCTGAAGCCTGAAAACTGAGCTGCCAGTTCTGGGTAGAGTCCACAACCAGAGTGAAAGCTTCTATCTCCATCTTACCCATTCTCTCTTGATTGGTTCCTTCTTAATGATGCCTTTTAACCAAATGAATGGTTCATCTTCCAAGCCTACCCATGGACCAATCAGCATGCATTCTCCCATTCTAAGCTCATAAAACCCCCAGATTCAGCCTCACAGACAGCAACCTGATTTTGGGTACCCTCTCACTGCTGAGAGCTTTCTTTCTGTTGCTCAGTAAAACTCTACTCTGCCTTACTCACTCTCCAGTGTCCCCATACCTTATTCCTCTTGGTTGCAGGACAAGAACCCGGAACTTGCTGAACCACAGGAGCTAAAGGGCTGTAATGCTCTTGCTCACCTAGCTATGGGTGGCAGGAGTAAAAGAGCTGTAACATTCCCTCCCACTCACTGAGCTATGGAAGTGAAGAGGCCGCTGGATGCCACTCCTTTCTGCTCACTGAGCTACAGAAGTGAAGAGGCCACTGGGTGCCACTCCCTCCTGCTTGCTGAACTACAGGAGTGAAAAATCTGATGGCCTAAACAACACACATTTATTATCTTACAGCTGTGGAGATCAGAAGTGTGGAGTCCTGAGAAGGTAAGTAAGCAACCAGGAGGAAGGGGCCCTGGGTTGGGCAGGGGTCTAGGTGGGCAAGAACAAGAAACAATTGCTCTGAGAGATGGCTAATTACAATGACCTCTACCTCATTCCATGGGCACAATGACCTTGTCCCCAGGGCACAATGACCTCATTCTGCATGTAGCCCCCTCCAGCACAACCCTATAAAACTTCCTTCCAAGGCCCGCACAGTGGCTCATGCTTGTAATCCCAGCATTTTGGGTGGCTGAGGAGGGTGGATCACCTGAGGTCAGGAGTTCAAGACCGGGCTTACCAATATAGAGAAACCACATCTCTACTAAAAATACAAAAATTAGCCACGTATGGTGGCAGGCGCCTCTAATCCCAGCTTCTTGGGAGGCTGACACAGGAGAATTGCTTGAACCCAGGAGGTGGAGGTTTCAGTGAGCTGAGATAATGCCACTGCACTCCAGCCTGAGCAACAGAGTGAGACTCCATCTCAAAAAAAAAAAAAAAAACTTGCTTGCAGCCCTAGCCTCTTTGCGGGCAGCCCCTTCTCTGCTGTACTGCCCGTTGCAATCTTGCAAGTATTTTCATACCTTCTCTAATAAATCTGTCTTTATCTACAACAGTCCTGGTAAATTCCTTTACCTCCTGCACCACCAGCCCTAGATAGTTACTACCCAAAATAGGTCTAAAATGGATCAGCAGGGCTGTATTCCTTCTAGAGGCCCTAGGAGAGAATTTCTTTCCTTGCCTTTTTCAGCTTCTAAAAGCCTCTTGCATTTCATGGCTCATCTCCCTTACTCCATCTTCAATGCCAGCAGGGAAGCATCTTCAAATTCCTCTCTCTCCTCCTCCATCCATTCTCTCCCTCTCTCTTTATCACTATTTTTATCCTAGTCACATCTTCTCTAACTCTGATCATCCTTACTCCTCTTTCCCTTAGGACTTGTGGTGATTAATATTTATGTGTCAACTTAGCTGGGCCATTGGGCCCAGATATTTCATGAAACGTTATTCTGGCCAGGCATGGTGGCTCACGCCTGCGATCCCAGCACTTTGGGAGGCCAAAGTGAGCAAATCACTTGAGGCTAAGAGTTCAAAACCAGCCTGGCCAACATGGTGAAACCCTGTCTCTACTAAAAACACAAAAATTAGCTGGGCATGGTGGTGCACACCTGTACTCCCAGCCACTGGGGAGGCTGAGGCATGAGAATTGCTTGAACCTGGGAGGCAGAGGTTGCAGTGAGTGGAGATCACACTAACTGTTGCACTCCAGCCTGGTGACAGAGCAAGATTCTATCAAAAAAGAAAAAAAAGAAACATTATTTTGGATATTTCTTGTGAAAGTATTTTTTTTATTAGAATAACATTCAATCAGTGAACTCTGAGTAAAGGAAATTGTTTCCCATAATTCAGGTGAGCAGTTGAAGGCCTGAACATAAAAAAGACTGACCAACCTTCCTCTACCTAGAAGGAATTCTGCCGGCAGCCTGTTTCTGGACTCAAACTGCAGCTCTTCCCTGGGTCTCCAGCCTACCCTATCAGATTTTAGAAGCACAAAGTCTCCACAATCATGTAAGCAAATTTCTTTTCTTTTCTTTTCTTTAACAGTTTTCACTCTTGTTGCCCAGGCTGAAGTGCAATGGTGCGGTCTTGGCTCATAGCAGCCTCCACCTCCTGAGTTTGAGCAATTCTCCTACCTCAGCCTCCCAAGTAGCTGGGATTACAGGCACCTGCCACCACACCTGGCTAATTTTTGTATTTTTAGTAGAGACGGGGTTTCACCATGTTGGCCAGGCTGTTCATGAACTCCTGACATCAGGTGATCCACCCACCTTGGCCTCCCAAAGTGCTGGGATTACAAGGGTGAGCCATCACACCCAGCCTAACCAAATTTCTTAAAGTATATCTCCAAGTCTGTACATAGATACACATCCTCTTGTTTTTTATTCTCTGTAGAACCCTGACTAATATAGGGCCCTTGTGATTATAGTGAGCTCACCCAGATAATCCAGAACAATCTCCCTATCTCAAGACTCTTCTTTTGGGCTGGGAGTGGTGGCTCATGCCTGTAATCCTAGCAAGGCAGGGGCAAGAGGATCACTTGAGCTCAAGAGTTCAAGACCAGCCTGGGCAACATAATGAGACCCTGTTTTTTTTAAAAAAAATTTTTAATTAAAAAATTTTTAATTAAAAAATATTTTTTTGAGATGGAGTCTCACTCTGTCACCCAGGCTAGAGTGCAGTGGTGCAATCTCGGCTCACTGCAACCTCCACTTCCCAGGTTCAAGTGATCCTCCTTCCTTGGCCTCCCAAGTAGCTGGGATTACAAACATGCACCATCATGCCCAGCTAATTTTTGTATTTTTAGTAGAGACGGGGTTTCACCATGTTGGCCAGGCTGATCTCAAACTCCTGGGCTCAAGTGATCCATCCCCCTCGGCCTCTCAAAGTGCTGGTATTACAGGCGTGAGCCACCATGCCCGGCCTAATTAAGTCTCACTCTGTTGCCCAGGATGGGGTGCAGTTCACTGCAACTCACTGCAACCTCAACTTCCCAGGCTCAAGCAAGCAATCCTCCCACCTCAGCCTCCTGAGTAGCTGGGACTACAGGTGCACGCCATGACAACAGGCTAATTTTTTGTTGTTGTTGTTGTTTTTGAGATGGAGTCTTGCTCTGTCACCCAGGCTGGAGTGCAGCAGCGAGATCTCGGCTCACTGCAACCTCCGCCTCCCGGGTCCAAGCGATTCTCCTGCCTCAGCCTCCTGAGTAGCTGGGACTACAGGCGCCTGCCACCACGCCTGGCTAATTTTTGTATTTTTAATAGAGACGGGGTTTCACCATATTGGCCAGGCTGATCTCAAACTCCTGACCTTGTGATCTGCCTGCCTCGGCTTCCCAAAGTGTTGGGATTACAGGCGTGAGCCACCATGCCTGGCCCACACCAGGCTAATTTTTTGTATTAAGACTCTTAATCATATTGGCAAAGTACCATATTCACAGGTCTGGGAATTGGAACATGCACATCTGTGGGAGCTATTACTCAGCCAACCACAGTCAAGATGAGGTTTAGGGTCAGGGTCATGGTGAGGATAAGGGTCAGAATAAAGGTAAAGTTGAGAATAGGGTCAGGGTCAGCATGAGGGCCAGAGTCAGTGAGAGTCACCATCAAGGTCAGCACAGGGTCATGGTGACTGTCAGGGTGAAGGTCTATTCCTTGTCAATGTCAAGGTCAGAGTCAGGGTGAGGGTCAGGTCACACCTTCAGTTAGGTTCATGGTGCCAGCCAGGGACAAGGTGACAGTCAAATTCAGTGTTAGGATCAGAGAAAGGGACATGTTGATCTTCATGGTCAGGGTCAGTGTCAGAATGTAGGTCAGATGAAAGCAAGGGTACAGTTAGAGTTGTGGTGGGCAGAATAATGGCCCCCAAAGATGCCTATGCCTTAATCCCTGGGACCTGTGAACATCCCATTACATGGCAAAAATGATTAAGTTGCTAATCGTTTTACCTTGAGGTAGAAAGAAGCCCTGGATTATCCAGGTGGACCCAAAATAATCCCAAATCCTGGCCACGCATGGTGGCTTACACCTGTAATCCCAGCATTTTGGATGGCTGAGGTGGGCAGAATTGCTTGAGCTCAGGAATTCAAGACCAGCCTAGCCAACATGGCGAAACCCCATACCTACTAAAAATACAAAAATTAGCCAGATGTGGTTGTGTGCATCTGTAATCCCAGCTACTTGGAAGGCTGAGGCAGGAGAATTGTTTGAACCCAAGAGGCAGAGGACGCAGTAAGCCAAAATCATGCCACTGCACTCCAGCCTGGGCAACAGAGCAAAGCTATCAAAAAAAAAAAAATCCCAAATCCTTAAAAGTGGTAGAGAAAAGCCAGAAAAGAATCTTCAGAGTGATATAAAGTGAGGATTTGACCTGCTACTGCTGGCTTTGAAAATGGAGGCAGGGGCCACAGACCAAAGAATGTAGGCAGCCGCTAGAAGCTGGAAATGGTGAGGAAACCGATTATCCCCTAGAGCCTCTAGAAAGGAATGCATCCCTGCCAACCCCTTGATTTTAGTCCAGTGAAGCCCATGGCTGACTTCTGAACCACAAAACTCACATTTCAAGTGCAGGAACAAATTTGGGTGAGGGTAAGAGTTAGGGTTAGAATCAGGTTAAGGTTAGGTACAGGGTGAGGGTAAGGGTCAAGCTCAAGTTGAGGGTCAGAGGGTGAGAATGGGTGTGCGATTTGATGTCAGGTTCAGGTTCATGGTCAGTGTCTATGTGAGAGAGTCAAGGTCAGTATGAAAGTAAGAACCAGGTGAGTGTCAGGCTCAGGGTCAAAGTCAGTGTCAAATTATGTCAGTTTGACATCGAGGTCAGAATTATTGCGAGGGTCAGGCTCGCAATAGCCTGAGAGAAAGTGAGGGTCAGAGTAAGGGTCCTATTCAGAGTGAGGAAAATCATCAGGTTCAAGGTAAAAGTCAAGATCAGAGTCAGGGGCATGGTGAGGGTCAGGGTCATGATCAAGTTCTAATGAGGTTCAGTATCAGTGATAGAGTGGAGCTCACAGTCAAGGTCAGAGTGAGGGTAAGGGTCAGAACACATTCATGTCAGGATGAAGATTAGAAGGGTCAGGCTAATGACCAACTCGTGCGTAGGGTTGGGATCAGCATGAAGGTTAGGGTCTGATTAAGCAGAAGCTGAGAGTGAGGAAAAAGGTGAGATGAGTTCAGGGTCAAGCTGAGTTCAGGATCTGGTTGAGAGTCAAAATCAGTCATGATCTACACATGGATTATGGTCAGGTTGAGAATCTTGTTCAGGCCAGGGTCAGGGTCCAGGGGGAGTCCTAGGGCCTGAATGACAACCAGTGTCAGCATTGCTGAGTGTGAGAATCAGGTCAAGGGCAGGGTTAGATCAGCATGAGAGATAGGGCCAAGATCAGGGCCAGAATCTGGGTTAGGGATGAGTGGGAGTCAGATTTACATGACTTCCAGGTTTATGGTCAATGTCATGATAGGCATCTGGGTGAGAGTCATGGTCAGAGTCAAAGTGAGTATCAGTACTAGAGTTAGGATGAGGTCAGGGTTAGTCATTGATATGGTTTGGCTGTGTCCCCAGCCAAATCTCATCTTGAATTGTAACTCCCATAATTCCCATATGTTGTGGGAGGGACCAGGGGAGATAATTGAATCATGGGGGCAGTTTCCTCCATACTGTTCTCGTGGTAGTGAATAATTCTCACGAGATCTGATGGGTTTATAAAGGGTAATCCCTTTTGCTTCGTTATTATTCTCTCTTGCCTGTTGCTGTGTAAGACGTGCCTTTTGCCTTCCACCATGATTGTGAGGCCTCCCCAGCCACGTGGAACTGTAAGTCCATTAAACCTCTTTTTCTTTATAAATTACCCAGTCTTGGGTATGTCTTCATCAGCAGTGTGAAGACAGACTCATATAGTACATTGGTACCAGTATAGTGGAGTGCTGCTGTAAAGATACCCGAAAATGTGGAAACGACTTTGGAACCAGGTAACAGGAACAGGTTGGAACAGTTTGGAGGGCTCAGACAAAGGAAAAAGTGAGAAAGTTTGGAACTTCATAGAGACTTGTTGAATGGCTTTGACCAAAATGCTGATAATGATATGGACAATGAAATCCAGGCTGAGGTGGTCTCAGATGCAGATGAGGAACTTGTTGGGAGCTGGAGTAAAGGTGACTCTTGCTATGTTTTAGCAAAGAGACTGGAGGCATTTTGTCCCTGTGCTAGAGATTTGTGGAACTTTGAACTTGAGGGAGATGATTTAGGGTACCCAGCGGAAGAAATTTCTAAGCAGCAAAGCATTCAAATGTGACTTAGGTGCTGTTATAAGCATTCAATTTTAAAAGAGAAACAGAGCATAAAAATTGAGAAAATTTGAGGCCGGACAATGTAATAGGATAGAAAATAACCCCCCACCTTTTTTTTTTGAGACAGAGTCTTGCTCTGTCACCCAGGATGAAGTGCAGTGGCACCATCTCGGCTCATTGCAACCTCCGCCTCCCAGGTTCAATTAATTCTCCTGCCTCAGCCTCCCGAGTAGCTGGAATTACAAGTGCCTGCCACCACACACAGCTAATTTTTGTATTTTTAGTAGAGATGGGGTTTCACCATGTTGGCCAGGCCGGTCCCGAACCTCTGCCCTCAAGTGATCTGCCTGCCTCAGCCTCCCAAAGTGCTGGGATTACAGGCATGAGCCACCATGCCTGGCCTTTTTTTCTTTTTTTTTTTTTTTTGAGACGGAGTTTCTCTCTTGTCACCCAGGCTGGAGTGCAATGGTGCGATCTTGGCTGACTGCAAACACTGCCTCCCAGGCTCAACCAATTCTCCTGCCTCATCCTCCCAAGTAGCTGGGATTATAGGCGCCTGCCACCACGCCTAGTTAATTTTTATATTTTTAGTACAGATGGGTTTTCATCATGTTGGCCAGGCTGGTCTTGAACTCCTGACCTCAGGTGATCCACCTGCCTTGGCCTCCCAAAGTGCTGGGAGTGAGCCACCACACCCAGCTGAAAAGTACAGGGGTGAGACACCATGCCCAGCTGAAAAACCCATTTTCTGAGGAGAAATTCAAACCAGCTGCAGAAATTTGCATAAGTAACTAGGAGCTAAATGTTCATTGCCAAGACAATGGGGAAAATGTCCCCAGGGCATGTCAGAGACCATTGCAGCAGCCCCTTCCATCACAGGCCCAGAGGCCTAGGGAAAAAAAATGATTTTGTGGGCCGGGCCCAGGGCCCCCCTGCTATGTGCAGCATAGGGACTTGGTGCCCTGCATCCCAGCTGCTCTAGCTATGGCTAAAAGGGACCGAGGTACATCTTGGGCCATGGCTTCAAAGCATGCAAGCTCCAAACCTTGGCAGCTTTCATGTGGTATTGAGCCTGCATGTACACAGAAGTCAAGAATTGAGGTTTAGGAACCTGTGCCTAGATTTCAGAGGACATATGGAAATGGCTGGATGTCCAGGCAGAAGTTGGCTACAGGGGCGATGCCTTCATGGAGAGCCTCTGCTAGGGCAGTGTGGATTGGAAATGGATTGGAGCCCCCACACAGAGTCCCCATTGGGGCACTGCCTAGTGGAGCTGTGAGTAGAGGGCCACCATCCTCCAGACCCCAGAATGGTAGATGCACCAACATCTTGCACTGTGTGCTTGGAAAAGCTGCATTCAATGATCATTCTGGAGCTTTAATATTTGACTGTCCCACTGGATTTCGGACTTGCATGAGGTCTTTAGCCCCTGTGTTTTGGCCAATTTCTCCCATTTGGAATGGCTGTATTTATCCAATGTCTGTACCCTCATTGTATGGGGTACATTCTAGGAAGTAACTAACTTGCTTTTTATTTTACAGGCTTATAGATGGAAGGGACTTGCCTTGTCTCAGTTGAGAATTTGGACTGTGGACTTTTGAGTTAATGCTGAAATAAGACTTTGGGGGACTTTTGGGAAGGCATGATTGGTTTTGAAATGTGAGGACATGAGATTTGGGAGGGGTTGGGGGTGGAATGATGCCGAGACCAGCTCAGTCGTGGAGGCCCTAACTCAGCGGCACTAGAGGAATTAAAGACACACACACAGAAATATAGAGTGTGGAGTGGGAAATCAGGGGGCTGGCAGCCTTCAGAGCTGAGAACCATGAACAGAGTTTTACCCACATATTTATTGACAGCAAGCCAATGATAAGCATTGTTTCTATAGATTATAGATTAAAATGGGAAACAAAGGGATGGGCCGAAACAAAGGGATGGGCTCTGGCTAGTTATCTGCAGCAGAAACATGTCCTTAAGGCACAGATCACTCATGCTATTGTTTGTGGTTTAGGAACGCCTTAAGTGGTTTTCTGTCCTGGGTGGGCCAGGTGTTCCTTGTCCTCATTTCAGTAAACCCACAACCTTCAGCATGGGCATCATAGCCATCACGAGCATGTCACAGTGCTGCAGAGATTTTGTATATGGCCAGTTTTGGGGCCAGTTTATGGCCAGATTTGGGGGCCTGTTCCCAACATGTTCCCCCTTTTGGTTTTTGCAAAATGACAAAAGCAAAGGCGGCTTTATCACGATGAGCCACTTCTCACAGGAGTCGGGATCTGCATTTGCAGACTATACAAAGACAAACAACACAGATTAATAGCAAAATCATTATTGAAATCATAGAGCCTCCAAGTGTTTTTATCCATTTTAATGGGTTAATAGCTGCTAATCCGTCTGCAGTTCCTTCAAGTACTCCAGTTCCTGGTGTTAAGGTCAGGTGTGCCTGGGATGCCTTAAATATTTGTACTTTTAATTTTGCAATATCCAAAGAGAAGTTTGTAGAGTATCCTTCTAGATGCTTTTTAATTCTTTCTTAAATTTTGATCTTATTAAGAGCCATTAATAGTTTCCACAAATCCTTATGTTTAGCTTCTAGAGCAGGCCGTATCATTTGAGGTTGAGGTGCCACTATACCGCCATGTTTCCAGACAATAGGAACTCTTGCCATATTTCTTACCATTTCTACCATCTGACTGTTTTGTTTAGACCAGCTGAACATAGTGTGGCTGTGGCACGCAGACTAAGAGGTATAATTCAAGCTAAACATCTCCTTAGGGGACCAATCAATAATGATTCCATAGGAATCGCTGCGCAGCACCTCTGCCTGTTCTGCAATGCAGTCTTCCTAAATAAGTATGTTCATTATTTCTGGCCAGGTCCAATTCTTTTACAAATAGATTTTTGAGGGTGGTATGCCTGAATTATAGGAGCAGATTCATTATGGTAAATACTGAGACTAGAAAGCATGTGTAAATGTGTTATAGAGTGATTACATCCAGGCATTATTGCTAGCCAAGATTGATAAATATGCCTAATAAGTATAATTGTTCTCTGTGTCAGCCCTTGTTGAAGCAATACTCATGGCAATGGTGATCACTGCTATCATAGCTACCATTAAATTACTCATTGTGACTGGTTGTCCCACTTTCCTCAGGTTTTCTTCCACCATCTGTGACAGTTTCTTGATCTGTCCTCTGGTTGGTGGCTGTGTTCAATGGGTGTTGCTTGTGACAGTTGGGGTCCTCCTTAGCATCAGTCTTGACATGGCTGCAACTGGGGGGTCCTCGGGATCCTCTTGGAATCTCTTCCTCAGCATCTGGCTCATGATAAGGTTTCAGCTGTCTTGATAGTATCCAAATTGGCTGTTGATTCAGTCCTGGAGAAACACAAGCATAACCTCTATGCCAAGTTATTATTTTACCTATTTCCCAACTTTTTGTCATCAGATCTCTCCATTAAACCAGTTGTTCTGCTTCTGTCTTTGCAGCTGGTTTCTGTAGATGCTGTTCAGCTGCTGATAGCACCTGGCCTTTAGGCAGGCTCAAAAAATTTAAAGTCAATAATGCTAGATTCAATTGTATATGAGGTGTCCTGTAGTCCCTGTTTTCCCCCTTTTGCTTTTGCAACTGCTGTTTCAGGGACTATGTTTCAAAGACTATGGCTTGTCTTTGAGAATTATATGGGACACCAATAATGTGTTTAATATTCCATACAGAGAGAAATGTAGCTAGAACTTGGCTAGTATAGCCTGGGGCATTATCTGTTTTAGTAGAAGCTGGAATGCCCATCACTGCAAAACACTGCAAAAGGTGACGTTTAACACAGGCAGAAGACTCTCCTGATTGGCATGTAGCCCAGACAAAGTGAGAAAAGGTGTCCACACATACATGTACCTAAGCTAGTCTCCTGAATGAGAGAACATGTGTGACATCTATTTGCCAAAAAGAATTAGGTTCCAATCCTCAAGGATTAACTCCTCCTGTAAACGATGAGGAATGCACCATTTGGCAAGTTGGGCATCACTGGATAGAAAATAGATTACTCATGGCATAGGTAGGAATGCCTAGAGCAGGTTGCATCCAATTAATGCCCCACAGTAATTTTTGAAAGTCATTTAATGTTTTCAATTGAGCCCTACGTATGGTTACTTTCTGTGGCACTATTGTAGTGTCATTTACTAAGGTCCCGAAGTAGGAGTAAGGAGTAGTAGTCTAAATTTTGTCAGGAGCTATAATTAAACCAGCATGAGAAATCACATTTTGCAAGTGATCATAACATTGGAGTAATATTTCTCGAGTGGGGGCAGCACAAACTATATCACCCATATAATGAATAATGTAACACTGTGAAAATTTTTTACAAGTAGGTTCAATTGCTTGCCCTACATACATCTGGCAAATTGTTGGACTGTTTAACACGCCCTGTGGCAACACTTTCCAATGAAAACACTTAGCAGACTGTAGGTTGTGTACACAGGAATTGTAAATGCAAACTATTCACAGTCTTGCTCAGCTAAGGGGATAGCAAAGAAAGTCTTTTAAATCTATGACTATTAAAGGCCAATTTTTTGGAATCATAGTAGGAGAAGGCAGTGCTGGCTGCAATATCCCCATAGGTTGTATAACTGAATTAATGGCTCTAAAGTCAGTTAACATTCTCCATTTACCTGTTTTTTTTCTTACTTATGAAAACTGGAGAATTCCAAGGGGAAAATGTTGAAGCTATGTGTCCTTTTTCCAATTGTTCATTAACTAAGTCCTCTAAAGCCTCCAGTTTCTCTTTACTTAGTGGCCATTGTTCTATCCAAATTGGCTTATTTGTTAACCATTTTTAAGGTATAGGTTCTGGAGGCTTAACAATGGCCTCCATCAAAAATCTTATCCCAAACCTTGGCAGGAACTTTGTCTTTCCACTTGAAGCAGTTCCTTCAAACCTTGCAAATTTTTTCCTAGTCCCATACCAGGGACATACCCCATTTCATGCATCATATGTTGACTTTGAGGGCTGTATAATTGCTCTGGAATTAGAACTTGTGCTCCCCATTGTTGTAATAAATCTCTCCCCCATAAATTTATAGGTGCAGAAGTTATAATTGGTTGAATAGTCCCAGGTTGTCCATCGGGCCCTTCACAATGCAAAATATAACTATTTTGATATACTTCAGGGGCTTTACCAACTCCAACTATATTAAATTGAGCGGGTTGAATTGACCATGCGGATGGCCAGTGCTGTAGAGAAATGATGGAAATGTCCACTCCTGTATCTACCAAACCTTTAAATTTCTTTCCCTGAATAGTTATTCCACAGGTAGGACGTTTATCACAATTTGATTCACCCAATAAGCTGCTTTGCCTTGTTTATTTTTGCTTCCAAATCCTCCTGTTTGTTTAATTTTACTTTTCCCCATTTTCACATACGGCACAATCAGGAGCTGTGCTATGCACTCTCCTGGCTCTGCTTTCCAGGGAACAGAAGTAGATATAACAATTTGAATTTCTCCATTGTAATCTGAATCAATGACTCCTGTATGTACTTGCACTCCTTTTATATTTAAACTAGATCTACCTAGAAGTAATCCTATCATCCCCGCTGGCAAGGGTCCACAGACCCCTGTTGGAACTTTTTGCAGGGGTTCCCCAGGCAGAAGACTGACAGATTTTGTGCAGCATAAATCTACCACGGCACTACCAGCTGTGGCGGGGGACAGACATTGTACATGGGTGAAGGGATGGCCTGAGCCGGAAATGCCCCGGTTTGCAATGGGTCTCGGGATGGGCCCCTCATGGCATTTCCCGAAATCACATTTCCATCCTTCTCAAATTTAGAATGACGCTGATTGGCCCAATGCTTCCCTTTTTTACACTTCGGGCATAGACCTGGTTCATACTGATTGATAGCTTGTTTAAACTCTTTGAGTAATTTAAAAGGAAAAGACTCAAACATAGGTGTAATATTTCCCTGTTGATTAGGTGGGTGTATTCTAACAGGGAACTTCCAAGCATCTATATCACCCTCTTGTCTAGCTTGCTGAATTCCTGCCTGAATAGAACTGAGAGCGGTCGCTCGAGGTGCTGTTTGAACAGTCACTGGGGCAACTACTTTTCACCCAGTGTCCTCTGGAAAAGAAAGATCTGGAGGGTCAGGCCACTCTTTTTCTTCAAAATTATGAGGGGGTGGAGAAGGGTAGGGATGAACCTCTTCCTCCTTTGCCACTTTAACTTTAGCTGGCAAACAAACCTGCTCTGTCACCTCTTCTGTTACTTCATTGTACTCTACTTCCTCTTCATCATCAGTGTGAAAAGGTTCCAAGGTGGAATGAACCAGAGCCCACACCTGTCCCATTGTTACCCTGATGCTTCTGAGCTCCCCTTCTTACTCATCACAGGGATTGCTTAAGAGTATTCGAGTGTCCTCCAGCTTAGTTCCACGTTCTCCAACCGTCGCTCCAGCGACCCTCCAACACGGGTTTCGAGCCCCACACATGGGCACCACTTGCTGAGACCAGCTCGGTCATGGAGACCCTAACTCAGCGGCATTAGAGGAATTAAAGACACACACACAGAAATATAGAGTGTGGAGTGGGAAATCAGGGGACTGGCAGCCTTCAGAGCTGATAGCCAGGAACAGAGTTTTACCCACAATAAATAAAAAGTATTTATTGACAGCAAGCCAGTGATAAGCATTGTTTCTATAGATTATAGATTAAATAAAATGGGAAACAAAGGGATGGGCTCTGGCTGGTTATCTCCAGCAGGAACATGTCCCTAAGGCACAGATCGCTCATGCTATTATTTGTGGCTTAGGAATGCCTTAAGCGGTTTTCCGCCCTGCGTGGGCCAGGTGTTCCTCGTCCTCATTCCAGTAAACCTACAACCTTCAGTGTGGGTGTCATAGCCATCATGAGCATGTCACGGTGCTGCAGAGATTTTGTTTATGGCCAGTTTGGGGGCCAGTTTATGGCCAGATTTGGGGGCCTATTCCCAACAGAATATGGTTTGGCTGTGTCCCCACCCAAATCTCATCTTGAATTGTAGCTCCCATAATTCCCACGTTGTGGGAGGGACCCAGTGGGAGATAACTGAATCATGGGGGCAGTTTCCCCCATACTGTTCTCGTGGTAGTGAGTAAGTCACATGAGAGCTGATGGTTTTATAAGGGGAAAACTCTTTGGCTTGGTTATTATTCTCTCTTGCCTGCTGCTATGTAAGACATGCCTTTTGCCTTCCACCATGATTATGAGGCCTCCCCAGCCATGTGGAACTCTAAGTCCATTAAACCTCAGTCTCAGGTATGTCTTTATCAGCAGCGTGAAAATGGACTAACACGGTCATGGTAACAGTCAGGGTAGTGTTAGTATGTTCTGAGTCAGGGTCAGGTTCAGAGTGAAGTTCAAAGTGACCATCAGAGTCAAGGTCAGAGTCAGACTCAGAGTGAGACACATGACCAGGAAGGGTCTAGGTGAGAGTGAGGGTGAAGGTCAGCCTGTGTGTCAAGGTCAGGGTAAAGGTCAGCAACAGGGTCACGGTTAGAGTCAGGGCCATTATCAAGTTCAGGGTAAGGGTGTGTTGGGCTGAGGCTCAGGGTCAGGTTAAAGATATCAGAGACATGATCAAGATGAGAGTCAAGGTCAGGATCAGCAACCTCTGCCCTACTTCCTAGCACCAGGTGCTGGCTGTTGTGAATGCAACTTTCTGAAATGCTCTTCCTCCATTTATCTGCATGTCTTCCTCCTTCACGTGCTTGGACCATTTAATGCTGCCTCACGCTCCCTGCCCTTTCACTAGGATGTGAGTGTCACAAAGACAGTGATCTTGGAATGAAATGTTTTGCTCACTAATGGGTCCCAGGCAGTTAGAAGAGTGCTTGGGCCGGAGGAGGCACTCGATAAGAGTTTAGTATCGATGAGTGTGCATAAAAGTATTCCTTGAAAAAAGTACATCTGGGAATAAAATATAAAAGCTGTTCACAGTAGTTCTCTCTGGAGTGGAATTATAAGAAAGCTTCATGGTCAATTTGATATATGTTCATATTGTTTTTTTTTTTTTGAGATGGAGTCTTGCTCTGTCACCCAGGCTGGAGTGCAGTGGCGCGATCTCAGCTCACTGCAAGCTCCGCCTCTCGAGTTCGCACCATTCTCCTGCCTCAGCCTCCCGAATAGCTGGGACTACAGACGCCCGCCACCATGCCCAGCTAATTTTTTGTATTTTTAATAGAGACGGGGTTTCACCTTGTTAGCCAGGATGGTCTCAATCTCCTAACCTCGTGATCTGCCCATCTCGGCCTCCCAAAGTGCTGGGATTACAGGCGTGAGCCACCGTGCCCAGCCTGTTTTGATTCTTAAAAACTAACACTGAATGGGTCTTTCCATCTTGAGAAAAAACAAAGAACTTTTAGGCAAAGTGCTTGACAGAGTGATTGATTGGCACAGGTACTCACCAAACTGTAGCTATGAATTAAACTTCAAACAACTGGCGTCAGCCTTCCTGCAAACCCTGGAGCATCGTCAAAGAAACGCTACTCTAGTTCCCTCATCCAAGAGTAAAAACAGAGAGGCAAGACAAGATAGAAGGTCTTTATTCAATAGCAGATGAGAGACTATGCCTCAGTCCTCTGAGGGGATGCATTTCCCCCACATACCATTCCTTTCCCACGTTTCCATTCTCTGCAGGCTACAGCTTGATGGAAAAAAGGGGATTGTTCTAGAGGTACTTATACACAACCTTTGAGGGCACAGTTTGGAGGTGGAGTCGCACAGGACATTTGTAAAAGTAGGACAGCAAAGTTTCACTGTAGCCCACGAGGAAGTAGTACTTGTGTGGAGACAACTGCCTCAGGACCACGGCACAGATCTCCAACTGGTTACCCCGGCGCTTTAAAACCAGCTGGTCAGCCAGGCAGCCTGGGAAGGTACCCCACATGAACTTGCGAAGGAAAACATCCTCCACCGTTCGCTCTGCGGCATGGTCCTCTCCATCCAGGTTACCTGAAGAGGGAAGGGCATAATAGAAGAATCAGCCTCATTGCCCCAGGGCCCTGCCATAACTCCAGAGTCAACATCCAAAAGCGCTGAGCACAATCCCACCCTTCACCCCCAGCCTCTTCTCTTTTCTTCTGCTAATGGAATAAGAAAAATAACACTTTAAAGTTCAAAGTATGTTATGTCATTAATTCCCAAGCCAATTCAGTTTAGTAGGTATTATCATTATCCTTATTTTACAAAAAGGAAGATGGAGGCCTGAGTCAGGGTACAAAACTCAAGATGATGCCACCACATCTAGCCCCTTTCCTGCTTTCTTGGCTGCCTTATAAAAACACTGGTCATCCCATGGGCCAGAAAGATGAGGCTACCAGCTATTTTTGAGATTAGGGACATGAGCTAGGCCCAGGGCTTCCACCAGTGGGTTCCTCAGTGTGAACTGTGGATCCCCTGCAGCCCTTACAATGTCCACTAAGAGTCTGCACACCTACATCCAAACCTCAGACCAGAACCTGAAAGAGTGGGAGACAAGCATCTCTCTCTCTTTTTTTTTTTTTTTTTTTTTTTTTTTGAGATGGAGTCTCACTCTGTCGTCCAGGCTGGAGTGCAGTGGCGTGATCTCGGCTCACTGCAACCTCCGCCTCTTGGGTTCAAACAATTCTCTGCCTCAGCCTCCTGAATAGCTGGGATTGCAGGCGCCCGCCACTACGCCCAGCTAATTTTTTTGTATTTTTAGTAGAGATGGGGTTTCACCATCTTGGCCAGGTTGGTATTGAACTCCTGACCTCAGGATCCACCCTCCTCGGCCTCCCAAAGTGCTGGGATTACAGGCGTGAGCCACCGTGCCAGGCAAGCATCTGTATTTTAAGTAAGTTCTCTAGATGCATCTCAAACATCCAAGAACCCCTGTACTAAACAAAGCACAGTTGGTTATCAATTGTTCACAATAGTTATATTCTATAAAGTCACTGCCAACACTGACTTAGTGAATACTGAACCATTGCTCCTAGGTGAAATACAGGGTTAGATTCCTTTCAGCCTCTGGGCACCGTATTTTTGTTAACAAATCAATACATAACCTAGTTTCCTTTGTGTTTCTGTTTAAAGACACCTTGTTTAATATATATGGTAGATTCACTAACATTGAATTCAGGGCCAAGAGCAACTCATGACTGAAGAAAGATTCTCTAATACATGTATGTTCTCCCTAAGGCACGTCACAGCCTTCTCCCGCTTAGGAACACTAGATAGCACTTCAGCATTGCAAGGCCATTTTAAACAGCAAAATCACTAACAAAAAGCACGAAAATGCAAATTAAAAAAAAAAGATTCTAGACCATAAAAAGGACACCTTTTACAGTACGAGAGCTGAAACTAGGCAGAGCCTTGTCGACCTCAGCTCGGGACATGCACCTGGGGTGGCAGCTCCACCCACATCTCAGAGTGACCTTGAGAGTGCCCAGAGTGTTGATTTGGGGCTTACAAATAAATTTTAGTCAGTAGAAGAATCTGAAAATATGGAATTCATGAATAACGAGGGTTGTCTGTATATATTTACAGAGAAAAATTTGTGCTTTAGTGGAAAACTGCATTCCTTAGAGCACACTGTTCAGGGTTATCAGATTCTGCAACGGTTTCACTCCTTTCCTTGACTCTGAGCTATTTTACAGCTCTGTAAATTACAGATAACTGACAGGAATGCAAAATAATTCTTGTCTGTAGACATGCAAATAATTTCTGTTCAGTGGAGGATCAATTGAGTCCCTGCCTGCCATGGAAAAAGTCAGTTTTGCATCCATCTTCAAATTTGTTTCAACATCCTGATCTATATATATCTCTGCTTTTTTATGTCTCCCTTGAGTTGGTTTCATAGATTTCTGACCCTAGCATTATTTCCTGAGTTAAAGAAAACCTGTGACACGTGTTCATTTTGTTTACATGACAGTCGGATTGAGTGCTCCTTTTGGAGGCCTGGGGTCCGCTCACCTGTGTGCAGCGACAGCCAGCCTTTACGGTGGGCGATGTAGTGCGGCGCGTGTGCCTCCTCGTAGGTCACCGGCTTGTCCCCCTTGCTTACGCGTACTCGGGCCGCCCGGTTCTAGGAGCAAAAGGGGCCGTGACTCCACGAGATCCCCGATCCAGACCCCTACTTCGCGCCATGTCCCCCCAGTCAGCTGGCACTGTTCCCCGGCCCCAATCCCCTGATCCCTAAGCCCCGACCCTAGCCCCGCCTCGGACCCCAGCGACACGCCCCCTTCAGCCCGCACGGCTTCCCCGGCCCCCGGCCCCCCGGCCCCCAGGCCCCCAGGCCCCTGCCCCGGCGGTGCTCACCTTGGCGCAGACCGGGGAGGTGTGCAGGGCGCGCCAAGCGCAAGGCAGCTCTCGGCTCCAGGACAGCACCTGTGGAGGGAGGGCGCGTGAGGCGGAAACTAGGGACCCCACCTCCGACTCGCAGGGACCTGCCGAGTCGCCCCACTCACCCGTGGCCCCAGCAACCCGCTGCACACGGAGGCCGCCATCTTGGGCCAAGCGGAGCGCGGGACGTACCACAGCGCGCTGAGGGGTGGGGACGACCGCGGACGAGACCAAGTCGGAGCTCGTACTCTGTACTCTGGCGGGGGCGGGGCAGGGCCTCTGCGGGGCGGGGCCGCGGTATGCTGCTAGCTGTTACTCCCGCCTTCCCCGCAGCCCTGTGAATGCTCAGCCTTGTGAATGCTCATCCCGCCGCTGTTCGCTCTCCCGCGGTTGCTGCTTGCATAGGGTTTCAGATCCGGAAATTTGAGGATGCGAAACGTGAGATTTTCTCTTCGACAACCTCACGCTAGTACGGGTGATGGGTGTGCGGCCCACCGGAGCCCGCCCTGCCCAACCTGCACCCTCGGGGCTCGAAGAGGAGCCAAGCGTTTCCCCAGGTCCTAGTTATGCCTCCAAATAATATTCGTAGAAAAACAAAACAGAAAAACCCTCCAGACTTTTATCCACAAATAAAGAAGAAACATATTTTGGTTAAAACGTCACCCAATTCTTCAAGGATGACTTACGCAGTTATGCAAGAATGGGTTTGCCACATGTGACCACAGTGGTGACTGGCCCCTGAGGAAGGAAAATTTTAAGTACGGGGAAGGGGCCGGAGGGCAAGGAGATTCGTGAGAATATCGCAGGGCCTGTAATGCTGAAACCAGTGCGTCGCCACTATTATTGGTATCCAGTAATTATTAATGTCAAACGGAAAAATAGCAACGCGGGATATTTTATTTTAGAAGTCACCACGGTCATGGAAAAAACACGGGCTCTGGAGTCAGACCCATGTATAACAATCTTTGTACAGTTAAGACTCAGTTCTATTATCTATAAAATGGGCCTTAATAATAGTACTACCTTATAGAGCTATTAGGATCAAGAGAATATTTAATCAATGATGGGTTGTGTTTGGTTGAGTGATGTGAAATTGCCAATGTTTTGGCCGTTCTGGGTCTACATCATTCCCCTTAATGGTACAGTACTTGCATACTGCTGCGGTTTCCTGTCAGGGGGAGGACTGGATTATGATCCATGGGAAGGGGAAATGGAAGAACGGTGGAAATGAGTTGCCCATGACCACACTGAGAAGAGGGAAAGAGGGACCAAGACACAAGTCTCTTGACTTCAGTCCAGCCCATTTCCCATGACCAAGATTCCTCTGATTACATGAAGGTGGGTTCTCAAAAAACCCGTAATAAAAGGACAAGGTCTTCCATGTCCACTTCACCAGAAATGTTTTATTCTTACTTTTTAGGAACTGCGGCCCCCAACTGTTATGCATATTGAATAAAGGGACAGAACAGGGATGAGGTGCCCTCCAATGCATACTTTGCAAATGTAAGAACTTTCAACATTTCCTAAGAAATCCTTTTCAACTGACAATTATTTTTTAAAGTTTTCATAATGTTCAATAATTTTATAATTGTTAAGTTTCATTAATTTGCTCCAAGGTGGTGAGGAACATGGGATGTGGCATCTGAATTGCCTGAGTCCAAATCGTGGACCCAATGCTTCCTGGCTGTGTAATTTGGACAAGTGACTGAACCTTCTGAGCCTCGGTTTCTCTCATCTGTAAACTGGGGACAATAATGGTGGTTGTGAGAAGTACAGTATGATGTGCCTGGCAGAGGGAGAGAGCAGTTGTGGGTTTTGTTGTTGTTTTTAACGAGTCCCTGATAGCCACATATCCCGTTAGGGAGATGAGCCAGCTATTGAGGGTTCTGTGAGAACTCATAGCAACACCACCCTAATCAGAGGAAAGGGGAAGGAGAAAGGGAAACAAGATCCTTGGGCTGATCAGAGGCAGAGGTGGCAATGGCACAACACCTATTGGGGCCCAAGGTGGGCAGGGGCCACACCACGAAGGCTGTGGTTGGGAATCAAGTTTAGCCCATAAAGCAGTAGGCAATCAAATGATCAAATTTATGCTTTCCTCTATTCAAGCCATTCTCCCTTATGCCTGAGATCTCTCTCTGGAATTCCAAACCGATCTAGATCTTTCCAAGCATCACAATGGCCATTTCAGTGGCAGACATTTCTGGGGTTCAAATATCTTGTTATCTATCCTTTATTAGCTTTGTTTATACTGTGATTGGGGGAAAGGGGACGTGTCGGTCTTTACATGATTAAAATTACTTAAAATGACTTTTATACATCAGTATGAATGTTATATTGTTTTAAATAATCAGCAGAAAAATCTGACTGGGGATGTTTTATTTTTCTGTAACTTCCATTTGTTGTTGTTTTGATGCACTTTCCTTCTCCTATTAATTCCATAAAGGAGGCAGTATTTCCAGGCTTCACAGAGCAGAAGATGGAGGCTCACAGACTCACCTGAGGTTACAGAAGTAGTAAATGGTAGCAGGCCTTTTTGCTCCAAAGCATGTGCTCTTTCAGTATCACTTCCTGGGGGTGAGGGTTCAGACCATGTTAGGATCAGGGAATGGCCTGGGTTTCTGTGGCTTGCTGCAGACAGCTCCCAAGTGGCCCTCAAGGACTGCCTGGACATGGAAAGGCCAGGAGCATATGACCCCATGTGAAAGACCCATCTGCACCCTTCCTGGAGCCTAATGCAGAGACAGGGATGTAAAACTGCTTTTTCTCTGACATGAGCCTTTGTTCTGTACATAATAACCAAGAACCAGAAGTTGCTCCTATGCTCTCAAAGCAGTGATTTGCAATTGCATGACAGAGCCCCCTGGGTTCCACACCACCTCTGTGGGGAGAGGGCAGGCACTCACACTTTTAAAATGCCCCTTAGATGATTTCAATTTGCAGTCGGGGCTGAGAACCAGTGTCCTGAACTCACTCAGTTTATTTGGGAGACTCCCAAAATGTGTATTTGCAGAGCCCCCTTTCGGGGAGAGTGCTGTTGGATGCCCCTGGAAGATTATGGCAGCTCTCTAAGGAACATAGCCATAGTCCACGCCCACCACTCTTGGTCACAAGGGCAGAAGAAGGGAGGAGGGGTCTGCTGGGAGGTCAGGACTTCTTTGAGATGATCTGTCCAGTTGGGTGCAGCACAGCCACCATGGGCTCACCCAGAGTGCTCAGGGGATACAGCACTGGCTGGGCCATGGAGAGACACTGTGTAAAAGGGAGCTGTCAGCCCCCTTGTACTTCCAGAGCCTGAAGAGTTTCAGAATCCAGCCTGGGGGCGGTGGGGTGACATCTCCCTTCCTGTTGGCTGCAGGGTGAGCCGATATCACTCCACTCATGGTGGTTCTCTTTACAGCTGACTTATCCTAACTCAGAACTGCTGACACTTTACACTTTGTAAACCTATGGTTTTTACATTATTCCTTGTGATTCTTTTTTTCCTAATAACTCGTTCACTAGGAAAAATCCCAGAGGCTCTCAGCTCTATTCTGAGAAATAGGTCAAACAACTGAAACCCTATGAGTAAAGCAGAGAGGCGTGTCAAACCAGATTGCCAAGACAGCTCAGCCGTTTTCCCTGTGAGCTCCTGCTCCATCCCCCCACCTCTGTTCTCCTTCTGGTGAGGCACAAGGGCTGGGTTTGGTGGGTGAGGTCCCCAGCTATAATTACTGACATCAGCTTTGCGGTCCCAAGGAATCCACTCCCCTGTTATCAGAGCTATGGGCAATTAGAAATGCCCAGTGCCACACCAGAACCCTGGGCTAAAAGTCAGAACCTGAAGAAGCCAAACTGGTGCTTAGGATAGAGGGGGTGCGGACTCAAGAAAGAGAAGACCGAGGGATGGGCTCATGAGCTCCAGCCCCTGAGACTGCCACTCCCTGGCTCCCAGAAACTGCTAGATCTAGATATAATGGGCTCAGATGAGGAGACAATGAAAATGTGCTAAGGACCAAGAAGGGCACAGAAAGGCCTCTGAACCCTTGGGTGGGCACAAATGGAGGTGCGACTGGCACCAGAGGCTGTTCTGAGAGATGTGCCCGCCAGTCAACCAGGGCCAGAGACAGGCAGAAGGGGCCCCCAGGCAGACAGCAGCATGGAAGAAACCATGGCCTCCAAAGTGTGTATGTGGCGGGGCGAGGGTGTGGTTGACGAAATGACAGGAGACCAGGACCAAGGTCATCTTGGCTCTTGTACAGCCCTGACTCATCAGTGCTCATAAAGCTGCACTCTGGTGAAATTTTGTTGGAGTCTTAGAAGAAATCAGGATAGGTTTATGGCCAAATTATTTTATTAGTGACTCAGAAAGAGGATTTTCCCTTTTACTGGGCTAATACACCACACCTGAGGAGTTGGGGTAGTTACCAGATCAGGTTTATATTGTATAAACTGCAGACCACCACCAGTTCTGCTAGGTGCTGTTTCAGTAAATTAAGATAGTATCGATGAGAAGATGCTGTTTTACATACCATTAAGAAGGAAAACTGGCTGCAAATTATCTTAAGGTACCATTGATTGATTAAAAGATGAATCCTGATCTGACATGTTAAAATGTTTGAGGCTGATGCAGAAGGCAGTTTCCTCTCCACAAACCTCATGGGTGTGCAGAATGGTGTAGACACAGAGATGGGTGCCTCACTTACCTCATGCACAGACTGGCTTTTCCACCACAGGGCAGGCACTGTATAAGCACCTTCCATTCCTACACAGGCGCTAGTAGGGGGAACTAAGGCTTGGAGAAGCCAAGTAACTTTGCTAAAGGGTCATATAATTAGTAGGAAGTAAGGCTGAGGTTCAAAACCAGGCCGGACATCCAATGTGCTGAAGCAAGCTACACCTCATCTCACAAGAGAGGCGAAGACACGCTTGTTCCTTGTCCCAAGCACTCTTCAGGCCCATTTCCTCCAAGATGGTACTTGCTTGGTTTGACACTTTCATCAAACAGGACCCCTTGTGAGCACACGGCCATGCTCTGGTGAGCAGCCTGCCGCCCTGTCCACCTTTCTGGGTGGCTCTCTCTCTACTAAGCTTGGCTCCAAGGACATGACCGTCCAGTAGCCCCATGGCAAATTCTGGGGCTTCTCAGACCTGAAGGTGAGCATTTTGAGCTCCAGATATGAAAGGCAAGTCCTGGGTGTTGTGTTCATTGGAATCCTAAGAGCAGCACTGACTGGAGGGCTAAAGGCAAGGCCCATCCACAGTTCACAGACTTGAAACATCAACCCTTCAAAAAGGGTGGGAGGAGGCTGGGTACGGTGGCTCACTCCTGTAATCCCAGCACTTTGGGAGGCTGAGGCAGGTGGATCACTTGAGGCCAGAAGTGTGAGACCAGCCTGGCCAACGTGGTGAAACCCTGTCTGTACTAAAAATACAAAAATTATTTGTATTTTTGTGATGGTGGGCGCCTGTAGTCCCAGCTACTTGGGAGGCTGAGAATCACTGGAACCCAGGAGGTGGAGGTTGCAGTGAGATCGCGCCACTGCATTCCAGCCCAGGCAACAGAGCAGGAAAATGAAAAAGGGAAAGGTTTTCCTAAACTTATTACTAAGAGACCAGGTTTGCAGAGAACCAGGCTCCTGGAACGCAGGAGGCAACAGTTTGGATGTCCCGGGAGCAGCAGGTGGAGCATCTGGGGAATCCAGAAATCCACAGCAGGCAGCCTGCCAGGCATCTCCAGAAGAGGGACCAGGAAGCCTTTTGTTCAAGAAAGGATTCCAGTCTAGAAGGCTGGTGAGCTCCCGAGAGCTAAAGGCTCCCTTGCTGTGTCTAGTGAAAGGAGGACAAGAAACATGGTAGGAGCTCTTGGGGAAGGGCCTGGTTTCTCTGAAGTCAAGAAACACAAAGAGAAAGAGGCTCCAAGGTCTAAGCAAGGCCCAGAGGATCAAGCAGAGCTTCCTAGAGCTGGTGAAAGGGCTCAGGTGGGGTTCTGAGGCCCAGTGAGGTGACACTGGCCTCTGGGAAGGGCCAGCACAGGCAAGGACTCCAGCGGGAAAACTGACAGGGCAGAACTACCAAGTCCTTGGCCAAGCCTCTGGTTCGAATGGTGGCAAGTGGGCTGTGGATGAGGTCGGGGAGGATGTAAGAGGAGGCGCTGGCACTGACATGGCTGCCCAGGGGTGAGCCCAGAAGCCATGGGAGTCTGGAGAGGATGAGAGGAAGAGATGCAGGGCTGGGCGTGACAGCACCACCCTTCATCCGCTCCAGCTCTGCCCATCCAGGTGTAAGCTCTGGGGCAGGGGATTACCTGCTCTAGGCTTCCTTTTCCTCAACTGTGAAATGGGGTGACAGTGGAAAGACCTCAGAGTTACTGTGAAGGTATTTAGTTTTAATCCCCAGTAACAGCCTGAAGAATGGCTCCTGCCTTAAAGAGAGGGAACAGGATGGCTTTTTTAAGTGGTGCATCTCTGTGCTATCTACCATTCCAGATACTGCCTGTACCGTACACCCTCCTCAGACAGATGCTGCTATCCTCTTTGAGAAACAGGAGAATTAAGGCACAGAGAGGCAGAACCTGCCCATTACCATCACTTGTGCACTCATTCATTTAACAGACATTTATTAAGCGTCTACAATGTGCCAGGCCCTGGGGACACAGAGCTGGAGAATGTACAGTCCCTGCCCTCAAGGAGCTCACAGTCTGGGGGGACAGACATGTAAACACATGAGTTACAACGCGCTGCGTGAAGTGTGTGGCAGAGGTATAACAAAGTGCTGTGGGGCACAACAGAGCGACCAGTGAACTCTTCCTGGGCAGGGGTCAGGGAAGCCTTCACAGATCAGTCAATAAATACGGTGCCATGGGAGTGCCTTGCACACCACGGGCACTCACATCTTGAATGCTGGTCCACTGGAGGCCCTTGGGTTGGGCGGGAGCAAGGCCTACTTCTGCTTCCTCAGGACAACTTCCCCACCTCTGTCCTGGGACCACCTGCCCGCCTGGGCCTGCAGTGACTAAGGACGCTGCTCCCACTCCAGGGGCCAGTGACAGAGAGCAGCTATACAGAGGGCCCACCCCGCAGGATCCTTGACAGGAGCTGAGACAGAACAAACTGCTGCTTGTCTCCCTACCCTGGGGGCTGTGATATTCTTGGTAACATCTCTGAGCTGGTCTGTGAGGTCACTTCCTCTTTTAACACTGTTGAGGAGACTCCAAACCCTGTCTTTTCCTCGTCTTCTCATGTCGATTGGGCACCAGCCATTCTCAGGCACCAGAGCACAGCCCCACACGGGTG